>NC_000004.12:183466835-183769865 GCF_000001405.40 Homo sapiens
AATATTAATCCCCAAGACCATGGGAAAAATGTCTCCAGGCCATGTCAGAGACCTTCATGGCAGCCCCTCCCATCACGGGCCCAGAGACCCTGGAGGAAAAAGTGGTTTTGTGGGCCAGGGCCAGGGTCCCTGTGCTGTGTGAAGCCTAGGGACTCAGTGCTGTGCGTCCCAGCCCCTCCAGCTGTGGCTGAAAGGGGCGAACACACAGCTCGGGCTGTGGCTTCAGAGGGTGGAAGCCCCAAGCCTTGGCAACTTCCACATGGTGTTGAGCCTGCAAGTGCACAGAAGTCAAGAATTGTTTGGCAACCTCTGCCTAGATTTCAGAAGATATATGGAAATGCCCAGATGCCCAAGCAAAAGTTTGCTGCAGTGGTGGGGTCCTCATGGAGAACCTCGCTAGGGCAATGCAGAAGGGAAATGTGAGGTCAGAGCCTCCACACAGACTCCCTCCTGGGGCACTGCCTAGCAAAGCTGTGAAAAGAGAGCCACCATCCTCCAGGGCCCAGAATGGTAGATCTACTGACAACTTGCGCTGTGCACCTGGAAAAGCCACAGACACTCAATGCCAGCCCATGAAAGCAGCTGGGAGGGAGGATGTACCCTGCAAAGCCACAGGGGTGGAGCTGTCCAAGACCATGGGAATCCATCTCTTGCATCAGCGTGACCTGGATGTGAGACTTGGAGTCATAGGAGATCATTTTGGACCTTCAAAATTAGACTGCCTGCTGGATTTTGGACTTGCACGGGCCCAGGAACCCCTTTGTTTTGACCAGTCTCTCCCATTTGGAATGACTCTATTTATCTGATACCTATACCCTCATTGTATCTAGAAAGTAACTAGCTTGCTTTTGATTTTACAGGCTCATAGGTGGAAGAGACTTGCCTTGTCTCAGGTGAGACTTTGGACTGTGGACTTTTGGGTTAATGCTGAAATGAGTTAAGACTTTGGGGGGTTGTTGGGAGGGCATGATTGGTTTTGAAATGTGAGGACAGAAATTTGGAGGGGCCAGGGGAAGAATGATATGGTTTGGCTGTGTCCCCACCCAAATCTCAACTTGAATTGTATCTCCCAGAATTCCCACATGTTGTGGGAGGGACCCAGGGAGAGGTAATTGAATCATGGGGACCGGTATTTCCCATGCTATTCTCATGATAATGAATAAGTCTCATGAGATCTGATGGGTTTATCAGGGGTTTCTGCTTTTGCTTCTTCCTCATCTTCTCTTGCCGCCACCATGTAAGAAGTGCCTTTTGCCTCCTGCCATGATTCTGAGGCCTCCCCAGCCATGTGGAACTGTAAGTCCAATTAAGCCTTTTTCTTCCCAGTCTTGGGTATGTTTTTTCAGCAGTGTGAAAACAGACTAATATATCTGTTTACATAGAAAAAATCTGCAAGGCAAAATCCTTTGACAGAGTATCCGTCTTTGTGGATAGAAAATTGTAGCATTTTAAAGAATCAAGTTTAAAATACACAAGTACACTAAGCGTTAAGTGTTTGTGGACAGGGATGACCTGCTTTTGCACATCACCAAACCTTATGTTCCAGTGTGGGGGGTGGACAATAAATGTTTGAAGTCTCTATGGGACAGAGGAGTTCCAGAATGCATGTGCCACAGTGGGCTGAGACATCACCCTCTGCATACCGAATCACCTCAGTCCCCCAATCTCCTCTCGGATGCCATGACTGACAGCAGTAAATAAGCTCTCGCCGTTGGAAAACTGGAGTGAAAGTTTCATTCTAAAAGAAGAATTTTAATGCACTGTGACTCAGCTGCCCATTCCTGTTGTTTTGCTGCTGTAAACATTGCAACACATGGATTGTGCAGGGTAGAAGTGAACTGTATTATTACTTATTAACTTTTGCTTGCAATTCTCGTCTAATATTTATTATGCCCTCTGTTCATGTTTGTTGGTGTTTTTTAAAGTCTGATGGTTAAATGTAGCAGTTTTTAAGGAAAATATACTAAATGGAAGAGCAGTATTCATAGGCTTATACCTGTGAATAATTCTGATTAAAGCTAATTACAACCTTCTGAGTCATTTCATGATTCAGCATTAATATGATTAAGGATGCACCAAAAAGTAACAATCAAAGTTACTTGTTGATGAGTTTTAGGTGGTCTGGTAATTCAAGTTGGCCTAGTCTGTTATATGTTGAGTGTCATCTTACAAATACAGCAGTGGCTCCAAAAAATTGGAAAAGAACCTACCTACAAATCACAGCCATTTAATAGTAAAAGTGCTGATGTTTTTTAAATGACTATTGGAAATTCCAAACAGGGAAAGCTCTCGCAAGAAAAAAAAAGAAAGAAAGAAAGAATGAAAAGAAAAGATAATCACATTCAGTGGAAAGGCTTACAGCAACTTATTTACTAGCTGGACTAATTGCTCAAAAAAGGAAAAGTCACACCATTGGTGAGAATCTCATTAGGCCAGCATGTAAAATTACAGTGAGTAAAACGACAAGATAAGATGCAGTATAAGAAGTTGACAAGGTTCCACTTTCAACAGTATAGCTCAACATAGTGATGACATGTCACATGATGTGGAAGAGGATTGGAATATGCTACCCCAAAATATGCCACTGTGGCATATGAATTATTTTGAGCTGAAGGCATTTGAGAATTAGCAGATGCAAAGAGAACCTTCCTGGGGCTTTCCCTATCTGACTAAAAGCAGAAATGCCTGAGAAATGAGAACTGCCATAAATCTCCTCTCCCAGGGACATTTTATGACCATGAAGAAAACAGAAAGTTGGCACCAAGATGGACCTGCACAAACCAACCTTACTAAATTAACCCTTATCTTCCATTACTTTCCCCATATGTCTATGATCCCACAGAGGGCAGCCCCTAGAAGCTTAAAACCCTTTTCCTGCTGGTGTGGTGGCTATACCTGTAGTCACAACTACTCAGGACTGAGGTGGGAGGATTGCTTGAAGCCAGGAGTTCCAGGCCAACCTGGGCAACATAGCAAGACCCCATCTCTCTTAAAAAAAAGTCCTTTGTCTTGTCACTTTTCCACAATTTATTGCTCTTTGTTGAAGATGGTATATAAGCTCTCAGATCTATCTGCTTATTTGGCTCTTCACTTCTTTTCCAGGAAGGCCCTTATATATAAAGATTAAGATCAAATAAAATTTGTATGTCTTTTCTCCTGTTAATCTGTCTTTCATCAGTCTAATCTTCAGTGCCCCAGACAATGAACCTAAAGGAGCAGAGGAAAAAGTTTATATTCCTTTCCTGTGATGCTGAAGAATTTTGCGTAATGAACTGGAAAACAATAGCTTCCTTATTCAGGTTGATGAGTCAACAGACGTTACCAATAAATATCACTGGGTAGCACTGGGAAGATCTGTAAGTAATGATGAATCTCAAGAAACCTTCCTGCTGTAAAAATTCACCTCAAGGCCAAGACACATTTAAGGTTCTGTCTTCCTACCTGGAAACAAAAGCTCTGTCTTGGAGGAACCATGCTCACAATCTGGACCATAGGGTCCCACGCATGGATGGTTCCATAAGAATTTTCACCTCTTGGCTGGGTGTGGTGGCTCACGTCTATAATCCTAGCACTTTGGGAGGCCAAGGCGGGCAGATCACCTAAGTCAGGAGTTTGAAACCAGCCTGACCAACATGGTGAAAACCTGTCTTTACTAAAAATACAAAAATTAGCTGGGCGTGGTGACGGGCGCCTGTAATCTCAGCTACTCTGGAGGCTAAGGAAGGAGAATCACTTGAACCTGGGAGGCAGAAGGTGCAGTGAGATGAGATTACACCACTGCACTCCAGCCTGGGTGACAGAGCAAGACTCCATCTCAAAAAAAAAAAAAAAAAAAAAAAGAATTTTCACCTCTTGTAAAGAAAGAAAATTCTGACAAAGTCACAACACACTACTTTCTTTATAGAAAGGTATTGAAGTAAAAAACTCTTGGAGGTGAAGTGACCAAAGTTCTGAGTGATTCTCAAACATGAGAAACTACATTTTAAAAAGCCCAGTTCACTTGAGTACGCTTTAAAAACTAAGAAAACCTGGACAAAGGTACATGAATCTCCCAGTACAGAGAAACCAGGTGGCTTAACAAAGGAAGAGTTCGAGCTGAAAGGTGACTTGCAGGAGGACTTTCAAGAAAATGGAAAGCCAGATTTTTCTTAGTGCTTTGAAGATAAAGAATGTCAGCAGAAACTAGCCTACTTAGCAAATACTTTATCACATAAACTAGTTGAACAAGTATCTTGCAGGCCCCAGGAGAAAACGTGTTGACTCCAAGTAATGAGATTCTTGGATTTAAAAGGAAACTGAATTTTTGAAAAAATCATGCTGAAAAAATCTTAAAATGCTTCCAATGTCGTTTGGCCCTATGAGCAAGGAAAGACATCAGTAAGTCTCACATCTTATTGAAAACCTTCTGGAAGAACTTCAGGACAAAATGAAAGGGCGTTTTCTCTCCATTTCAACACCAATGACCAGCGGAGGGACTTTTCCTTTAAACCTACTCAGCTTGAGAACTTGACTTTGAGAGGAGAGAAAGAACTTTGTAAACTGCAGTCTGATAGTACATTCAAGATGAGATTCACTGATCTCTCCCTAGGCGAGTTCTGGATTTCTGTGAAAGAAGAGTATCCTGCTATTCGTATGCCTAAAATGAAAATTTTGTTACAATGTTCAATTTCTTACTTACGTAAGCAAACTTTTTCCAGTATAACAAGCATGAAGAACACAGACAGAAATTCTCATTTCAATTGAAAAGGAAATCTGCAGGTGCTTAGTCCAAATTCATCCCAGGATCCAGTATTTGTGCTACCAAAAATAAGCACAGGTATCCACTTAAAGAGGCAAATTTTACTCTTTATTGTTAATTTCAAAAGTAATATTTTACGCCTAAACAGGCCTACAAAAAAGATCAAGAAACAATAATTTTGTAGGTGGGAGACTAGCCTGACTAACATGGTGAAACCCTGTCTGTGCTAAAAATACAAAATTAGCCGGGCATAGTGGCGCATGCCTGTAATCCCAGCTACTCGGGAGGCTGAGGCAGGAGAATTGCCTGAACCCAGCAGGCGGAGGTTGCAGTGAGCCGAGATCGCGCCACTGCACTCCAGCCTGAGAAACAAGAGCCAAACTCCGTCCCTAAATAGATAAATAAAATAAAATAAAAAATTAAATCCCAATTTTGGCTTAAGCCAGTTACTTATTTTGTTTCAAAATTTTATGGAAAGGAAAGATTCATCTCAAGAAAGGAAAGCTAAATATAGCGGTTTTGTAAAAAGGAAGTTTGGCTAAAAGGGAATTGTTTGTTTTAAATAGGAGGAACTACTCTTGCACATGTCCATGTAACCCTTTTATTCGTAGGCATTTTTATTAAGACTTTCACGCCCACTTGGATAAAGTTTTTAAAAATCAAATATAGAATTTAAAAGAAAGAAAAACGTATTTCTCTTATCTATACCACTGATACCCTTTAACATCCTTAATATCCTTTGTGAGGAAGGGGAACTATACAGTCAAACAGAGCCATGGTTCCCAGCCCACGGCATTGCCAAGGAGGGTTTGGGCTCCCAATGAAGGGATCCTTTAGCCACCAGGGGGCAGCACCAGGACACTTATTTCTCAGGGAATAATCAAAAAGAAGGAAAAAGTTACCTTATTCAACAAGTATCTATTGGACGTCGTATCGTATGTGCCAAACACTTAAGGAATTTACATTTACTGGGGCAATGGAATGGTGATAACGGGTATCAAAAGCAAAGTTGCCTACCTCCAATTTTACGAATACCTCATTAGCATTACCTCTTCCAAACACCCATGTTGACCTTTCAACAAACATATTTTTCGCTTCTTTCTCATTTCTAGGCCCTCTTCCTTCTTTGAATCCCACTTTTGGATGGATAATAGTTCAGGTGAGCCTCTGATCATTTCCTAAGTGGAACAAAAAATTGTCACTACTGGCCACTCCTCTCTCAAAATTATAGACACTATGTCAGACTTTTTTCCTACCAATGTCATTATGGAAATTTCATTTTTCCTTCTTTTTTTTTCTCTTGGCCTGAAAAACCTAAATTACTTATCATCTGGTCCTTTACAGAAAAAGTTTGTCAACCCCTTGATCTACCCCACCATCTTCTCTTCTTTGCACAACAAAAGATTCCAGGCCGTGTGTCTGCTTCTTCAACCTCCTGGCCTCTTTTCTCTTCCTCAGACAGTCTTTCCCTTCCTCGGGACTTTTATCCTTGCTGCATCCTTTAACTGCAATGCCTTTAGAGGCTCATTCCTATCCCTTAAATCTCATCTCCAACACCACTATCTAGAGTAAATATCCCCTTCTCTAGTTACTATGTCGTGAAATCACCCCTTTATTTCCTTCATAATTATCTCACTTATTGTCTATTTCCTTCACCAGAATGGAAGCTCCATGAGCTCAGGCACCTGACTGTCTTTTTCAACACTGACTAGTACATAACAGGCACTCAATATTTTTTTTAATTGTGGTAAAATATACATAACAAAAGTTACCATTTTAAGTATATAATTCAGCAGCGTTACATACATTCAAATTGTTGTGCAACCATCACCACCATCCATCTCCGGAACTTTTTATCTTCCCAAGCTAAGGCTCTTGGCCCATTAAACAATAACTTCTAATTGCATCCTTCCCTGTCCACCCTGGTGACCATCATTCTGCACTCTATGAATTTGGCTACTTTATGTCCCCCAAATAAGTGGAATCATACAATAGGTGTCCTTTTGTGACTGGCTTATTTTCCTTAGCATAATATCTTCAGGGTTTATCCATGTTATAGCATGTAACTGACTTTCTCTCCTCTTTTATTTATTTATTTTTTTTGAGATGGATCCTGGCTCTGTCGCCCAGGCTGGAGTGCAGTGGCACGATCTCAGCTCACTGCAACCTCCGCCTCCCGGGTTTAAGCGATTCTCCTGCCTCAGCCTCCCGAGTAGCTGGGATTATAGGTGCCTGCCACCATGCCCACCTAATTTTTGTATTTTTAGTAGACACAGGGTTTCACCATGTTGGCCAGGTTGGTCTTGAACACCTGACCTCAGGTGATCCGCCCGCCTCGGCCTCCCAAACTGCCTTCCTCTTTAAGACTGATTAATATTCCTTTTTATGTACATACCACATTTTGTTTATCCACTCATCTGTTGATGGACACTGTAAGACTTTCTTAGTATACACCTATAATCCCAGCTACTTGGGAGGCTAAGGCAGGAGAATTGCTTGAACCCGGAAGGCAGAGGTTGCAGTGAGCTGAGATCACACTACTGCACTCCAGCCCGGGTGACAGTGCAAGACTCCGTCTCAAAAAATAATAATAATGATAAGAATAAGAATAATCTTGGGGCAGGGTGTGGTGGCTCACGCCTGTAATCCCAGCACTTTGGGAGGCCAAGGAGGGCGGATCATTTGAGATCAGGAGTTCGAGACCAGCGTGGCCAACATGGTGAACCTCTGTCTCTACTAAAAATGCAAAAATTAGCTGGGCATAGTGGCACATGCCTGTAATCACAGCTACTCGGGAGGCTGAGGCAGGAGAATCGCTTGAACCCGAAAGGTGGAGGTTGCAGTGAGCTGAGATCAAGCCACTGCACTCCAGCCTAGGCAATAGAGCGAGACTCTTGTCTCAAAAAAAAAAAAAAATCTTGGCCAGGTGCAGTGGCTCACACCTGTAATCTCACTTTGGGATTAGCACTTTGGGAGGCTGACCTAGGAGGCTTGTGTGAGCCCAGGAGTTTGAGACCAGCCTAGGCAACCTAGTGGGACCCTATCTCTACAAAAAAAAAAAAAAAAAAAAAAAAAAAAAAGCTTTTTTTAATTAGCCGGTGTTCTACAAGGGTGTACCAACAATAAACAGAAAATAAAGAATACATAAAATAAATAAATAGATAAATTAGCTGGGTGCAGTGGCACGTACCTGTGGTCCCAACTACTCAGGAGACTGAGGAGGGAGGATTGCCTGAGCCCAAGAGATGGAGGCTACAGTGAACCATGATGACACCACTGCACTCTGGCCTGGGAGAAGGAGTAAGACCCTGTTTCAAAATAATAATAATAACAAATATCTTATCAATTGTCAACATTCCCTGGGGCTTTTAAATGCCATTTGGCTTAACTGAGTTTTACAATTACAATAAACGTTCAGTTAGTATATGCTTAATTTCTTAATTTTCACGCCTGTAATCCCAGCACTTTGGGAGGCCGAGGTGGGCGGATCATTTGAGGTCAGGAGTTCGAGACCAGCCTGGCTAACATGGTGAAACTCTGTCTCTACTACAAATGCAAAATACCTACTCACTAGCAAAACAAAGGGAGTAATAACAAATACCAGGTACATTACATATCTTAATGAGAGAGTCTTTAAAAGCATTTGGGTGGGCAGCTTTTTTTTTTAACTTTGAAATTATGGAGTATATCAAATATACATATATAATATAATACATCAAATCCTCATATAATCATCACCCAGCTTAACAACTATCAGCTCACTGTGAAGCAAATCACGTCATGTTGTCTGTATTTCAAATGCCTTCCTGACAGATTAGTAAATGGTTTGAATGTCTTAGCATTTTATGAAGAAGATTTTTTCAGCTGAATTTGGTATCAGATTCCTATCTGCAAATCTGTCATATAATATGGTAGAAAGCATTTCATTAATACAAATTTCAAATTGAATATTTTAGAAGGATTTTTACATGCCTGATTATTTCAAGAATGCAAATTTTGAAGGAAAATATTTGTCAACAATTAGTCACTAAGAAAGATAAAAATTGTTGGACTACAAGGTGACTATACTTCTTTCAGTAACTGGTGGGGGCTCAGAGACTACGTCCATGGCTCTCCACTTGGTGAAAGAATCACAGGGAACTCAGTTTGCTTGTTTGTTTTTGAGACAGAGTCACAGGGAACTCAGTTTGCTTGTTTGTTTTTGAGACAGAGTCTCCTTCTGTCACCCAGGCTGGAGTGCAGCCGCTTTCTGGGCTCAAACGAATCTCCCACCTCAGCCTCCTGAGTAGCTAGCACTACAGGTGCACACCACACATGGCTAATCTTTGGATTTTTTTTGTAGAGATGGGGTTTCACCATGTTGCCTGGGCTGGTCTCGAACTCCCGGGCTTAAGCAATCTTCCTGCCTCAGCCTCCCAAAGTGCTGGGATTACAGGCATGAGCCACCATGCCAGGCCCGGAAAGAACTTGTTTAAAACGTAGGTTCCGGGGCCTCATTTTTGGAGATTTCAGGTTAGGTCTAGGCTGAGGTCCAGAAACATGCACTTCTAGTAAGTGCCGACGGTGATTCTGATGGAGGTGGTCTGAGACCCCATTAAGGGCAACACTGGCTGAAAACCCTTTTGCTAAGTTTGGCAGTAATTTGCTCCCTGGCTTTGGCCATTTAAAATTTGGCCTTTTAGTATTCTCTTCAGTGAAGATTTTCATGTACCAACCAGATAAATATACCATAACCCAGCACAGCCTTTCTTTCCATTCTCTGCTTTGAATGATGCACACTCTTCCCACAGCTTTCATGATCATATATTGTCTCACTTGTGAGTATGATTCGTTTTCATGGTCTTTGTAAATTCTGATTTGATTTCTTTGTCGGTTTCCAGGAGCAACGAACGGTAACATTAAAATTAGATGGCATTGGCCTGAGCAATTTATAATATAGTGAATATTTAATACTACTGAGGATGAGGAAAAATGTAAGAAAAGATTATCCATTTTGGTAATAGTCATTTCTTTTGCATCAGCTTGTTTACTGTTGGAACACAAAAACAATTTGCCTGAATCTTCTTAATTTAAAAACAGGCCAGGTGCGGTGGCTCTCACCTGTAATCCCAGCACTTTGGGAGGCCAAGGCAGGCGGATCATGAGGTCAGGAGATGGAGACCACCTGGCTAACACAGTGAAACCCTGTCTCTACTAAAAATACAAAAAATTAGCCAGGTGTGGTGGCCCGCACCTGTAATCCCAGCTGCTCAGGAGACTGAGGCAGGAGAATCCCTTGAACCTGGGAGGCAGAGGTTGCAGTGAGCTGAGATTATGCCACTGCACTCCAGCCTGGCTGACAGAGCAAGACTTCATCTCAAAACAAAAGCAAAAACAAAAACAAAAGCAAACAAACAAACAAAAAAACCCAGAACCTAAATCAGCAATGCTTTTTATTAATTAACAGCAACTAATAGCAATCAACAGCAATCTTCTTAGAAAATAATTTTATGCTACCAACTAAAGTTCCAATTTCACAGCAATAGAGCTAAAGCTAAAGGGAAAACCTCAGGAATAAGTGGCCTGAACATGAGGAAAATGTAATAGAAGAAAGCAAAGAATAAGAGGAAACTGGATCTGAGTTATTTATCGAAGCACATTAAAGAACAACCATAGGCCGGACGTGGTGGCTCACGCCTGCAGTCCCAACACTTCCAGAGGCCGAGGCAGGTGGATCACCTAAGGTCAGGAGTTCCAGACCTGCCTGGCCAACATGGCGAAACCCCGTCTCTACTAAAAATACAAAATGTAAAAATACAAAAGTTAGCCAGGCATGGTGACAAGCACCTATAGTCCCAGCTACTCAGGAGGCTGAGGCAGGAGAATTGCTTGAACCCAGGAGGCGGAGGTTGCAGTGAGCCGAGATCGTGGCATTGCACTCCAGCCTGGGTGACGAGAGAGAGAGACTCTGTCTCAAAAAAAAAAAAAAAAAAAAAGCCATAAATATAAGAAGCTCAGAATTGGCACCCCAAAATATGCCACTTTGCTAAAGCATTATTTTAAACTGAAAGCAACTGTGAAATAGCAGGTGCAGGAAACACTCTCTGTCCTCCCCTTTTCTACCTAAAAGCAGGGCACAAGTTTCCCTTTGTGAAAGTATCCCCCACTCTTGTACCAGGAAGGGAAAAACAGCCTTTATCTCTGGAGATGGAGGTGTACCGGGATGCGGCTGCGGGAATTAACCTTATCTTCCCATGAGTTTCCCCCATATTTTACCTTCCCAGAATTTGCCACCCTAGAAGCTCCACTGCCCTCTCCTTGGTCTTATCACTTCTCTACGTTTTGTTGCCCTTTTTAAGATGGTATTTAAGTGCCCCGAGTTTAACCACTTCTTTGGGTCTTTACTTCGTATGAACGCTTTTGAGCACATAAAAAACAATTAAAATATTAACATCAAATACGTTTGTATGCCTTTGTCTTTTGCCAGTTTAATTCACAGGCTCCAGTCACTGAGCTTAAGAGAACACAGGAAAGTTTTTCCTCCCCTACAATATTATTTGGGAACTTAATCCACTGGGCATTTGCTCACAGCCTTCCCTCCCTCCCTCCCTTCCGTTCCGTTCCCTCCCTTCCTCCCTCCCTCCTTCCTTCTCTCCCTCTTTTCCTTCTTTCCTTCCTTCCTTCCTTTCCTTCCTTCCTTCCCTCCTTTCTTTTCCCTCTCGTCTCCTCTCCTCTACTTTTCTCTTCTCTTCTCTTTTTTCTTTCCTTTTCTTTCCCAAGATCTTGCTGTGTCACCCAGGCTGCAGTGCAGTGCAATCAGAGCTCACTGCAGCTTCAATCTCCCTGGCTTAAGCAATCCTTCTGCCTCAGCCTCCCGAGTAGCTGGGACTACACATACATGTCACCATGCCCGGCTAATTTTTTTTTTTAAATTTTTTGTAGAGATGGGGGTCCCACTATGTTGCTCAGGCTAGTCTCAAACTCCTGAGCTCAAACAATCCTCCTGCCTCAGCCTCTCAAAATGCTGGGATTACAGGCGTGAGCTATTGCCCCCAACCACAGTTTTCTTTTAACTATGAAGGGATACTGGCGTAGGAGAAAGAACTTTGAAGTTAGACAAACCTGGATTGAAATCTCGAACCTATTAGTTAGTGCAAGTTATTTAAATCTGTGCCTCAATTTCTGCATCTATAAAACAAAGATGAGACCTATTTAATCTAACAGCTATTGAAGGTTCAATAAAATGAAACATGTAAAATACTTAGCACAAAGTAGAAGACTGGTAACATTTAGTCCCTGAATTCTGATATGTAACTCTGTGGCTAAGATTGCTAGAAAGAGATGCATTTAGAGAGCTGGATGGATAAAATGTAAGTCCTGCGTTTTTCTCTTTTCTTTTAGGTGGGGCTGTCATAGCTATATGCAGGGGTCCCATTGTGCTAGCTGGCAGGCTTTGCACAAGATTTTGCAGCTGAAAGAGGAATTTGAGAAAAATACAAGATCCCAATGAGTATAAAATAAAAGCACAGAAGGACACAATTACCATTGTGGATACTGCCAAATGATTCACAGGGCAGCAAGTGGGAAGGGAAGGAGCAGAATCTGCCCGATTCTTAATATGTAGCAAGAGCTTCTACCCAATAATTCTGCTTTAAGGGGCCTCTGTTAAGGAAATAATCCTAAATACATAAAAACAAGCACATAGGTGGTCATGAGATATTATTTAGCCATTATAAATAATACAACTTAGTATATACATTATCAACTCAATTATGTTTTCTGAAAAGGATACTGATGAACAAAGACTAGAAAGAAATACAAAACAGTACTATAAGTACTTAATTTTTGTATGGTGAATTATGACTGTGGAATTTCAATATTCATTTTAGTTCCTATTTTGAAAATTTCTACCCTTAACAATGTCATTTTTATAATCTCTCTACCCCCAAAAAAAACCCACAACAAAAAAATGATCACCATAATACAAAAGTTTTTCAAAAAATAAATGCATGGAAATTATCTGTATTGATTAAAAAAAGATCCAATCACTTCAGGTTTCAGATTTGTAGGTGGCAAGATGAAAATTTCTTTCTTTTTTTTTGAGACAGAGTTTCGCTCTTGTCTCCCGGGCTGGAGAGCAATGGCACGATCTTGGCTCACTGCAACCTCCACCTCCTGGGTTCAAGCGATTCTCCTGCCGCAGCCTCCCCAGTAGCCAGGATTACAGGCATACACCACCACGCCCCGCTAATTTTTGTATTTTTAGTACAGACAGCGTTTCACCATGTTGGCCAGGATGGTCTCGAACTCCTGACCTCAGGTAATCCACTCGCCTCGGCCTCCCAAAGTGCTGGGATTACAGGTGTGAGCTACCGCACCCGGCCGGAAATTTCTTTATGCAAATTAAAGGGCCTGAAATTTGTGTTTCCTATAGGGTGGAAGGCCTCCATGGCTCCACATGGAAGAAGACTGCAGAGGGATCGCAAAAGAGAGTCAACATCTTTTTTTTTTTTTTTTTTGAGACAGTCGCTCTGTTGCCCAAGCTGGAGTGCAGTGGCATGATCTTGGCTCACTGCAACCTCCGTCTCCTGGGTTCAAATGATTCTCATACCTCAGCCTCCCAAGTAGCTGGGAATACAGGCATGTGCCGCCATGGCTGGCTAATTCTTGTATTTTTAGTAGAGATGGGGTTTCGCCATGTTGGCCAGGCTGGTCTTGAACTCCTAGGCTCAAGGGATCCACCTTCCTTGGCCTCCCAAAGTACTGGGATTACAGGCGTGAGCCACCGCACCCAGCCATACTTTCAATAGTAGGTTTAGATCTATTGTATTGAGCAAAAAAAGTTCTCAACTACAGCCTCGACATTTTGTACTTGACAGGTGTGGTGGCTCACACCTGTAATCCCAGCACTTTGGGAAGCTGAAGAGGGAGGATGGATTGAGGCCAGGAGTTTGAGACTCGCCTGGGCAACATAGTGAAGCCCCCATCTCAACATAAAATTTAAAAATTCTGCACGTGTGGTGGCCTGTGCCTCTAGTCCTAGCTACTTGGAAGGCTAAGGCAAAAGATTGCTTGAGCCCAGGAGTTGGGGGCTGCAGTGAGCTATGATTGCCCCACTGCATTCCAGCCTGGGCATCAGAGACAGACCCTGTAACAAATAAAAATATAAAAATTCTATACCTTACAGCATGGTAGAGAAAACCATGGCTTGGACTTTGAGGACTATTGTTTGTTTTTTGGGACAGAGTCTCACTCTGTCACCCAGACTAGAGTGCAGTGGCACGCTCATGGCTCACTGTAGCCTTAACCTCCTGGGCTCAAGTGATCTTCCCACCTCAACCTCCTGAGTAGGTGGGACTACAGCTGCAAGCTACCATTCCTGGCTAATTTTATTGTATTTTTTGTGGAAACAGAGTTTCGCCATGTTGCCCAGACTGGTCTCGAACTCCTGGGCTCAAGCAGTCTGCCTGAGTCAGCCTCCTAAAGTGGTAGATTACAGGCAAGAGCCACCGCGTCTGGCCCTATTGTTACTAATACTCCACATTACCATAAAAAGACTTTGATATGACTATTAGAGAATGATTCTTAAACAGGACTGTGTTCATATGGTTGATCATTAGGGATTTAAATCTGAAAACTAAAATGACTTCTCATTCCTTGGGCCTGGCAGGAGTTTAAAAGTGTTTCTATAGTAAATGCTTTTGTCCTTCAAAGGCCTCTACTAGGAATCTATGGGTGTATTTCCCATGACTGAGACAATGTATTTTCCTCTTGCTGACATTTCCACCACTAATAGGATTTTCCATGGCCCACTCCACATGGACATTTTTCTCATGGAGTCCCATTGTGCCTCTTGGTCAGGATTTTAAATGGCTCCCGACTCTGGGGCCTTCATGTGATCTGCAGGAAATACTCAAGCAACATTGGGCCTAACAAACTCAGGAATGTAGGCTGATCCCAAAATATCGACGACCCCTTCTTCGTGCCTGCCTTTTCAGGAGCTAGTCATCTCTTCTTTGTCTTTCTTGATTTCTAGGTGAGATTCGGTTAATGCACTGTCTTTTTAATTACAGGTGAACATATTAGATTTTCTGAAAGGTCCCACTAAGTCCTCCCCTCCCAACCTGAGGTTTTCTGCCCCCTCTTTCGCTGGAGGACTCCACCGCACAGCCATCTCTATAGTCATCTTCCCTATCTATTTACCTTTTAAAATACTTAATGGAGACTAGGGGCTCAAGACGCATCTATTGGCCAGGCTCTGTGGTTCATGCTGGGTCCGGAATTGGTGGGTTCTTGGTCTCACTGCCTTCAAAAATGAAGCCGCAGATCCTCTCGGTGAGTGTTACAGTTCTTAAGGTGGCACGTCTGGAGTTTGTTCCTTCTGACGTTCAGATGTGTTCGGAGTTTCTTTCTTCTGGTGGGTTCGTGGTCTCACTGGCTCAGGAGTGAAGCTGCAGACCTTCGCAGTGAGTGTTACAGCTCTTAAGGCAGCGCGTCTGGAGTTGTTAGTTCCTCCCGGTGGGCTCGTGGTCTCACTGGCTTCAGGAGTGAAGCTGCAGACCTTCGCGGTGAGTGTTACAGCTCATAAAAGCAGTATAGACCCAAAGAGTGCACAGTAGCAAGAGTTATTGCAAAGAGCGAAAGAACAAAGCCTACACAGTGTGGAAGCGGACCCCAGCGGGTTGCCAATGCTGGTTCGGGCAGCCTGCTTTTATTCTCTTATCTGGCCCCACCCACGTCCTGCTGATTGGTAGAGCCGAGTGGTCTGTTTTGTCAGGGCACTGATTGGTGCATTTACAATCCCTGCGCTAGACACAAAGGTTCTCCACGTCCCCACCAGATTAGTTAGATACAGAGTGTCTACACAAAGGTTCTCCAAGGCCCCACCAGAGTAGCTAGATACAGAGTGTCGTTTGGTGCACTCACAAACCCTGAGCTAGACACAGGGTGCCGATTGGTGTGTTTACAAACCTTGAGCTAGATACAGAGTGCCGATTGGTGTATTTACAATCCCTGAGCTAGACATAAAGATTCTCCAGTCCCCACCAGACTCAGGAGCCCAGCTGGCTTCACCCAGTGGATCCCCCACCGGGGCTGCAGGTGGAGCTGCCTGTCAGTCCCGGGTCCGTGCGCCTGCAGCACTCCTCAGCCCTTGGGTGGTCGATGGGACTGGGTGCCCTGGAGCAGGGGGTGGAGCTCGTCAGGGAGGCTCGGGCTGCACAGGAGCCCATGGAGGGGGTGGGAGGCTCAGGCATGGCGGGCTGCAGGTCCCGAGCCCTGCCCCGCAGGAAGGCAGCTAAGACTCGGTGAGAAATCGAGCGCAGCGCCGGTGGGCTGGCACTGCTGGGGGACCCAGTACACCCTCCGCAGCCGCTGGCCCGGGTGCTAAGCCCCTCATTGCCCGGGGCCGGCAGGGCCAAGCCCACGCCCACCCGGAACTCCAGCTGGCCCGCAAGCGCGGCGCGCAGCCCCGGTTCCCGCTCGGGCCTCTCCCTCCACACCTCCCTGCAAGCTGAGGGAGCGGGCTCCGGCCTTGGCCAGCCCAGAAAGGGGCTCCCACAGTGCAGTGGTGGGCTGAAGGGCTCCTCAAGTGCCGCCAAAGTGGGAGCCCAGGCAGAGGAGGCGCCGAGAGCAAGCGAGGATTGTGAGGACTTGCCAGCACGCTGTCACCTCTCAATGCCTGTAATCCTAGCATTTTAGGAGGCCGGAGTACGCAGATAACTTGAGGTCAGGAGTTCGAGACCAGCCTGACCAACATGGTGAAACCCCGTCTCTACTAAAAATACAAAAAAATAGCGCCCCAGAAGAGCCTCGTCCTGGGCAGCGGTGGCGCGGCGGTCGCTGTGATAGCCACGGGGCTGGGCGGCTGACCGCTGGGCTAGGAGAGGGCCCAGCGCCCCGAATCTTGGTGGCCGCTGCTGGAGCGCGGCCTGCGCCATGGCCACCTCCGCCGCCTCCTCCGAGCGTTTCAAGAAGCTGCACGAAATCTTCCGCGGCCTCCACGAAGACCTACAAGGGGTGCCCGAGCAGCTGCTGGGGACGGCGGGGACCGAAGAGAATAAGTCGATCAGGGATTTTGATGAAAAGCAACAGGAAGCAAATGAAATGCTGGCAGGGATGGAGGAGGAGCTACGTTATGCACCCCTGTCTTTCCATAACACCATGACGTCTAAGCTTCGAAACTACCGGAAGGACCTTGCCAAACTCCATCGGGAGGTGAGAAGCACGCCTTTGACAGCCACACCAGGAGGGCGAGGAGACATGAAATATGACATATATGCTGTAGAGAATGAGCATATGAATCGGCTACAGTCTCAAAGGGCAATGCTTCTGCAAGGTCCTGAAAACCTGAACCGGGCCACCCAAAGTATTGAACGTTCTCATCAGATTGCCACGGAGACTGACCAGATTGGCTCAGAAACCATAGAAGAGCTGGGGGAACAACGAGACCATTTAGAACGCACCAAGAGTAGACTGATAAACACAACTGAAAACTTGAGCAAAAGTCGAAAGATTCTCCGTTCAATGTCCAGAAAAGTGACAACCAACAAGCTGCTGTTTTCCATCATCATCTTACTGGAGCTCGCCGTCCTGGGAGGCCTGGTTTACTACAGATTCTTTCGCAACCATTGAACTTCCTGTAGGGAAGGGTTTGTGGACCAGAACTTTCACCTTGTGAATGCATGAGGTTAGGGATGTGGATGGAATAAGCATATTGCTGCTGAGGGCTAACAGTTCAGGCATGCACTGTGTAACCAGGCTGTGGGAGGAGGCAGGAAAGATGGAAAGCCACTTAAATGTGAAGGAACAGCAAGAAGACCAGTATGATATACCAAGGTAATAAATGCTGTTTATGACTTCTTTTAAAAAAATACAAAAACTAGCTGGGCAAGGTGGCACAGGCCTGTAAGCCCAACTACGTGGGAGGCTGAGGCAGGAGAATCACTTGAACCCAGGAGGTGGAGGTTGCAGTGAGCCGAGATCGCACCACTGCACTCCAGCCTGGGTGACACAGCAAGACTCTGTTTCAAAATAAAAAATAAAAAAAAGACGCATGCACCTATGCTAAGGTTTTTGCATGATGGTTTATTTGGAAATAACATACACAGACTCATTGCCTCTACTGAAATTTTGACAGGAAGGGTCCCAACTAACATCCTATAACATCCATAAACGCCTGCATATGCGCAGCAAATCTCTGGCTTCTTTTGGGAAGAAACTGGCTCTTCCTCTGGGAAGAGAAGCTGCGGGGGCTGAGGTCAGGGGCAGAACTATATTTATTTTATTGATATCCCTTTTTACTGTTTGCATGTACTATGCGCACGTACTACTTCAAAAAAATTCAAATAAATTAAAGAGAAAAATATATAAATAAGGAGAAGATAACTTCTGCATAAATGGATATTAATATCATGCTCTTGGTTGGGACAATTTGTCATTGTAGAATTGTTCAGTCCTCCAAAGTTAATCTATAAATGTGGTGCAATACTAATAAAGATCCTATCAAGATTTTTTTGCAACAATTTGACAAATAAATGAATAAATAAACCTCTACACACTAGCTAATATAATCGAAAAAGAATTATCTATATTATTATATGTATAAGAATTATATAAATAATTGAAAAAGAAAAGAGAAAAGAATTGCCTATCAATATAAAGACACAGTATCCAGCCAACAAAATTTTAAATTTCTGTATTTTGGGTAGTGGGCATAGAGAAAGAGCAAGGGAATGGAGAGAGTCAAGGCACAGAGCCAGGAATGGTACAGAACGGAATGTGGGCTAGGAGCAGTGGCTCACACCTATAATCCCAGCACTTTGGGAGGCCAAGGCAGGAGGATCACTTGAGGTCAGGAGTTCGAGACCAGCCTTGCCAACATGGTGAAACCCTGTCTCTCCTAAAAATACAAAAATTAGCCGGGCGTGGTGGCACGTGCCCGTAGTCCCAGCTGCTTGGGAAGCTGAGGCATGAAAATTGCTTAAACCTGGGAGGCGGAGATTGCAGTGAGCCGAGATCATGCCACTGCACTCCAGCTTGGGTGACAGAGCAAGACTCTGTTTGGAAAAAAAAAAAAAAAAGAATGGAGTATGCACGATAGCTGAATCACCTGGGGGTGGCATGACAAATCCTAGGGGAAATGGTCATTTAGTGAAAATGGAAAAATGGCTTGCTTCATGGAAGAGAAAATAAATTATGTCTCTACTATATACAACTTATAAAAAATAAACCTTAATTAGGTTAGAAGTGTGAAAGATAAAAACAGTATATATATGTATTTATTTACATTTGTTTTGAGAGGGAGTCTTGCTCTGTCACCCAGGCTGGAGTGTGATGGTGCCATCTTGACTCACTGCAACCTCTGCCTCCCAGGCTCAAGCATTCTCATGAATCAGCGTCGGGAGTAGCTAGGATTACAGACACCCACCACCCCACCCAGCTAATTTTTGTATTTTTAGTAGACAGCGTTTCACCATGTTCCAGGCTGGTCTCAAACTCCTGACCTCAAGTGATCTTCTGGTGAGATTGAGAATCTCTTTAAGAAAATTCCTACTCATAGCCTTTGACTATTTTCCTTTAGGGTTTCCTGTTTTATCTTGCTGATTATCAGAAGTTTTTTTTTTGAGACAGTCTCACTCTGTTGCCCAGGCTGGAGTGCAGCGGCGCGATCTCGGTTCACTGCAACCTCCGCCTCCCTGGTTCAAGCGATTCTCATGCATCAGCCTCCTGAGTAGCTGGGATTACAGGTGCCCGCCACCATGCAGGGCTAATTTTTGTATTTTTAGTAGAATGGGGTTTCACCATGTTGGCCAGGCTGCTCTCAAACTCCTGACCTCAGGTGATCCACCTGCCTCGGCCTCTCAAAGTGTTGGGATTACAGGCGTGAGCCACTGTGCTCGGCCTGCAGAAGTTCTTTGTAGCTATTTATCCCTTTATTGCTTTTATATGTTGTATTTCTTTCCAGTCTGTTACCCATGTGTTAACATGGTCTATTCTATCTTTCTTTGAACAAAACTATTTAATTTTGGTGTACTCTTATTCATTTATGAATTGAGGATCTTGTTTAAGAATCTTTTCCACTCTGATGTTTTAAAAATATTTTTCTTGTTTAACAATTGGTTTTGGCTGGGCATGGTGGCTCACACCTGTAATCCCAGCACTGTGGGAGGCCAGAGCAGAAGCATCGCTTGAGCCCAGGAGTTTGAGACCAGCTTGGGCAACACAGTGAGACTTCATCTTTATTTAAAAAAAAAAAAAAAAAATTGGCCGGGCGGGGTGGCTCATGTCTGTAATTCTAGCATTTTGGGAAGTCGAGACGGGTGGATCACCTGAGGTCAGGAGTTCAAAACCAGCCTGGCCAATGTGGTGAAACCCCATCCCTACTAAAAATACAAAAGTTAGCTGGGCTTGGTGATGGGTGCCTGTAATTCCAGCTACTTGGAAGGATGAGGCAGGAGAATCACTTGAACCTGGGAGGCAGAGGTTGCAGTGAGCCGTGATCATGCCATTGCACTCCAGCCTGGATGACAAGAGTGAAACTCCATCTCAAAAAAATTAAAAATAAAAATATAAAAATAAAAGATCCTTTTAGGCCACGGACAGTGGTTCATGCCTGTAATCCCAGCAATCTGGGAGGCCGAGGCAGGAAGATCACTTGAACCCAGGAGTTTGAGACCAGCCTGGGCAACATAGGGGGACATCATCTGTATCAAAAATAGAGGTTAATCTAGTGTGGTGGCACACATCTGTGGTCCCAGCTACCCAGGAGGCTGAGGCAGGAAGATGGTTTGAGCCTGGGAGGTCGAGGCTGCAGTGAGCTGTGATCAGACCACTGCACTCCAGCCTGGGCGACAGAGTGAGAACCTGCCTCAAAAAAAAAAAAAAAAAAAAAGAAAAAAAAAAAAAAAAAAAAGATTTTTTTAATTTGTACAGGATAATGGAAGGACTTTTATTGGAAACCAGAAGACCTGGCTCCACTATTCAGTAGCTATCTGACCTCCATGTTAGAATCTGGCCTCTGTAAGCCTATTTCTTCATCTGTGAAAAGCCGCCTACCTCAGTGTCAGTGTAAAGAACAAATCAAAAATACTCAGTGAAATGTAGTGTTATAAACAAAAACCTAAAGATTTATTAAAACTCTTCTTTAGCTCTCCTAATCATTTTCTTAAATGGATTTATAAAACTCAATTCACACAAAACTTTAAAGGGAAACGTGCTATTTAAGAAAAAAATGTGTCTTGGTCAGTTACTTTCAAACAACGTAGGAGGTGGAATGTGTATATTAGAAGATTCTGGGGAATTTAAAGATACTAAGGAATGACAGTTGGCTATAAGCCAGCCTTTATTTGCTCTTTAGAATAAACTCAGTACTTCCCTCAGAGAGAAATGTTCATCGTTTCAGGACAAGTGTTATTTATCACATTACAAAGAAACTCGAATATGTAAAATTTTTAATGTATGTTACATTATTTTAACCAGCAAAAAAAAAAAAAATGGAAATCTAACTTTGCACATAAAAATGATTCAATTATCAAAAAAGGACATCCTATTTCAAATTCACCATAAACATTTTTGGCTGGGCGCGGTGGCTCACGCCTGTAATCCCAGCACTTTGAGAGGCTGAGGCAGGCGGATCACGAGGTCAGGAGATCGAGACCATCCTGGCTAACACGGTGAAACCCCGTCTCTACTAAAAATACAAAATAAATAAATAAATAAATAAATAAACAAAATTAGCCAGGTGTGGTGGCAGGCACCTGCAGTACCAGCTACTTGGGAGGCTGAGGCAGGAGAATGCATGAATCCAGGAGGCGAAGCTTGCAGTGAGCTGAGATCATGCCACTGCACTCCAGCCTGGACAACAGAGCAAGACTCATCTCAAAAAAAAAAAATTATAGTTCATTCTTCTGCAGGTGTTGAGTGCAGTTAGGTGAGTTAGGTCAAGGTGACTGATGGTTTTGTTCAGCTCTTATGTCCTTACTGATTTTTTAAACATGTTCTATCACTTCCTGAAGAAGAGATGTTTAATTCTGTCAAATTTTGCTTCAAGTATTTTGAAGTGCTGTTAAGTACATACCCACTTACAATTATCTTTCTAATGTAGTGACTGTTTTATTATGAAATGTCCAGACTGGGCACGGTGGCTCATGCCTGTAATCCCAGCACTTTGGGAGACGGAGGTGGGCAGATCACCTGAGGTCAGGAATTCACAACCAGCCTGGCCATCATGGCGAAACCCTGTCTCTACTAAAAACACAAAAATCAGCCGGATATGGTGGCAGATGCCTGTAATCCCAGCTACTCAGGTGGCTGAGGCAGGAGAATTGCTAGAACCCGGGAGGCAGAGGCTGCAGCGAGCTGAGATCACACCACTGCACTCCAGCCTTGGCGACAGAGCGAGACTCTATCTCAAAAAAAATAAGTCCCTTTTTTCCCTGATAATTCTCTTTGTCTGGAAATCTACATTATGTGATAAATAGCCACTCCAACCTTCTTATGCTTATATTTTGTGCCTATCGTTTTCCATCCATTTACTCTCAACCTATCTGTTTTTATATTTAAATATCATCGATAGACAGCATATAATTGCCTTACTTTTTAATGCATTCTGACAATCCTTGCATTTTAATTGGAGTTTTTAGTTTATTCAAATGTAATGTAATTATTGCTATGGACGAATTTAGGAAAACCTCTTTGAGTTGCTTTTTTGTGGTTGCCCAAGGGATGACAATAACCAACCTTAACTTTTCATAGTGTTTTTAAAGTTAATATTGTGCCACATGACATAAAAATACAAGCCCCTTGCACTCTACCTGTACTTTAAGCTATAGCTGTCAAATGCATCACATTTCCATGTTATAAATTTCATTACAGGGTTTGTTATAATTTTTGCTTTGAACAGTCCCGTATTTTAAAGAAATTATGAGGAAAAGGAGTCTTTTATACTTACCCACATATTTACCTTTCTGAGCCTCTTCCTTCCTTCCTGAACATTCAGGTTTCCATCTGGTATTATTTCCCTTCTGTCTAAAGAACTTCATTTAGCATTTCTTGTAGCACAGGTCTGCTAGTGACAGATTCTACGTTTTAAGTAAAAATGTATTTAATTTGCCCTCATTATTGCATGATATTTTCATTTCATCTGTATGATTATTTCCAGATAAAGGGTTGATTTTTTTTTTCAGAACTTTAAATATGTCATTTCACTTGATTCTGATGAGTAGTCAATGGCATTTCAAATCTTTGTTCCCCTCATAAAATGTCATTTTCCTTTGGTTACTCTAAAGATATTCTTTTTATTTTTTCCTTTTCAATGGTTTGGCTCTGTTTTGTTTTTGTTTGTTTTTTGTTTTTGTTTCTGAGATGGAAGTCTTGCTATGTTGTCCAGGCTGGTCTCAAACTCCTGGGCTCAAGTGATCCTCCCACCTCAGCCTCCTGAGTAGCTGGGACTACAGGTGCACGCCACTGTACCCAGCCTCATTTTTGAAATTTAAATACAAAAAGTGAGCACTGGCTTTTTAAAAACATACACACAGGCCGGGCATGGTGGCTCACACCTGTAATCCGAGCACTTTGGGAGGCAGAGGTGGGTGAATCACCTGAGGCCAGGAGTTTGAGGCCAGCCTGGCCAACATGGCAAAACCCCATCTCTACTAAAAATACAAAAAATTAGCTGAGCATGGTGGTGGGTGCCTGTAATCCCAGTTACTTGGGAGTCTGAGGCAGGAGAACTGCTTGAACCTGGGAGGTGGAGGTTGCAGTGAGCCGAGATTGCGCCACTGTACTCCAGCCTGGGCGAGGGAGCGAGACTCTGTCTCAAAAAACAAATAAAACATACGTACAAGTCTAACAGCCAAAATGCACAGAGGAAATGATCTCCTACTCTGTCCTCCAAGGTTCCCATTCTGTGGCTGAATTTGCTGCTGGCCTTCCTCCTTTACAACATGCATAGAAATCCACAGCATCCACTTTACACTACAGCTGTAATGCATTTTGTCTGCTTCATGCCATGTGCACATCCTTCCTCATTCTGATTGATGGTCAAGGATACATCCCTCCACTAGCATCAGTTCCTGCCCTACGATGGGATAGCGAGGAGATCAACCAGTTAGGAAAAATCTAGTCAAAGGGGTAGGGTGGCTAGAGATGGAGTAGCCCTCTGCACTGATGTACTGTGGTATCTGAGTGAGGAGAGAAAAAATGGGGCAGAAAAGCATGGAGGGCACAGTTGAAAGTTGGGAGTCTCTCTGTGAAACGCTGTGAGGAGGATTCTTCTGACCTGCTTTAGATAGATCAATGTGCCAAAGTAAAGAAAAAAAATCCGGCCGGGCATGGTGGCTCATGCTTGTAATCCCAGCACTTTGGGAGGCCGAGGCGGGCGGATCACGAGGTCAGGAGATCGAGACCATCCTGGCTAACACGGTGAAACCCCATCTCTACTAAAAATACAAAAAAATTAGCCGGGCGTGGTGGCGGGCGCCTGTAGTTTCAGCTACTCGGGAGGCTGAGGCAGGAGAATGGCGTGAACCTGGGAGGCGGAGCTTGCAGTGAGCCGAGATTGCGCCACTGCACTCCAGCCTGGGCGACAGAGCGAGACTCCGTCTCAAAAAAAGAAAAAAAGTCCAAATAATCAGCAGTCTAGAGACTTGAATTTCAAACTTCTCCCACCAGGATGGCTCATATATGGCAGTAACAATCTAGATCTCTCCAGGAGTGAAGGGAGAGCCTGTGGTAGGCCCCGTGGTAGGCCCTAGAAAGTATCCACTGCTGCTTCTAGTTGCTGCTGTTGTTCCACTTGTGACTTAGTCTCCAAGACAACAGAACAGCCAGGAGTATAAAGAAAGTGGTTGCAATCCACAAGGCTGTTCTGGAAAACCCGTATATCTTTTGAGCCATGAAGAGGGAGAGATCAGAAATGGATCCAGCTACAGACCAGAGTTCTTTGGGAGCATCTCCATTTGGCGCCATTGTCATGATGGGTCTCATTTAGCTCCTTGTGGCTCCTATTCCACCCCCTCCTCAGTCTCCTCTATGTTGCCTTTTGGGCGCAATTTGGGGACAGGGGTACCCCCGTGCCATGGCAGCAGCAAATAATGGGCATCCATTTTCTCTTTCCTTTCTGGAACCCTATACACGTTAGATCTTTTTGTATTGTCCTGTCTCTTAGGCACCATTCCTTATTTTATTTTTCTCTCTGATCTTCAGATTGAATTAATTTCTATTGCTTTACCTTCAAATTCACAGATACTTTCTTACGTTATTTCTATTCTGATCTTTTTTTTCTTTTGAGACAGAGTTTCCTCTTGTTGCCCAGGCTTGAGTGCAATGGAGTGATCTCTGCTCACTGCAACCTCCACCTCCTGGGCTCAAGCGATTCTCCTGCCTCAGCCTCCTGAGTGGCTGGGATTATAGGTATGCGCCACCACATCCAGCTAATTTTGTATTTTTAGTAGAGACCGGGTTTCTCCATGTTGGTAAGGCTTGTCTCAAACTCCCAACCTCAGGTGATCGACCTGCCTCCACCTCCCAAAGTGCTGGGATTACAGATGTGAGCCACCACACCTGGCCTCTATTCTGATCTTAAGGCTATCCAGCAAAAATTTCATTTTAAATATTATATTTTCAATGTTAGCATTAACCTTTGGTTCTTTTTTATGGTTTTTCTCTTCTGTGATTTCCTATCTTTTCATTCATTATGAGTATATTTTCCTCTAAATCCTTGGGCATAGTTTTGACAGCTGCTCTAAAATTTTTGTCTCTAATTCCAACATCTGGTTCATCCTGGGATAACTGATCGACTTTGAGTCACATTTTCTTATTTTTTCGTATGCCTAGTAATTTTAGATTCTAACCTGGACACTTGGATGAACTCAAACTTCTCAGTTCAGTTATTTAAGGCTTATATGGGCTGCTTGGAGTCTGCTGTGCACATGTGTAGTTTAGGTTCGGCAAGAAATTTGGGCATTTTCTATATAGTCTTTAAGGCTCCTCCTTTGTGAATCTCTCTTTTCTGTGATTTCTCCTCTACTTCCCATTGCTGTGCGTTTGCATCCCTCCTCCTCGCCTCTTTGGTGAGGGAGGGATTTCTACTGTAAGGCTATGGGAATAAGCTAAACACAACACAAGACACTACACAGATGAGACTGACAGCAGTGTACTAGTCACATATACTCACAGCCTAGCAGAGAACACCCACTCCACACGGGGCCAGGTGGGGCCTGCACTTGGAAATAGAGAACAACCACGGGTGCAGGCTTTGTAGTATCAAGAGGATGAGGTCGCTCCTGGTTCCTGAGGGAGGACGTGACTGGTGTGGATGAATAATTCCATAAGCTGTCAGGGAACTAAAACCTGTGACTCAGGAATAAGCAGGAAATGTGCCTGATCCTTGAGCTAAGGAGTGGAGTGTGGACAGGAACTTGTAGTTAGGCCATTCAAGGGCCTCCTGATTTTACCAGATATCAAGGCAATACATGGTATTAACTTTAGACCATACACCACCTGTGGTTGTCCTGGACTCCAACCTCTGGCTCTTCAAGCCAGTAAGTCTGCAAGTTTGAAAGTTATAGTCATTCCACATGGTACTGATGAGGGCCTGCCCCCAGGCTAAATGACATTCTTATATGATGAAACTCATGAACTGCTATTTCCTTCTTCCAAGTGTGGACTCCCATCCAGAATTTGCCTTCTTTTTCTTGCTCTCCAGTGCCTTTTGGTAGATTTTTAAATTCTGTTCAGAATGTATAGCTGTTATTTGCAGGAACACTGATCTGACAGGAGCTATCTGGCCATTACAGGAAGCAGAACCTTCAAAGTTCCTTCTTAATCTTGGCTGCTTAGAGTCTGCCCTGCACATGTGTAGTTCAGGTAAACTGCTTTGGACACGAGCAGCTTAACCACACAACTGAAGGAATTATCAGGTGTGACTAATTATAACAGGACTTGGCATGGAGTCTCTGGGATAATAACACATGAGAACATTATCCCACAGCTGAAATCCGTAACTGGAGGGCTCATAAAAAATTGTTGCATAAAACACTTAAATTTTGATTTAGTACAAATTTAGATTCCGTACAAATAATTCATCAAACTTGAGTTGAGCCTGGAATATATCAGATAAAATCCAAGAAAAAAGTTTTTTGTTTTACAGTTTTTACATACTGCTAAAGTACATATGGGGGAAAATTATGGCTATCATTTGATAATGCAGTCCTATATCTCTTCTTAAATACCTACCATCTTTCATTAGCCTTGCTTGATTTTTACCAATTTTAATCTCTCTTTAATTCTGCCATCATTGCCAATTTGCTTTTATTTATACTTATGCTTATAAGCATTTCCCTAACATGTGTCATGTCCCTATAAAGACTATAAATGTCTCATGGACAAAGACCAAAGCCTTGATTTCATTTAAACCTCGACACTGCAGATACTCACATATGTTGATTATTCTTTTTCAGTGAATCCTATCAAGACTCAGATGGACAAATTGGGCTTTTAAAAAAATCTCTTCAGTACTAGGTATATGGTTGTTTCCTTTGGTGATCCCAGAAGGCCTCACAAGACTCAATAGCAGGTTATATATTAATACGTGGCTCAGATTAATGACAGCAAAGGATACAGGGCAAAAGCAACAGGAAAAGATGTATCAGTGGAGTCCAGAGAGGTCCAACATAGGATTCTGTTGTCCTTTGTCTGCAGCTACACAGGAATTCTGTCTCTCTCTCAGCAAACTATAGACACGTGTGGAATGTCTCTGCCCACAGAATCCCACTTGAGTCTCAGGGTTTAAGGCTTTTGTGGGAGGCTGTTCATGTACTCATACTCTGCTATGGAATTGGCTACGGCAACCAAAACTCAGGGGCCCAATAATAAAACCAGGTGCCTATTTATCAGTCTTGGTGTTTGTGCAACGCAACCTGGCGAGCCAGTATGGAATGGTCCAATGCTCCAGGTGTATACAACAAAATCATCATCACTAACATAAAGAACACTCCAAGGATTGCAATCCAGGGGTTGGCCAAGGTCAAAGATGGTTCCCCTGGAGACATGCAAGGGGTAAGCATCCAGAACTGCTACAGTAACTCTTTTCCTCACAAGGCCCTGCACATCCTTGCTTATCACCTAGTACTAATTCCTGGCTTACTAATAGGAATAATACAAAGCTAATTAAGTCTGGGCACGTGAGAAGATATTTAAACCTATTTTATTGCTAAATCATTCCCTCTAGTCTCTCTACCCTACCCAACATATTCTAGCCTCCAATTTCTATCCTGGTAGATAACATTACATTTGCATTTTGTTATTCCAGAAGGTGCATAAAGTTCTTTGTTTTTTTCTTCTCTTTTCTTTTTTTTGAGATGGAGTCTTGCTCTGTCGCCAGGCTGGAGGGAAATGGCATGATCTCGGCTCACTGCAACCTCCGCCTCCCGAGTTCAAGCGACTCCCCTGCCTCAGCCTTTATGAACAGGCAACATGTAGGCAGCAGTAGTTTATGCTGCTTAGAAGAGAAGGCCTAAGAAGGATAGAGCTCAAAGTTGTAAAATCTACAGGGTTCATATCCTTGTATGATTTACATTTGTATCATTTCCCCCACACACCTGCGTTACCTCCTGGATTTTCTATTTCGTACAGCCTTAACAAGATCTACCTGTGGCCCAAGCCAAAACCCTAGATGATACCTCTTCTCTCCCATCCTCTAAATACAGACACTAAACCCAATTGATATTAGCTCTTAAAGACGCCCTGATCTATTTCCTTCTTTCCATATGACATCATTTTCCTCTTAACTGCTCCTTTCTCTTGCTTCTCTCCCCCTCTCCCCCAGGCCATTATTCATGTCAGCAGGGTTCTCCCTCCCGTTCTTTCCTAGAAAGCCAATGCACCACACACTGAAGAATAATTTTCTGAAAAAGATGTCTTAAGTAATGAGGTATTATTACCACTTATCTCTATTTTCGATTGTTTCCTGTATGTCATAGATCTACTAATATCTATTTTACTGGAAAACAAATTAATTATATCTCAAATTGAAAAAATATGTCCTCAGGATAGAATCAATTGCTTGGAGTTCTCTGAGCCAAAGTGCAACAGAAATAATAAGAGCTGCTTCCTGTGCCTCATCCTCTCTTTGCTTTACGACATCTGGAGTCTTCTCCCAATCTTTCTTTCTCAACTGCTATGTTCAGATTCCTCTTCATTAAATATTTCTGCCAGATTTCATTCCTACAGAAAAGCCCACAGTCAGAAAAGGATTCCTTGGCTAGTTAATATTTCATAGGTCCCTTCCGAGGGTGTAGGCAGATGTTATAGACGGTGTTAACATATAACATCAATCTAAATTTGAATTTTAAAACATCTGATTCATAAAAGTGATAAGAATTGTTCCATCTGAACCTAAAATACTCAAGTGAGATCCTGCAAAAATTGTTAAAGCTCTTAGCAGCAAGTTGAGGGCTATACTGAATGAGAAGAGGGCTACCTACAACTTCTCTTAAACTGCTAAAAATTTTTCACAAAAAATGTGTTTCTAAGCCAAAACTGCCTAGATTAATTCCTAAAGTGAGAAGTCTTCAGAAGCTTCAAATTTACCAACTGTGGTACTTCTTTGCTTTAATTTGTGTAATAATTTATGTGTTATTAGAATGCTGGTATACAAAGATCAGACATGACTAATAAGTAAAAAAAATTATCATAAAAGTGAACTAAATCCAAATATTTGGTGTATCTACTTATCTACTCTTTTCCTGGTAGATAATATTACATTTGCATTTTGTTATTCTAGAAAGTGCATAACGTTCTTTGTTTCTTTTCCTTTTTTTTTGAGACGGAGTCTCGCTCTGTCACCAGGCTGGAGTGCAATGGCACGATCTCGGCTCACTGCAACCTCTGCCTCCCGGGTTCAAGCGATTCCCCTGCCTCAGCCTTCCAAATAGCTGGGACTACAGGCACGCGCACATCACGCAATTTTTTGTATTTTTTTTAGTAGAGATGGGGTTTCACCATGTTGGCCAGGATGGTCTCGATCTCCTGACCTCGTGATCCACCTGCCTTGGCCTCCCAAAGTGCTGGGATTACAGGCATGAGCCACCGCACCCACCCAGTTCTTTGTTTCTTTTATATTTTAGATGAAGCATAGATTTTTGTTAAAATAATACATATACCAAAAAAAGAAAAACAAATGTGCAAAAGGATAAATGAAGCCTCTAGATATTGCCGGACTATTTTTCCAGAGATATTTAATCTGAATACAAAGTTAACATTGTTTAGGATATCCTAAATGTAATATCATATAAGGAAGTCACTTGGCTTTTTGAAGTTATTTTTTAATCAACATACCAATTATCAAGTCAAAGACTAGGTTAGATATGCTATTGCTCTAACCCTGTATTACAACTATATATACACACACACACACATACACACATATATATATGCACACACATACACACACACACACACTTTTTTTTTTTTTTTTTTGAGACAGTCTCTCACTCTGTCACCCAGGCTGGAATGCAGTGGCGCGATCTCAGCTCACTGCAAGCTCTGCCTTGTGGGCTCAAGCAATTCTCCTGCCTTAGCCTCCTGAGTAGCTGGGATTATAGGTGCCTGCCACTGCACCCAGCCAATTTTTGTATTTTAGTAGAGGTGAGGTTTCATCATGTTGGCCAGGCTGGTCTCAAACTCCTGACCTCAAGTGATCCGCCTGCCTTGGCCTCCCAAAGTGCTGGGATTACAGGTGTGAGCCACTGCACCTGGCCAGCAACTATATTTTTTGTTATTTAAAAAAAGTATCACAAATAGTCTCCATAAATAAAATTTGTATATCTCAGTCCCTAAATTTTAATTTTAATGTTCTACCATCATCAGTAATGGCTCAAATAGTCATTTCTTTCTCTGATTCTTCTATTTCCCCTTAATATATAGCTTTTTAGCTTCTAATACTTCCCATATAATTTTCCCCCATATATTTTATATCTTTGTTTTTAATCTAATTTTCGTACTTACTTTAGCCAGATACCAGAAGAAAACATGTGTTGTGTCACTTCAGGCACTTTTTCGAAGTCTTTTCCCTGAAGATATCATTTCTGTGATGAAAAGATGTTGTACTAAAATATCTGCAATATACAGTATAGTTAGAACAAGAAAATGAAAGTACATCTAGACTGCAGTTAATGAACACTACCTATGTTTTCTCAAGGTAACAACAGAGAAAAATAAATAAAATAAGATAAATTATTTGTATTAAATGAATATTTTCATTTTCAAAATTTCGGTCTCATTTTATAGAACTGGCACATTTAAAATTACCTGATTTAGCAAAATAAGATCTAAATACAATTTTCCAGAAATGTATGTATTGTGTAAAGTGAGATATACTGGTTTCATGTATAAAACAGTCAGAGAATGTCAATTTATGGAAATAAATAATTTTTAAATATCTGTTACCCTTACTGGGCATGGTGGCTCATGCCTATAATCCCAGCACTTTGGGAGGCTGAGGCGGGCAGATCATGAGGTCAAGAGATCGAGACCAACCTGCCCAACATGGTGAAAACCCATCTCTACTAAAAAATGCAAAAATTAGCTGGGTGTGGTGGCGTGCGCCTGTAGTCCCAGCTACTTGGGAGGCTGAGGCAGGAGTATTGCTTCAACCCAGGAGGCAGAGGTTGCAGTGAGCTGAGATCACACTACTGCACTCCACCCTGGTGACAGAGCGAGACTCGTCTCAAAAAAAAAAAAAAAATCTGTTACCCATGAAAGATAATCAATACCTATCAAATATTGGATTAACCATGCTAAGAGCAATTAATGTAACAATAGCTCCAATAAGACCTCATTAAATAATCAAGTACTTCAAATAAACAATAGATTTAGCAAAAAGCACCTAGCCGACAGCATTAGTTTCATTTTTAAAAGACTATTCTTTAGCTAGTGCTGAAAGCATAAGGCATTGATCCTTTAAAATAAGAATAAAGGATACACAGTTTCTAGTACTTTTGACTGGGTGGTTACTTGAAACATTATTCTCCAGGAAATTCTAATTTTCCTTCAGAGATGTTAAATTTGCTGCGAGACTTCACAGAAAAATATTTTATGATATCCGAGTTCTTAATTTTTTCCCATGGGCCTGCTTCTCCCCTCAATAATTGTCAGCCAGAAAAAAGATAATTATTTGTTTAACTCTTAAACTTTTAGGTATATACTTATTTTATGGATTGTTATATGACACTGGGCAAGCTAACTTCTCTGCGTCCCAATACTATCACCTGTAAAAAAGCTGGTCTGTAGGTGATCTGTAATAGTGATCTCCATCCTCTTCCCCATCCTTACATAGATGATGGTTAGGATAAACTACCATCAGCAACACTGGCTCCTCCAGCTACCCAGTTGAGCTGCCTGTTGCCTGCTCTTCCTTCCTTTGGAGAAATCGTTGATCTAAGATAACTTCAGCATTAAAAAATTACGAGTCTAGAGTGATCATGAGATTGAAAACAACTATCTGAAATCATGCAACCTTGAGATGCATTTTCTTTTTGAGACAGGGTCTCACTCTGTTGCCCAGGCTGGAGTGCAGTGGTACGATCCTAGCTCACTGCAGCCTCAAACTCATGGGCACAAGGGATCCTCCTGCCTCAGCCTCCCAAGTAGCTGATACTATAGGTACACACCACTGCACCCGGCTAATTTTTTAATTTTTTGCAGAGACAGGATCTCTCTGCTACTTAAGCTGTTCTCACGTTCCTGTTCTCAAGTGATCCTCCTACCTTGGCCACCCAGAGTCTGGGGTTACAGGTGAGCCACAAGGCCGGCCTTTTTTTTTTTTTTTAAATAAAAACATCTTTTTTGTAAGGTTCTTAGTAAAAATAATTATAATAATAATATATATAAAGGGTGAAGGCTGTGCCACCACAACTTTCAATACATTCCCTTCCTGCCACTCACTTCCATTTGATGAAATCAATAGGAAAATTGCTGTACAACAAAGAGTAGCATCTGACAGGCACTGTGCCAACCTTTACCTCACACTTTCAAAGACCGGAAGAGTTCAAGGCTTTAGTTTACACATGGTTTGGCTACTCTCAGACGCTAGGCAATTGTTGGGTTTCCTGATTACCTGCAAAAACATTTTTGGATAACAGCTCATTGAGAAAAAGGGATATCTACAAAGACAGAATATGTCATTTTTATGGATCTAGCTATTATGTTATTTGTATAGGTTGAATAATTTATATGTACTATATCAACTATTAAATTTTGGACAAATTTTTAGGCTTTGCCAGCAAAATTAGACCAAAATTTCAATTTTGAACAGAGTATAAATCTCTCTTCTCTAAATTAAAAACCCTTTCCCCTGCTTTTAGAAAACATAATTGCATAATTCAAACTCCTTCAAAACTGTGACCTAGTTCCCCCTCTTGATGTTATAAAGGGCTCATGTAACTATGGTAACTAACCAGGGAAAATTGAATGTTTTTCTGGTCAGCAATATGCAAAGTATACCATATGTGCTATTTTTTCTCTTTGGGATAGCTAAGGGGATATTACGTTTGCCTTTTTTCTTGTTTATGAAAATATGAGATCTTATTATACCGAATTTCCTCTTCACTACAATCCCAGTCATTCACACGGTCCCTTCGTTAAAACGTTTTAGGATCATATTTTGCTTTTAGTAGTCATCCTAAATGCTGAATAGTACTATAATCTAAAGCAGTAGGATTGACTGTATACACCAGTTAAATCTGTGCAGTCTAACACATAAACTCCAAGTACAGGGTGATATTGCTCAGATTTCTAATATTCCTTCTACAGAATCTGATATTTTCTTAACTTTGTCCTTTTTTTTTTTTTTTTTTTTTTTTAAATGAGACAGAGTTTTGCTCTTGCTGCCCAGGCTGGAGAGTGCAATGGCACCATCTTGGCTCACTGCAATCTCTGCCTTCCGGGTTCAAGCGATTCTCCTGTCTCAGCCTCTGAGTATCTGGGATTACAGGCACATGCCACCACGCCCGGCTAATTTTTGTATTTTTAGTAGAGATGGGGTTTCATCATATTGGTCAGGCTGGTCTCGAACTCCTGGCCTCAGGTGATCTGCCCACCTCGTGGCAAAGTGCTGGGATTACAGGCATGAGCCACCACACCTGGCCTAACTTTGTACTTCAATCCTAGCCAAAGTGTTTTCTTAAAGCAAAAGAACTGCTAAAATGGAATTACATCTTGGAGTATATTTAGATATTGAGAAGAGTTATCTCCAGTTTGTAGTGACTTTTATATATCTTTTTATTTCTATTTAAATTTTTTCTACAATAATGTGTATTACTTATGTAATAAAGTAATAAAAAATGCTTTAATGCTTTAAAACTGAGTTCAGTGGAGACGCACACCATTAGGTTTTGTTTTTTTTTTTTCTTTGAGACGGAGTCTCGCTTTGTCGCCCAGGCTGGAGTGCAGTGGCATGATCTCCGCTCACTGCAACCTCCGCCTCCCGGGTTCATGCCATTCTCCTGCCTCAGCCTCCCCAGTAGCTGGGACTACAGGTGCCCGCCACTACGCCCAGCTGATTTTTTGCATTTTTAGTAGAGACGGGGTTTCACCGTGTTAGCCAGGATGGTCTTGATCTCCTGACCTCGTGATCCGCCCGCCTCGGCCTCCCAAAGTGCTGGGATTACAGGACTATTAGGTTTTTCTTTAGTTGCTTTTTGTACTAATGAATTGATTTAAAGTTTTAGGGTTTTTCACTATAATTTAAGATGCTTCACTGGACCTTCTAGAACAAATTACACTCTAACACAGCCTCCTAGATTACTAAGGATTTATTTATTTGCATCAGGTACAATTACATTTCTTACAACACGCTATCAATTGGTGACTTTTCATATGAGGATTTCTTCTTGAATTTCTCCATATTTAAAGCAGTGATTTTAAACTACTTAAATATCTTCCTCAGAAAAACATTGCTCTCTGCTTCACTGAATTAAACAGGGAATTAACTGCCTCTTACTGGTTTGGAAAAGACCTCAGTAACCAAATAAAATGCATGGGATTTGCTGGATCCTGTTAAACCAAATGTGAAAGATTTACTGAGACAATAGGAAAATTTGAATTGTGTAGTTATTAAATGATAGTAAGAAAATTTGGGGAGGCAGAATACATGGTATTACGGATATGCTTAAAAAACTGTTATCTTGGCCAGGCATGGTGGCTCACGTCTGTAATCCCAGCACTTTGGCAGGCCAAGGCGGGCGGATCTCTGGAGGTCAGGAGTTCCACACCAGCTTTAACCAACATGGTGAAACCCCCTCTCTACTAAAAATACAAAAATTAGCTGGGCATGGTGACACATACCTGTAATCTCAGCTACTTGGGAGGCTGAAGCAGGAGAATCGCTTGAACCTGGGAGGCGGAGGTTGCAAAGAGCCAAGATCGCCCCATTGCACTCCAGCCTGGGCGACAAAAGCAAGTCTCAGTCTCAAAAACAAACAAACAAAAAACAACTATTATATTTTACCTATTCATATTATTCATATTTAAAGTATTTACAGATAAAATGATAAAAATCCAGCAAGAGTGAGGGAATGTGAAGGGCTATAGATTAAATAATCTTAGCCATATGTTGCTAAATGTTGAAGCTGGGTAGACGGTATATAAGGATTTATTGTAGTATTACTTTTGCCTTTGAAAATTTCCATAAAAGTTTAAAAATATTAAAAAGTAGAAAAAAGAAAAGGATTTCATTTATTTGATCTGACTCAAACAGAAGCTGAATTTTCTCAGCAGGCATCTTTAGGAATCTTTCACCATTACTTGCCAGTTTGTTTTCAACCAGTTTGAAGTTGTTGCTCTCCCCAAGAGACAGGTACGGAGGCGTACACATTTCCTGCCAGGGACCTCTTAAAGTCAGACTTAGAAATTCAAGGTAATCCCAGACTAATTTGGGGAGATCAGTTACTTATCTTTTTTTTAGGGTTGCTTTATGGTAGATAATACACTGTAGAGCAAATAAAATGCCTTTTTGCTTTATTCACAGGATTAAATACCATAAATTAATTTCTAGTTGCTGAGAACGGGAGATTTTAAATTTTGCATTTAGAAGACAAGAAATTCAATCTGAAGAGGCCCCATATTTCCAGTTAAGTGACCACTCAGAAGGGAAGGACAGCGCTCAATAACCAAGGTCAAGAGTTGGGTTTAGGGTTTGTGGCGATTTTTTTTGGGGGTGGCAAGAATAAGCCGTAGATTAATCTCTTAAAATAAATATAGCAAGAAAAGCATGCCTAAAATAATTCATACATATACATATATTATCATATTACAGTGTTTTACAGTTTTAGATCAGTACCAGCTAAAATATTCTTTGGATTGTTTTTGCTTTTTTACCAGCCTGTTCAACAGAATTATAAAAGGTGACAATAATGCTATAAATGTCTCCTATCCCATGCTCATCCCTCCTCTCATCTTGCTCTGTTTCTGGAGTACTCTAGGTATTCTGCATCTTTGCCTTTTTCCCCTTCTAGTTTCTAAACACATTTCTTATCTACTTGCAGATCACTTATCAGACTGAATAAAATCCATAGGTACATTCGGTGTCTGACCTGTAACAAGGCACCCCACATTATTTTGCGCCTTTGATAAAGACCAGCTTATTCAAACTTGTGAGAAAACAAAAATAGCAGGGTTCAAGTAAAAACCAGTAAAATTCAGTTCTTCACAGTGGCGGTTTTTTGACAAGACCCGGCCGAAAGATTTCACGAACAGTAAAATCCCAGAATGTTCTCAGAAATACTATCCACTGTACTGTCTGGGTTGCTTAATACTGGCCCAAACCTCAGTGTCCTAGGATAATAACCCAAGACAATTTCCCAGTCCTTTGAAATAGTTGACGTCCCAAGATGTCAAATTGCCTGGAGTGCTTTATTTTGGTTTGAAATTTAAAATTTCCTCTAGATAAAGATCTAGATTTCTCTTTGCAAGTCAAAGGCTAGTTACTATTAACAGCTGTTTCAAAAGTGCTCTAAATAGGTCACCATTCAGGTGTACCAACGCTGCAAACTGGATCTAAGAAGATCCAAATTTGTCACCACTCACTCACATTTTAACTCAAAGGTAGTACTCACAATTGGCCTTGTTTACATAGGCATTCCATTAAAATTATCCATGCATTCATTCTATTTGCACCCATTTCTTTCAAAAATGTCCATCTGTAATTAAAATCAGCTCCTCTGCCTGACATCTCATTTACACTACACCGAAATTAAACCCCACTAGGAGATCACGTAGATTATGGGGCCGAGGGCCCGCCCGCTGACTAGGTTTTCACTCGCGTCTCCTCCATGCCCCAGGTCCCCTCCGATTGCAGTCCTGGGGCAGGACTGAGCAAAAAGTCCCGTAAAGCTGGCGTGTGCCCCACTCCGCCAGGAAGCCTCACCGACGTCCTGTGCTTAAATGTTCTGACACCCCCCAAAAGCAGTTGTTTTTAAAGGCTGTCTGTGGGACCAATGCGTTGTCAAACAGATGCCGTCCCGCATCCCCTCCCCCTAAATGACACAGAAGATTCCAGCGTAGGGGAAGGGCCACGAAACCCGCAGGGCACACGACGCCGGGGGCCGGAGGGAGCACCGCCTACCTCCCTGATCAAGCCCCGCGGTGCCGGGCGAGCCCGAGGGCCCGGCAGGAGGCGGGCGGCAGCCCCAGGCGAGCTCGGAGGCGGCGGGAACGCAGCCGCCGCGCATGCCGGGAGCCGCACGCCGCCCGCCGGGGCGCGCAGTCCCGCAGGCCTCGCTCCAGGTCGTCCGAAAAGGAACCGCCTGCTGCTCCTTTGCAGGCTCGCGAGGAGCCGCACTCGGACCGCCTGATGGGGAAAAAGCCGGTGTGGCCGGGCGGAGCGAGCCGAGCGGAGCTGGAGCTGCCCCTCCCAGCGGGGAGGACGGCACGAAGGACCGAGCCGCCTCCCCTCCCGGGTCCCATTCAGACGCGAGGCGCAGAGACTGGCTCCCCGGGCTTCCCCTTTAAGGGGGGCGGGGCGCGGCCTGCCGTTTGGCCGCCCCCCACACCCTCCCCCGCTAGCCCAGAGCCGGCAGACCAATCGCCCGGGCGGCGGAGCGAAGGCGGGAGAATGCGAACCCTCCGGTAGGCGGTAGGGGCGGGCCCCGGCCTTATTCGCAGGGAGCGCTGCGCAGGCGCAGAGGCGGCCGCGGGCGGAGGGGCGGGGGCAGGCTAGCGGGAGGCTCTCCGTGAGGCACGGAGGGTGACTGGGGACAGGCGGGCGGCGACGGGCTTGTCATGGGGATCCGGGCTGCGAGACGGCACTCGTAGCATCTGGGGACTCCGAGGGGGACAGGAAGTGTCAGCGCCCGGGACCCCGGCGCCGGCCCCGCCGAGGGGATCCCCACTGCTCCGGTCCTGGAGCGGGAGGGGAGAAAGGAGGGAGCCCCGGTTTCGCCCCGCCCCTGGGCTGGTGCTGCGGGGGCGGGGAGTGAGGGCTGCTCTGGGGGGAGTGGAGATCGGGGAGCGCGGCCGTGCCCTCTCGAGCGGCTGCGGGGTCCCCGCGGCGCCGGGCTGCTGAGCTGAGGGCCCGCGGCGGCCGCGGCCGGTGCATGTGCGGCTGCTGGATGCGGAGGCGGCGGCGACGGCGCGGATCGGCAGGATGTTAGGGCAGCAGCAGCAGCAACTGTACTCGTCGGCCGCGCTCCTGACCGGGGAGCGGAGCCGGCTGCTCACCTGCTACGTGCAGGACTACCTTGAGTGCGTGGAGTCGCTGCCCCACGACATGCAGAGGAACGTGTCTGTGCTGCGAGAGCTGGACAACAAATATCAAGGTAGGAGCCGCGGGGCTGCCGGCCTCGGGAGCCGGTGGCGGGGAGCCTGTCCGGGGGAGTGCCACCTTCCCTTTCTCCCGTGACAGTCTCCCCGAGCGCACCGAGGGTCTGCCGAGCGGGACTGGGAGGACTGGAGACCGGGTTGGCGGCCCTCCGTGGCCCCGCGGTGGGCGAGTACTTCTCTGGGGTCCCCAGAGTGGGGGTGGGGGCCGCTTGTCAGCCCCCGCTGCAGACCCAGCGGCTGCAGCTGCCGCTGAGGGGAATCAGCCATTTTAAGCAGCAAGCATTTGTTCAGGCGCTGGCCCGCCCCGTGCCGCAGACCCTGCGGCCCCGGCCCGGGACTGCAGCCGGGCAAGGGTCGGAGGGAGTGAGCGGCCGGGCTCCCGCTGGTCTGCGGGGCGCGCTTCCCCACCTCACTCGCCCCCACCCCGGAGTGCGGGTGCTTTGGAACGTGCGGGGGGAGGGGGCGAGAGGCCGCGGAGGCGGACTGAGGGGGCCTTCCTCCGCGCTCCTGCCCCGGCCCGGAGGAGAGCAGTCCGTTCCGCTCTCTCGCCCCGGGAAAGTTCGCGGGCGCCCCGCGTTGTAGCCCTAGCCCAGTTCTTTCGGCAAAATGGTTAAGAGGGGAGGGGTCCCCCGCGGGAGAGGAAGAGAGGGGCGTGTGTGGCGGGGAGGGCCCCCGCGCCGGGGGCGGGGCCTGCGGGCTTGACGAGGGGCGTGGGAGGGGCGCGGCGCGCGTTCCCGCGGGCCTGGAAAATGGCTGGTCGCGAGAGGGGCGGTGGCGAGCTGGCTGCTGGGGAGGGAGTCGGGGCTGTGCGGGGGCGTTGGTTCGGCCCCAGCGGAGTCCGAATCGGGGTTTGCAGCATGTTTTGCGGTGATGTTTCCAACCTCTTTCCCAGTCAATGGATCAGGACGGCGATCAGCAGCTCGGACCGTCGCGGATCCTGGCTCCGCGTAGGTTCCGGGACATGTGTCACTTCCGGGCTTCAGGAGGAAGTGGGTTGGTTGACTGGGCAACCGCCTGGCGTCCCCGAGCCCCTCCTTCTCCGACTTTAAGTGTGGAGGCGAAACCACCCTTTGCCGGCCGACCCGGGAACCCGGGACAGAATCGACCTTCCTTACAGTGTTACCACCTACTATCGGTGGTGCTACTAGGAGGGCAGTTTAAAAGGGGAAATGTGTTGCGCTTAATAACCTTGAATCGAGGAACAGACCTTGAACATAGTATGGAAACAGCCATACGAACTTTAAAGATAATTTCCTGGACCCATTCTCTGTTTTTGTAGACACGCCAGTAATCCTATACTTTAAAAGTCTCTAAGGAATCCACTTCTTGGGTGACATAAGTGTCTGATGTTTTTTAGTTTATAAATTTGTTTCTGTTTTCTGAATCCATAGGATTCATAGGACTGATCCGTGTTTGGGGAGGGGGTGGGGAGGGAATTAAAACTGATGCGCTGGGTCCAGACCATTATATAAATATTTCTTTTACAGATTACAAAGAGTTCAAGTAACTCGTCCAGTTAATTCGATGTAGAATATTTGGCTCCAGAGCCTGCTACTGTAGATGCATATCTTTGTTTTCAAACAATTTAAGTTTTAATAAAAACTGTCCAAGGGGATTTCTACAGATATGGAGCACAAACATGAATGGTAACCTAAAAATGATACGTGCTTAATAATTGTATATGGAACCTTTCTAGTTTTTCAGATAACACCAAAGTTTGTAAAGCTTGTAGTTTGTGTTGTTGTTTTAGACAGAGCCTTGCTCTGTCCCCTAGGCTGGAGTGCAGTGGCTCGATCTTAGCTCCCTGCAACCTCTGCCTCCCGGGTTCAAGCGATTCTCCTGCCTCAGCCTCCCGAGTAGCTGGGATTACAGGCAACTGCCATCACGCCGGGCTAAGTTTTGTATTTTTAGTAGAGACGGAGTTTCACCATGTTGGCCAGGATGGTCTTGAACTCCTGACCTCAGGGGACCCGCCCGCCTCGGCCTCCGAAAGTGCTGGGATTACAGGCGTGAGCCACCGCGCCCAGCAAGCTTGCAGGTTTTTACATTTCTTTGAAGGCACATGTTTCCTTTCACAAGAGTTAAGCTATTTGAAGTTGGTGAGGGATACTATAATTTGTTGACAGGGAAATCTTTCGGATCATCTATAATTGTCAGGTATTAATAGCTCTGGTAACATTAGTAATATAGTAGGCCTTACAAGATTGAGAGATTATACAAATTCTTAGCTCTATGAAGTTTGTGATTAGTGATTAAAAACTCATCTAGTTTTCACTCTGCACGTGGTTACTGAGCTCAACTTTCACAGTTTTATGTTTATGTATATTTTGGGTTCAGATTTCATGTTTTTTATATCTTCACTAGTGCTTAAGTATTTTCTGGTTTTGGATCTAATATTTCTAGCAATATTTAGTGATATAAATTATATAGGCAGTCAAATTTCTTTCTAACCTACTTGAGACACTTTCAGAACTGCTGAAAAACTTATAAAATGAGAAATAAAGAAGAAAACAATTTCACAATTGAAGTACTTATTATGGGATAGGGTTATTAGAGAACCTTTATTTTTATTCTAGTGTTCCCACTCATAATTTCTTAGATAAATAACAACCTTCAAACTAAACTTTGATACTTAATTTCAAGTGCCTTTCATATAGTTTATAGAAAGTGCTTACACTGCGAGGTCAGACATACAGATCTGGCACAGTTCAAAGTCTGGGGTTCTTATCTCTTGAGTTGCAGTTTTTTTCACAAGCAGAAGTGATGGCTTCCTCATGGGGTTGCTGTGGAGATTAACTGAGAAAATCTTTACCACATAGAAGGGGCTGAGTAAATGTTAATTTCTTGTCTTCTTTCACTATATAATACGGTATCTTACAAATTTTTTATCTCATCTATCAATGTGCTGGTATGATATATACTGTACTTAGCCTCTAACACCTGATTATTAGGTACAAAATATTTGAAAAGAGGTTTGCCTCTTTTTTTTTTAATCCTCAATTTTTTATGTGTCTGAGGGAACCAGTTTCCTTATTTTTCCTGTAGGGAAATGAGGTTCTTAAGAAATCTGCTTAGATGCCGAGCTAAGCAAATGGAATAGACATGAACTTTGTTCGAAAATATGCTATGCAGGTGTAAGTACTCTGAACTGTGTGGTGGCACTTTGTTATATATTCCAAGTTAGACAGTTGTACATCAAGTACGAGTACCTGCGATTTCCAGGGAGAAGCTGATTAATGAGTTCTGTTGAATATTTGCTTTTGTGTGCCTTACTTGCAGACAGCCCCAATGTATATATCTACTTGCCTAACATTTCTGTTTTTAATAATTATAATATTGGAATATAAAACTAGTATGCCATGTGGTATGAAAAATACCATGCGGACAGAACTCTTTGAGATAGCATTACATCTTGTAAGAATAAGAAATAAAACGGATTCGAGCAAAACTAATCTTAAGTAAATTTTTGGTGACATCTGAAATTATATTTTCAGATTTTTGGATACCTTCTAGTGACTCAGCTATTTTTACTTGATTTAAGTAAGTGTATTCCACGTGCCATACAACTAAATCAGCAGTTCAGAAAGCTCAGAACCAACTACTGATTTATCTACAAAGGCAGAATGATCGAGTGCTGACTTTATTGTAATTTTGTTAGTGGTTTGGTCAGTTGATGCCAGAACCAGAACCTACTCTGGAAATAGTTTCATTTTCAGAATTTCCCATGTGAGGCTAAAGTAGAGCCATTAAAAGTAAGATGATGGGAAGCTAAGAGTTGCTTATGCCTTCTTTGTTAAGAATGTATGATGTGAAAGTGAAGCTATATCTCCGGAGTCATGTCACAAGTCATTGTCACAAGTCATTGATTGGACTGTAAATCCTGTAAACACAGTTGGGCAGTAATCTGTAGCCTAGTCCTGTAACCTTTTCAAGTTTTAGAGCTGGACCCCAGCCTGCACATTTTATATATAGGGTTGTTTTGAAGGTGTTACAGTACTTAGTAGACTAAAGTGGCATTCAGTGTTCCTGCCCATGAGAAATACTTTTGATCATTAATTAGCCAAACATCTCTTATCCTTTTTTTTTTTTTTTGAGACGGAGTCTTGCTCTGTCTCCCAGGCTGGAGTGCAGTGGCGCGATCTCGGCTCACTGCAAGCTCCGCCTCCAGGGTTCTCGCCATTCTCCTGCCTCAGCCTCCTGAGTAGCTGGGACTACAGGCGCCCGCCACTGCGCCCGGCTAATTTTTTTTGTATTTTTAGTAGAGACGGGGTTTCACCGTGGTCTCGATCTCCTGACCTCGTGATCCACCCGCCTCGGCCTCCCAAAGTGCTGGGATTACAAGCGTGAGCCACCGCGCCTGGCCTTTTTTTTTTTTTTTTTGAGATGGAGTTTTGCTCTGTCGCCCAGACCGGAGTGCAGCGGTGCGATCTCGGCTCACGGCAACCTCCGCCTTCCGGGTTCAAGCAGTTCTCTGCCTCAGCCTCCCAAGTAGCTGAAATGATGAGGGGCGCCTGCCACCATGCCCGGCTAATTTTTGCATTTTTAGTAGAGACAGGGTTTCACTATCTTGGCCAGGTTGGTCTTGAACTCCTGACCTCAGGTGATCCACCTGCCTCGGCTTCCCAAAGTGCTGGGATTACAGGCGTGAGCCACCGCGCCCAGCCTCTTTTTAATATAGATTAATGAGTATTAGTTTTGTGTTCTTTCTTTTCATTACTTTATTTCTAACTATACTTTCATATTAGATAATGTGGTCTTTGTATGAAATAGTTTTTAATGTATATGTACCAAAGAGGAGTATGGTTTCATGGTTTGAGTTCTAATTTCAATTCTGTAAAAAATAACTACCTTGGAAATGTTGTGTCTGCTAACACATGATAACGTTCTCATTTTTCTTTTCCTTTTTTTAGAAACGTTAAAGGAAATTGATGATGTCTACGAAAAATATAAGAAAGAAGATGATTTAAACCAGAAGAAACGTCTACAGCAGCTTCTCCAGAGAGCACTAATTAATAGTCAAGAATTGGGAGATGAAAAAATACAGATTGTTACACAAATGCTCGAATTGGTGGAAAATCGGGCAAGACAAATGGAGTTACACTCACAGTGTTTCCAAGATCCTGCTGAAAGTGAACGAGCCTCAGATAAAGCAAAGATGGATTCCAGCCAACCAGAAAGATCTTCAAGAAGACCCCGCAGGCAGCGGACCAGTGAAAGCCGTGATTTATGTCACATGGCAAATGGGATTGAAGACTGTGATGATCAGCCACCTAAAGAAAAGAAATCCAAGTCAGCAAAGAAAAAGAAACGCTCCAAGGCCAAGCAGGAAAGGGAAGCTTCACCTGTTGAGTTTGCAATAGATCCTAATGAACCTACATACTGCTTATGCAACCAAGTGTCTTATGGGGAGATGATAGGATGTGACAATGAACAGTGTCCAATTGAATGGTTTCACTTTTCATGTGTTTCACTTACCTATAAACCAAAGGGGAAATGGTATTGCCCAAAGTGCAGGGGAGATAATGAGAAAACAATGGACAAAAGTACTGAAAAGACAAAAAAGGATAGAAGATCGAGGTAGTAAAGGCCATCCACATTTTAAAGGGTTATTTGTCTTTTATATAATTCGTTTGCTTTCAGAAAATGTTTTAGGGTAAATGCATAAGACTATGCAATAATTTTTAATCATTAGTATTAATGGTGTATTAAAAGTTGTTGTACTTTGTCTGTGACCTTAATTTTCTGCACTGAGTTACCAAATATTTCCAACCAGGTAGTCTTCAGATCACCTGATGAAAGGAGCAGGGAACAGGAAGAGGGTGGTGTAAACATTATAAAAATTTCACAAACCATGCCTATTTCATTTTCACTTAAAACTGCAATGTTATTTTTTGGGTAAACACAAAAGTTTCACTAGCATTTTAGTTATACATGCTTAAAAAAATGTTAGATGTAGTGGGATTTCTCTTAAGCATCAAATGATCTTGGGTACTTTAAAATACAGACACTATGCCATTTGAGCTGCTTTTTCCCTAGTCCTATTTATACGTTGGCTTGTTCATCTCTAGTCTTCTAGGAGTTTAAGGAACTGGAGATAAGAGTAATTTGGGATTCCATGTGGAATAATGTGCTCTTATGAGAGTACGTGCTGCTGTCTTTTGCTTAGTAGCATTTTGATCCACTGTCAGTAGCCCATTTGTCAATGCCTTGCTGCTGCTTTGTAGATATACTTAGTCTAGTGCTTAATAAGGGAGTTGTTTTGTGTTTTCTTTTAATTGGGACAGGTAAGAGTAGTTAGCATACCAAAAATATACATTGGCTTACATTGGCAAACTTTGGGTTATATAGTATCACGGCTCAAGGTTGAACAATTTAAAAATACATCTTAATTAATAGTATTTTCCATGTGACCTGCTGCCAGGATGCGTAGCCACAGGCCTATCAGTGGAAAGGGGCATATAGTAGTCTTTAAATATTGCCTTTATGTCAGAGAGTTGTTTTAAATGGTTTTGCTAGTGGTTATTGTTCATTTCTGTCCCAATCAGTGACTATTTTAAATAATAGTGTATTTACTGTCTTAACTTCTAGTATTGGTGCTGTTTGATGTTTTCACATTTAATTAACTTATTTCATCATCATAATGCAATTAATGTATTTGTAAATTGAATTTTCCAAGATTCTGATATTTGAAGGGTAAGCATCTTGATGGATATATGTCCATATGTTTAGAGAAGGTTTTGGTTTTGGGGGCAGCAGATTGACTAGTTCTTTAAATCTGTGTGTAACGTATGTTTTATTCCTCATTTCTTCCTAATCTGATGATCTTGATTCTTTTTGATTAACATGAAAAATCCTGTCTGCTTGTTTTGGGAAAAAAAAATGCTTTTTTTCTCTTCTAGCTCTCCTGTGTGACTTTTAGGCATGTCATTTCACCTTGTCTGGGTGTCAGGTCATTCACCTGTAAAATGAGTTGGCTTAAATATCTCCGAGATTCCTTGGAAATTTCTACTATTTGCACTATAGTGAGGATTTTAATAATGACATGACTTCTCTTTTCATTAATTTTGTCCTTCATTCTGAGGTATAAAGATAGTTTAAAGGTGAGTTTGGAGATGGGTAAATGTGCAATATTTGTTAGCTTCTGTCCTAAGAATATTTGGATTCATGACTAGAGCTAGTTGATTCTATTACCTTTTGAGTGAGAAATGTTAGACAGCATGATTAAGAATTTAGCAAATCCTTTCTCATCACCATAACTTAGCTGAGTTGTAAGGAAATCCTTTTGAGAATATGGCATTTTGTTTTAGTGATTACAACCTTGTTACCAGAATGGAGCTTTTTACTTGACACCATTAAAAATATCAGTATGGACAAAACCCCCAAAGCCTTCAGATGCGACTTACATAGAAGTCACCACTTTTTCATACGTAAATCTGCCTTGGCAGATGGGAGAAAAGAAACGACTTCCTAATAGAAATGCCAAAGTTTGGATTAGACTTGACGGGAAAACGAACCTGGAAAATCCTGGAAGGTGTGCTCTCTTTAAGACCTAATATCTGAAACAGTTTTATGACTTTTTTGTTTTGTTTTCTACACATCTTGGAAATAGAAGTCTTAAGCATGCGTAGCATTAGGACTGGAATTTCTTTTGTTGAGTATTCTGGATCTCATATCATGGTTACCAACTCATACTGTATACACCAGTGGTTCCCAAACTTAACGTTGGAATTACCTGGGAGTTTCAACAAATACTGATATCTGTGCCCCACCCTCAGCAATTGTGATCTAAATTCATTTGGAATGTGGCTTAAGCATTAGAATTTTTAAAAGATCCCCATTATAATATATGGAAATGTTTTGGAACCACTGCCACATTTCACAGTTTTCAACTTATTGAAAGCTGCTGTGGATTATCTACATCCAGATTTATGCAAATCTGAAGCAGATACAGATGCTTATACACACATGAGAGTATCTCCTGCCCCCAGTGGCTCCACCACCAGTGCCTGAATACTCAACATCTGAGTGCTAATTAATGTGCCAGGCACCGTTTTAAGCAGTTGTGGTGTAAAAAGGAAATATCCCTGCTTGTGGACGATACATTCTAGTGGAGGAGTCAGATACATAAAATGTCAGGTAAATTGCTAAAGTGAAAGGAAAACTGAGTAAAGGGCTGGAAATGAATGGAAGGGGGGGTGGCAAGTCTTTTATTTATGGTAATTTAAAAAGGTGTCCCTAAGGAAGTAATCCTTAGAGCTAAGAGCAGAAATAAGGCAGGCAAAGATTTGAGGGAGGGAGGAGGGAACAAGCTTGGCAGGTTGACTAAAGCAGGGCATTAGAGCACAGTGTACAAGGGGCTGGGAACTGGGGACTCTTGGAAGCCATGGTAGGAAACTTGGGAAGCCATTGAGGGGTTTGAGCCATGGTCTGACATAAAGGTCACTCTGGATACTGTGTATACAATATTATAGGGAACCTGGGTGAAAATAGATTTAGGAGAAGCAACTCAGAAGATTTAATAGCAACTCAGAAGTCTTCACATCGAGTGTTGGTGGCTTAGCCTAGGGTGGTAGCAGCAGCAGTAGTGGCTAGTGGTAGGACTCTGTGTACTAAAGGTACAGCCAACATAACTTTGGCCCAGGGATTGGAAGGCAAAGAGATGACAAGGGTGACTCGGGTTTTTGGCCTGAAGGGGGAAAAAGAATAAAAATTTATGGTTTGCACTTAGGTTTGAGATGCCTAATAGATTTCCAGTAGAATCCAGCATGGAACCCGGCATATGACCGTTAGGGTAATAGGAGGTGAACATTTTGGAGAGTCATCTCTATGGCATTTGAAGCCATGTGACTGAAATTACTCAGGAAATTAGAGCTTCTCAAATGTTAATAAGCATGTTTGGTTAAGATCCAGATTCTGCTTCAGGAGATCTGACGTGGGGCCCGAGGGTCTGCATTTCTAGCAAGCTTCTCAGTGATGCTGATGCCGCTGGGCCGGGGCCCGCATTTTGAGTAGCAACCAAGTAGATGGGGAGGAGAGAGGGTCAGCCCTGTGTCACTCCAACATCTAAAATGGGGAGGAGCCAGCAAAGGAACCTGAGGAGAGCTCTCCGTGATGTGAAATAAAGTGTTTCAAGAAGGGAGTCGTCGGCTCATTCAGGTGCTGTTGAAGGAAGATGAACACAACTAACTGTTAGATTGGGGGGATTGTCGTTAACAAGCTGCACGTTTGGAGTCTGGATTGTGAGCAGAAGGGGACTGAAATAGAGATGGCAACTGCAGACAAGCCTTGCAAAGGGGAACAGAGATGGGTTATAACTGAGGCGGAGGTGAGCTAAGGGAGGACTTAAGCTATTCGGGAAATAGTATGGCATGATTGACTATATGCTGGAGGAATCCCGTTAGGAGGGGCAAGTGAATGCTGTTGATGGGGAAACTGAATAGGCAAGACGGAGTGGGATGCAGGACTCAGGAGAGGCTGGTCTCAGTAGGCAGAAGAGGCAGTGCCTTGTCCATGTCCACAGGGAGGGCAGCACTTTTATTCACTTACTCAAATATTTATTGTGCACCTATTTGCAAGGCATCGTTTGTACTGGGGATAAAGCAGTGACCAAAATGAGACAATCTGTAACCTTGTGGAGCTTAGATTCTGGAGTGAATGGGGCGTATATGCAGGTAGGTTGCTAACTTTGTTATTGGGAAAATGATAGCTTCCACTTTCCCAGCTGAGGAAGTGATGGGGAAGGGAGTTGCAAGTCTGTAGGAATGAGAGGTGTGGAGCATCACCTGGGAGAGTAGGAGAGTGAATGGCCCCGGAATGCCAGGACTGTGGCCAAGCTGCAGGTTTGGGTCAAAACTTCACATGAGCTGACTACTCATTTTGTTGCCTGGATGCAGACATGAAAAAATAAACAAAAAATAACAAATTTTCGAAATCTCTACAGTACACCAGAAAAATTGCATCTCCCCAGTCCTTTTCATATACCTATTAGGTGGCTTCCTCTGGGGTTCTGTCCTCATTCCCCCTCCTGAAATGGAAGGAGCAAATTTTCAAGGAGCAGTTAATGTAAGTAAGCTAGACGGCTAGACGGCTCTTCAGCGCTGTCTGAATCAAGTACTTAGTAGTTTTATGTTGTTCAAAATACATTTTAAGTGAAGTTAGTTATTTTGGGACTTCCTTTACTATATTGCCTAAACTACATCAATCAGAGAAACCACAGCTCCTTCATCGTCTCCTATTTCAATGCGAGGGAAGTGGTCTGGACCAAGATTCCAGAGATGTGGACTCAACCTGTGATCTTGGACAGGTCACTTGTCCTCTTTGGCCTGCAGTTTGTTCAGCTGGAAAATGGCTGATTTAATATATGGTTACCTAAAAGTGTGGCTGTTATTCATGTCTTAACATTAGTCCGAGGAAAGAGGTCTCCTGGTCACAAACTTACTAATTGGGTAGTTTATAAAATAACAGCTTTAATTCACGTGCGTTGTAAGTACACTTTAAAGCAGGGCTTTCTAAACTTCAGACACCACAGACAGATCTTGATGGATTTTGCCATTTCTGCACACCATTCTAATTTTATATTTAAAACTACTATGTGCTTAGTACTTTTAAAGTCAACTCACTGTTTGATGTAAATTTATTTTAAAAAGGAAGCATATCACTTTGGCAAATGGAAAATTAGTATCACTTTCTGCAACTAGAAGACTACCTTAAAATGTAATAAAAACAGTGTTATTAAACACTAGCTATGCAGTATGGCCAGTGAAGAGAGCCCAAAGTCTATCCTTTTTTTAATTAAAAGGTGTGATAAGTAAGTAACGTTAGGTAAGGGTAAAAGACACGTAAACACCAAATTGAGTCTTTCTGCATGATGTGATCAAATGGATTTTGAGACTTTTCTTGAGTACTTACCTTACCATCCTACTCTGGAAAACACTTTTAACAAAAGGTTAACCAGTGCAGTTCCTTGACTATCAGTATAAAACAATATTAACATTTCTTAGTTTAACAGCACTTGTCTAGCTGCATGCAGATGGATGTTGCCTCTTAATTAAGGTTTCTGTAAACCTCATAAGGTATTTGCCAACATTGTCTATATCGGTACTAGAGTGACATTATCCTGACCCCAAAGGAGTTTCTAGTCTTACCTCTTTTTTCATCTGAGGATTAAAAATGGCACCTCCTCAGTGCATCTCTCTTTTTTTTTTTTTTTACACGGAGTCTTGCTTTGTCACCCAGGCTGGAGTGCAGTTGTGCGATCTTGGCTCATGGCAACCTCCGCCTCCCAGGTTCAAGCAATTCTCCTGCCTCAGCCTCACAAGTAGCTGGGATCACAGGCGTGTACCACCATGCCTGGCTAATTTTTATATTTTTTGTACAGACAGAATTTCACCATGTTGACCAGGCTGGTCTTGAACTCCTGGCCTCAAGCGATCCGCCCCGCCCCCCTGCCCCCCACTTGGCCTCCCAAAGTGCTGGGATTACAGGCCTGAGCCGGGCGGTAGTGCATCTCTTTGGGAGCTGAGAGAGGTTTCCTGGGCCAGCCTTGCAATACCATCACTCTTGGGCCCAGCATTCCAGACCTGAAAAATCCTTAGAATTACCCAGCTAATTTCCTCAGTTATCCACTAGCTAGTGGGTTCTTGATTTAGCAGTCTCTATTATCAAAACAAAAATTCCAATTTCCTTACAAATTGGATAAAAGCAACATGTCCATGTCATAAACACAGGAGGAATGAGATTTTTACTGCAGCAGCATATTTTGGTATTTTGGATAGCTGTGTACCTATAAGAGCTAAAAGTAGTCTTTCAGATTTTAATTGTATTGGATAAAAATTTTCCTGCCTTCTTAAATATGTCCTTAAATTCTTCTTGGCGTATAGTAGGACAAACAAACATTTAATGTATTCATCCTTTGACTCAACACCATGTGATTATACAGTGATATTCTTAAATCTTGCTCCAGTATGGAGGACCATTTGCCTCTGTACTTGCTTCCGAGTGTTTTTTAAAATAAATTTGGCTGCTTTTGATGTTTTTCATGCTTCCTTGCTTCTAAAACTGTCTGCCTTGTAGTTTGTATCCCTCTTAGTTTGTTGTGTGTTGGAAAAGCATTTGGTTGAATCTGTGTCTAGCTTCAGAATAAATAGATTCTAAGAGAGTATCTAGTGCTTGACTTCAATGTATGGTTTTTTTTGTTTGGTTTTTTTTGGGTTTTTTTGAGACAGAGTTTCGCTCTTGTTGCCCAGGCTGGAGTGCAATGGTGTGATCTCGGCTCACCGCAACCTCCGCCTCCTGGGTTCAAGTGATTCTCCTGCCTCAGCCTCCCGAGTAGCTGGGATTACAGGCATGCACCACCACACCCGGCTAATTTTGTATTTTTATTAGAGATGGAGTTTCTCCATGTTAGGCTGGTCTCGAACTCCTGACCTCAAGTGATCCATCTGCCTCAGCCTCCCGAAGTGCTGGGATTACAGGTGTGAGCCACCGTGCCCAACCAGTTTTGGTTTTTTTAATATGTGGATTGTTTTTTCTCCCCTGTTCTTGTGGTCAGATAGCAGTGTTTCACCATCTACTAGCTTTGAACAGCAAGATCTAATTGCTTTGTTTGACAAGAGGACTTAACTTATTTATACAGTATTCTAATCTTAGAAACTTCCCACACAGAAACAGATGTTAGGCCAGCTGGCTAGTTTTCTCTCCAGGTGTTCAGGTTTTAGATTAGTAATATGGAATCATATACCCTTGGTGGGAAGTAATCTTTTTGATTCTAATAGAAGAATGTGGTTTACCAACTATATGAAATGGTAGAACATAGCAATTTCAAGCCTTTTTGACAGACTTCCATTGCTTTTCTGTGCCTTCCTGAGATGTGATAACATCTTCCAAATTTCAGAAATTTTCTTCTGTAATCTTAGAACACATTTTCCTTTTTGGTTACATTCATTTCCCATCAACTTGAAAAAAGTAAATTCTCATAGATTAAGCAATTATAAAGCACCGTAGCAAAATCATGACTGGGAAATTCAATTTTCACAGCAAAAACTTTGCAGTAGCTTTGGCTTTGAGTTTATAGTGTTTGAGTATTGCGTAGACTATTTTCTTCATCAATGTCATTGTTACTTCAGGATAATTCTGACTAAGGTGCAACTTGGTGGAATTGACAACCCAGCACTTTTCTAATTACCCAGTGAGAAATAAGGACATTTTCCTGTGCCCAGTTAAGAGAGGGAGAAAAGCTAGAGTTACCTAAAGTATTCTCTCTCTCTTTTTTTTTTTTTTTTTTTTTGAGACAGCCTCACTCTTTCCCAGGCAGGCTGGAGTGCAGTGGCGCAATCTTGGCTGATTGCAACCTCTGCCTCCCAGGTTCAAGCAATTCTCCTGCCTCAGCCTCCCAAGTAGCTGCAATTACAGGTGTGTGCCACCACGCCTGGCTAATTTTTTTATTTTTTCTTTTGAGATAGAATTTCACTGTTGTTGCCTAGGCTGGAGTGCAATGGCGCAATGGCACGATCTTGGCTCACTGCAAACTCTGCCTCCCAGGTTCAAGTGATTCTCCTGCTTCAGCCTCCCGAATAGCTGGGATTACAGGCATGCACCACCAGGCCCGGCTAATTTTGTATTTTTAGTAGAGACGGGGTTTCTCCATGTTGGTCAGGCTGGTCTTGAACTCCCGACCTCAGATGATCCACCCGCCTCGGGCTCCCAAAGTGCAGGGATTACAGGCATGAGCCACTGTGCCTGGCCTTGTATTTTTTTTTTTTTTTTTTTTTTTTTTTTAGAGAAAGTCTTGCTCTGTCACCCAGGCTGGAGTGCAGTGGCACAATCTCAGCTCACTGCAACCTCCACCTCCGGGTTCCAGCAATTCTCCTGCCTCAGCCTCCCAGGTAGCTGGGATTACAGGCATGCACCACCACACTGGCTAATTTTTGTGTTTTTAGTAGAGATGGGGTTTCACCATGTTGGCCAGGCTGGTCTCCAACTCCTGATGTCAGGTGATCCGCCCCCTTCGGCCTCCCAAAGTGCTGGGATTATAGGCGTGAGCCACCTCACCCGGCCTAAAGTATTCTCTTTCTATTTTAGTCTTCACTGTATTAAATTTATTTTAAATTAGATTTCCCCTCCTAATAGTAGACTAAATGCCTAATTATCTGGAATTGATTTTAAAAATTTATATTATTTTCATGTCACTTGAAGATCTCAAAACAAGACTTTTATCCATTTAAGCTAACAAGAGTGAGTCTGGGTTCTTTGTAAAGCACTTTTGTAAAAAAGTACCTTATGTGTGAGAGTTTGCAGTACCTCCCTAAGTATTTCAACAAGTGGCTAGTCCAGTGAGTTGCAAATAGTAGCTAAAAGTAGATTTTTATACTACTTTACATCCAGGATTAAGGTAGAGGGTTTACTATTTTGTTTTGTTTTGTTTTTACTAGATACTTACATCTTTGTTTTATTTGTTATGCTCCACTGAGGTCTGTCCTACCAAAGGGACAAGAGAAGCAACTGTTATGCCATGAAAGGAATTTTCCCATACATAAGCATTCGTAAATAATCCCCAAGTGTAAACACAGTGCCACTTGTTTCCTTAACATTTTCTCAGACCTGCCACATCCTGACTTTCGACATTGATATGACAATTCAAAGATAACTTAAGCAGAATGTGAAAGATAATTTGCAAAAGCATGTCATGTAGAACGTGGAGAGGAATCCTGTAGTAACTAGGCGACGTCCCTCGGCTTGGGGTGAGACTGTGTTCCAAACTACGGTTTCCCAAAGCGTTCCGTGGATCCTAGAATGCTAACTGGCCCAAGAAAGCTGGGATACTTTGCATATAAAATTCTTCCTCTTGGAGATTCAGAAGGCACATACATATTAGAGGTTCTGAGAAATACTGCCACTTTTCCCCCATAATACCTTACTATTCTGAGGAAGTAGGGTCCTTTCAAATGGTTTGAAAATGTTGCCCTACACTACACCATGAAAGGATGGATCATATTCAAATCTACTGAGTAATCCTACTGTAGGGGGACTTATACCCCAGCTCCCTACTTTCCCATATCCAGCACTATGGTCTTGGTGCCATTTGTACCATTGTTTAAAGACAGCAGTCAGGCATAAGGACTGGTATCTTCTTTCTACTAGACAGTACTACTCAATTGGGTGGAGGAGAAGTATAAGTGTTTAAAGCCTCCCTAACCAAATCTGGTGCAACAAGTAACAATACTGTTCAAGAATTGTGTGTCAAATACAATTGGGTTATATAACCCACTAGCTCAACCTTGAAAATAAATTAACTTGTTTGGCTTCTTAATTGGTAGAATTCGTATACGTTCATAGTCACACATGGATAGTAACCTTCATATTTGATCAGAGGAACTCCCAGAAAGGACCACTGTTCGTCTTATGTCCCTTTCTGAGAAAGAAAGGACTATAAAAGGCAAGTGATAAAGAGGATCTGAATTCAAGCCACATTCTATTGTTACCATGAGGGTCAAGTAGATGTGAGAAGTGGCCCTAGGCAACGATCTCGTGCTCCCAGCAGGCTCTGAAGTTTATTCGAATTTAACGTCATGATGCGCCTTTGGCTTTATAACCTGTAAAGATCAACTAAACTGTTTTCCTAGGAGAGTCCCATTGTCATTTTAAAGTAATTGTTTCTGTAAAATGCATTTACAGAAAGTCAGATTTGCTTAACCAGTGCCACCATCAAAACTTTCTATTAAGGGTGGACAAATACCATCTGTAGATAGAATTAAAACCTGAATTGTGCATGAGGCACAAGATCTCTAGAGAAAAGGGGTAGTTAATTGCCCAAGAGTAATAATTCCAGCAGAGTCATTGACGGGGCTCCAAATTTGCCATTTCTAGCATGTTTTAGTGAGAGAGTAGGAAATCTGTCTTTCTGTTTGTTTCATCTCTTAATTAGTTGAAGTCTTCAGGAAAATCAGTAGCTATGAAGGATTAAATGATGAATTTATTCCTGGAGCCAGAAAATTGAGTTACAGCAGTGTTCGATGCTCTATATACTGAGAGGTAACAGGCTCTCTGTCACTCTGTGTAAATTTTTGTGGTAAAGCTATTTTGAGACTAGTTTACTGTTTATTCTGAAGAGAATAAAATATGAAGTCCAAGGGAGGAGGATGTGCAAAGGGAGAATTTCCCTTCTCCCTTTTCATAACCATCCTCTCATCTTACTATAAAAATGGGGGCCGGAAGCTCTGACCCTGCCACCATATTGCTGTGATGCGTTACCTGAGTTCCACAAACTGCTGGAGCCATACATTCTAAAACAATGAACACCAACCAGCTTTTCACTTTCGTGGTTTCGTCACGGTTCTGAACACCACACTATGCTGGAGAGCATACCCTTTAGTGGCTTCAGATTTTAAAAGCTTATGGGCCACCATAGGGAACATTTGAAATACTGACACTGGGAAACCTTTTCTCAAAGCACCATAAAGAAGTTTCCCCCCAAATCCTTGTCATGTTTAATACAAGTTTATGAATTTTAACAATTCCCAATGTTCATGTTTCAATCAATTGGGAACTAATAATTGCAATACTAAATTCAGAAAAAGTTTTTAACTTTGAGAATTATATATGCTTTTGTTTGTTGCAAGAAGTATAATAGGGTAATCAAATGACTCGAGAATAAGAATACATCATTAGGATACTATTTTGTGGGGGAAGTGGAATGGAAATACAATTTTAGGGGAAAAGCAATGTTAAAACTCTTATTGTAGGTATTTAAAAAAATATGTGGTATAGCACTTAGATTCCATTGAACTTATTTGAGCCATGTAATATTTAAATTTTTTATTTAAAAATGACAGTATAGGCCAGGTGCAGTGGCTCACAGCTCTAATCCCAGCACTTTGGGAGGCCGAGGCAGGTGGATCACTTGAGGTCAGGAGTTTGAGACCAGCCTGGCCAACATGACAAAACTCCATTTCTACTAAAAATACAAAAATTAGCCAGGTCTCATGATGCATGCCTGTAGTCCCAGCTACTCGGGAGGTTGAGGCAGGAGAATCGCTTGAACCTGGGAGGTGGAGGTTGCAGTGAGCCGAGATCACGCCACTGTTCTCCAGCCTGGGTGACAAAGCAAGACTCTGTCTGAAAAGAAAAACAAAAAAGACAGTATAGACAATATACCGGAAATTACATTTGTTGTAATCATGGAAGTTTATAGCAAAACATTTTAGAGGTCAACTTATATATGTGAGAGGGTGCGTAGTATTTCAAAAAAATTTTAAGATATGTGAAAGCAAAAACATTAGAAATGGACAGAAACAATCTGTTCAATATTCTGGCCTTGACTCACACCTTAAATCCTGCCTCAGCCATCTACCTCCTTGGAGTTACCTTAGACTTTGCAAGTACCAAACTCTACCTACCACCAAAAAATACACTCTCAATTTGAAGCATCCCACCCTCTGGCCAACATTGTTGTTCACTCCCTCCTCTACTCTCACTGAACAGTTGTTCAGCACCACCATGACCTCCAAAATATTTCCTCCAAACCCTCCTTCCTACCCTTCCACCTTCCCAGGTTGGCCTTGGCCTCTGCCTGACTCAGATTGTGTGGCTGTCATGTTAATCACCCGCTGGTACACATTTTCAACCCCCTCCCTTGCCTTGGCCCTGTCTAACCCTGTCTAAACCCAGCTGTCAGCCTCCTCAGCCGCTGCAGTCAGGCAGCTAGTAAGTGGCCAGAGTAACACACGACTATGCTGATGGCTCATTTGTTCAATTAGCGACAGAGTTCAAGCAGGCCCTTCAAGCTGCCTGACAATCCTCCTACATTTTCTTTTTTCCTTTTCTTTTTTTTGACATGGAGTCTTGCTCTGTCACCCAGGCTGGAGTGCTGTGGCGCAATCTCAGCTCACTGCAACCTCTGCCTCCCAGGTTCAAGCGATTCTCCTGCCTTAGCCTCCCAAGTAGCTGGGATTACAGGCACACGCTACCATACCCAGCTGATTTTTGTATGTTTAGTAGAGACAGGGTTTCACCATGTTGACCAGGCTGGTCTCGAACTCCTGACCTCAGGTAATCTACCTGCCTTGGCCTCCCAAAGTGTTGGGATTACAGACATGAGCCACCATGCCTGGCCCCCCTACATTTTCTTAGTCAAGTTACTCTTTCACCTCCGAGACCATGATTCTACTTTTTCTTCTTTCTTCAAACCTTCAGTACCCAATATCCCTCTCCCTCTGCCTTCACAGGGTGATTAACTCAATTCTTATTTTGTTAAAAACAACAAAACAAAGGTCATCGGAGCCCTCCCCCTGTTTCTACCACAACTGCCAGCCCACCTGCCTTCCATCTCTTTACAGTGGATGATTGTCTATTCTTAGGGCCAACCCTTCAACCTCTTCCTATGTGCAGGAACTTCACTCTCGCAATTATTCCCTCTCTCAATCATCCATGTTTCCCCTTCCAGTGGACCTTTCTATCGGTATGTAATGTTGTTACAGTGCCAATCTTAAAAAACAACAATGAACAGCTAACTAATGTCCCATTTTTTGTGTGTTCCCCTTTGTGGAGAAACTCCTCAAGAGTTGTCTATTCCATTTTGTTGTTGCTGTTTTTCATACCAACATTTATTAAGACTTATTTTTCTATGGTCCTCAATCACAGAACAATTAAGCAACCATATAAAAATTTAATGTACCTGAATATGAGATGTTGCTTTTTTTTTTTAAGACAGGATCTCGCTCTGTTGCCCAGGCCGGAGTGCAGTGGCACAATCTCGGCTCACTGCAGCTTCAACCTCCTGGGCTCAAGTGATCCTCCCACTTCAGCCTCCTGAGTAGCTAAGACAACAGGCATATGCCACCATGCCTCGCTAATTTTTTTATTTTGTAGAGATCGGGCTCTTGCCAATGTTGCCCAGAGTGGTCTCGAAATCCTGGGCTCAAGCAGTCCTCCCACCTCAGCCTCCTAAAGTGCTGGGATTACAGGCATGAGCCGCCACGCAGAGCCCAAGAGTTGTCTATTCTTGTCTCTGCTTTCTTTCCTTCCATTCTTTCCAGAATGGCTTCGTCTCAAACACTCCAATACAACTGCCTTAACATTAGTAAATTCAATTGTCAATTCTCTGTCATTATCTTTTCCTGCTCTCATTTGACACAAATGATCACTTTTAAAATGCTTTTTCTACTTCGTCTCCAGGGTACAAAGTACACCTGCTCTAGAATCTCCTCCAACCTCAGGGACTGTTTCTTTTCTATCTGCTTTGCGGAATCTGCCCCTTCTTGCTGTCCTCCAAATACTGGAGTGTCCTAGGTGAAGGCTTCAGAAGTCCTCCTCATATAACCATTCCCTAGGGGCTGTCATCCTGTGCACTGGCTTTAAACACCTTTTATACTGTGATGACTCCCAGTTTCTGTCACCAATCCAGGACTCCGATCTAGACGGACATACTCAGTTGCCCCCAGCATTTCTGTTGGTATGTCAAGTGAACATCTCAAACTTCACGGGGTAGTTCCTAGTTTTCAACCTCCCTCCCAGCACGAGCCTTCTCTTCTTCCTTTCATGGTAAATGAAAATGAAAATTCCATCTTTTACTTGTTCAGGCCAAAAATCTTGGAATCATCGTTGACTCCTTTCTTTCTCCCCATCCACCGCCCCCCTCACCGTCTCTCTCTTTTTCTTTTTCTTTCTTTCTTTCTTTTTTTTTCTTTTTTTTTTTTTGAGACAGGGTCTCACTCTGTTGCCCAGGCTGGAGTGCAGTGGCATGATCACAGGTCACCGCAGCCTCAATTTCCTGGGCTCAAGTGAACCTCCCACCTCAGCCTCCCCAGTAGCTGGGACCACAGGTGTGCACCACTATGCCCAATTAATTTTTGTATTTTTTGTAGAGATGAGTTTTTGCCGTGTTGGCCAGGCTGGTCTTGAAGTCCTGGGCTCAAGTGATCTGCCTGTTTCAGCCTCCCAAAGTGCGGGGATTACAGGTGTGAGCCACCACACCCGTCTCTTTTTTTCCCTTATACTCCAAAACCAATTTGTCTGAAAATTCTGTCAGTTTGGCCTTCGAGATATACTCAGGAGCCTGCTGCTCTGCTGCCCCTTGCCTCCCCTAGACCACGGTCGCCTCTACCAGGGCTGCTGGAACAACCTCCTCATCAGTCTTCCTGCTTCCACCTCTGCCTTTATGTTTATTGTCCGTAAAGCAGATAAAGAGATTCAGCCACATCCATCTCTCCTATGCCTAAAATCCTCCAATGGCTTCCCGTCTTACAGTAAAATCCAAAGTCTTTATGTTGGCCTAAAAGGCCCCGTGTAATCTGGCTCTGAGCTCTGACTTCTCCTAGCACTCTCTTTTTGCTTACTCCATTCCAGACACATGGGCCACCTTGCTCTTCCCTGGACACACCCGACACTGTCTAGCCACGGGCCTTTGCACTTACTCTTCCCTCTGCCTAAATGCTTGTCCCTTGTCTCAGATTTCCATTTCAGTTGCTCCTTTTATCGTGTAGCTAATCCTGCAATGCCTGTTTTATAATCTAGAATGCTGTTTGTTCCTCTGACCCATCAAAACCCTTCTCCAACATCATCGAAGTTAAAATGAAGATCATAACCTAGGAAACTCTAACTAAAGGAAGGTTTTCTGAACTTAACCTTTTCAGAGAATTTTAATACTGCTAGTCCAGCTAAAGTGATATTAATCCAAAGAAATCTTGACTTTGTGTAAATCTCAGGCAGTATACAAAGACAAAATTCAAATAGAAAAGAAATAACCCCTATGAAAAGAGAAAGTGTTCTAATAACATGTTATCAATCCCATCACTTTTTTTTTTTTTTTTGAGACGGAGTTTTGCTCTTGTTGCCCAGGCTGGAGTGCAATGGTGTGATCTCGGCTCACTGCAACCTCCACCTCCTGGGTTCAAGCGATTCTCCTGCCTCAGCCTCCCAAGTAGCTGGGATTACAGGCATGCGCCACCACGCCCGGCTAATTTTGTATTTTTAGTAGAGACGGGGTTTCTCCATGTTGGTCAGGCTCGTCTCAGACTCCCGAGCTCAGGTGATCCGCCCAGCTAGGCCTCCCAAAGTGCTGGGATTACAGGCATCAGCCACCGTGCCCATCACCTTTTCTTTTTCTTTTCTTTTTTTTTAATTTTTTTTTTTTTGAGACAGAGTCTCACTCTTGTCACCCAGGCTGCAGTGCAGTGGTGCGATCTTGGCTCACTGCAACTTCTGCCTCCCAGGTTTAAGGGATTCTCCAGCCTCAGCCTCCCGAGTAGGTTACAGGCACGCACCACCACGCCCGGCTAATTTTGTATCTTTAGTAGAGATGGGGTTTCATCCTGTTGGCCAGGCTGGTCTTGAACTCCTGATCTCAGGTGATCCACCTGCCTTGGCCTCGCAAAATACTGGGATTACAGGCATGAGCCACTGCTTCTGGCCCACCTTTTATTTTCTTCGTAGCATCTGGTTATTGGACTGTCTTCTTTCACTAAAATGTAAGCTCCTTGAGAGCAGGAACTGTGTGTGTTTTCTTCACAGCTGTATTTTTAGTGCCTAGAACAGTGCTGACACCCAATATGTTATGTCCTTAATAAATACATTTTGAATGGATGTCATGAAACTTTTGTTGATCCAATCCAGTGTCTTTGGTTTTTAAACCTATCATCCCTTCTCACTAGGCCTGTTTTCTTTCTTTCTTTCTTTCTTTTTGAGATGGAGTCTGTTGCCTGTTGCCCAGGCTGGAGTGCAGTGGCACCATCTCGGCTCACAGCAAGCTCCGCCTCCCTGGTTGACGCCATTCTCCTGCCTCAGCCTCCCGAGTAGCTGGGACTACAGGCGCCCGCCACCATGCCTGGCTAATTTTTTTGTATTTTTTTAGTAGAGATGGGGTTTCACCGTGTTAGCCAGGATGGTCTCGATCTCCTGACCTCGTGATCTGCCTACCTTGGCCTCCCAATTTTTTTTTTTTAATAGAGGCTGGGTGTGGTGGCTCATGCCTGTAATGACAGCACTTTGAGAGGCCAAGGCAGGTGATCACTTGAGCCCAGGAGTTTGGATAGAAAGAAAGAAGAAGAAAGAGAGAGAGGAAGGAAGGAAGGAAGGAGAAAGAAAAGGAACAAGGTAAGAAAGAACGAGAGAAGGAAAGAAAGAAAGAAGAAAGAAAAAGAGAGAGAGAGAAAGAGAAAGAGAGAGAGAGAAAGAGAGAGAGAAAGAGAGAGAGAAAGAGAGAGAGAAAGAGAGAGAGAGAAGGGGAAAAAGGAAAAAAAAAAGAAAAAAAATAGAGATGGGGTCTCGCTCTGTTGCCCAGATTGGTCTCAAACTACCAGGCTCAAGTGATCCTCCCATTTTGGCCTCCCAAAGTACTAGGATTACAGATGTGAGCCACTGTGCTTGGCTTCACTAGGCCTGTTTTCTTAGGATAAAGATGTCGAGTGGATTAAGTGCTTGTACCTATTACTAAGTAATATTAAATAATTCTGGTAGGAAATCCACTTCTCAGGGCATCATGGGAGCACTTAGTTATTGTATTTTTTCCCCTAAATTTAAAAGTTGATGCATTTTGTCCAAGTGGGGAAAAACCCAAGAATGCTTTTGGTTCCAAAGCAAGAAGCAAAATTTGATGTTAAGTAGGGGAAATAAGAAATTAATTTTAATAATGCTTACTTCGTCAAGAAATAGTGCACAGCACAAACCTGTTATAGAAGCATTACATGTACAGTCAACCATCACAAAATACTAATTTCCTATTGAGCAGCTTGGTCTGAGTAAAGGAAGATGGGGCTCTCTGAAGTTTTACTTGAACTCTGCTCTGATCTCAGAAGCAAAATCCATCAGATTCTGTGATGGTCAAGTCACACACACAGGGCTTGCTGCTTGTCCATTGGGAAAGATGAAGAGTCGGCTTGTTACCCTTGCTCTCCTATGTCAAATTGTAGACAACCATCTTCTGTTATCCAGACACCAAAATTAATCAGGGAGGACCTTTTGCAGGGCTGTCTCGGTCAGTGTACAAAAGCTTCCTTTTCAGAGTGTTGTTCTGCACCTCAAGAAGCTGAAGACAAACAGTAAATGTGCAAGGTCACAGGTATATTAGAAGAAACGTTCAAAATGTGACATCCCAAGATGATACTTGTTGGCCACAGTTTTGTATGGTTCAAGGACAGGGAGGTGGAGCAACAGCAAATATTTGGCAAGAGTGCTGTCAGTTAGATACCCATGCTGGACATAGCTCATATTTTTCACGATACTCTTTACTTGCTGAACTTCAAAGACCTCCAAAGTTCTTCTCAATATAGATTTTAGGAAGCCACCATCAATTGATTGGCATTAACACTGAAGAGCAAACCCATTTGTTTTTTGCAGTTCTGATGGAACTTTCAACATTCTTCACAGGCAGGCACTCTGCTTTCTGATTGTCATTCTTTGTTGACAATTTTGCAAAAGATGAAAATCTGTCATTGTTAGTCAACTCATCACTGACTGGGTTAAACAGGATCCACAGAGAATTTGCCTTTTGCTTGCTGGATTCCAAATGTGGGTATTTTTCCCCTTCTAAGTATGTAGTGAAGTACCTTGAGATTTTCAGGCTGCATTGAGCTGAGAAAGCAGAGATCAGCACTTCTGGATTAGACCCCATGTTAAGCATGTAACACAGGCTCACCACCAACAGACTGCAACGGGAATGGTATGCATGGCTTACCTCTAGCCATTATTTTGCCCTTAAGAGTTGGGACTCAAAAAAAAAAAAAAAAAAAAAGAGTTGGGACTCATGCCTGTAATCCCAACACTTTAAGAGGCTGAGGTGGGAGGGTGGGAGGATTGCTTGAGGTCTTGAGTTCAAGACCAGCCTGGGCAACAGAGTGAGACCCATCTCTACAAAAAAAAATTTAAAAATTAGCTGGGTGTGGTTGTGCATGCCTGTAGTCCCAGCTATTCAGAAGGCTGAGGCAGGAGATTCGCTTACACCCAGGAGTTCGAGGTTGCAACAAACCATGATTGTGTCATGCACTCCAGCCTGGGTGACAGAGCAAGACCCTATCTCAAAAAGAAAAAAAAAAAGTTAGGACTCTTAAGACTTAGTGGTAGTGTAGTTGAGACATTCTTAGTAGGCTGATGTCTTTTCTACTTCCTTCTAAAATGCCTCCCATTCTCTTTAACCTTTGTTGTACTCAACAGTTTTGTCATTTTTTAACACTGTCTGATTGTGCCTCCATTGAAGCCATACTCTCTGCACTTGCTTTTTACATCTCTGACCCCTTTGTGTATCTGCATTAGTCCCTCTTCTTTCTCTGGCTCTTTAGCTGGGAGTGTCTTCTGTTGCCCAGCCCTGGCCTCCTGTTACTTTCCACACACTCTTCTGAAATCTCAAGCTTGGGTGGGAAAGCAAAGGTGTCATTTATTCACTCCCTAAAACTTCCACACTTAGTCAATAATTGGTCCTCAATAAATAGTTGTTGAGTCATTAAAGAACTTTTCCATTGTACAGATTCTCCCCATCCCATGTTATTTGGCTTGGTCCAGGAGAGGACCCATTGGAATTGCAGACTCAAAAGCCAAGTGGCAAGTGATAGGCTAGTATGGGGTCTCTGGTAGAGGGAACAAGTCAGTCAGCTTGTGTGCCAGATTTCTTGCACAGAACCTTGTCCCAGAAGTCAGGGTGTCTAGCACAGCACAGGTGAGGTGAAGTTAGGGCAGAACTTTCCCTACAGACTACACCACTTTTGAGCTAAAATTGAAAATGGAAAATTTCCGGTAACTGATCACTAAAATCTCTCTTGGTGTTTATTAGTTGCTCCTTGGAAGAGAGGAGTGGATTAGACATGTTTTATCCATAATAAAACAGAGTTCTGAAAGGTGGCAATTGAAAGGGTAGAAGTGGTCACAGAGGTGTTCTCTGCTGGTAAAATCTGCTGGCTGGATTAGGACGGGAGTGGTGTAGTCTTCTTTCTAGTTGTCTTTTTTCTTCCATTTTCCTATCCCAAGAAGTCCAAAAAGCTGAAGCCATACAAGGGATTAAGGAGAGGGAGAGGAAAGTGGCCTATCCATACAAATCCAGAATTTGGAGAACGAGACCTATTAGAGATCACGGGTATTGATATAGTAAGCTAAATTAGCATCTCTTCTGCCCACTCAGGGATAGATAGGATGAGTTTAACACCTTTATTTCAAAATTGCTATCAAATGTATCAAACATGCATGTGAGGACTCTCAATATAAAGAACTGACTTGGTGGATCACGAGGTCAGGAGTTCAAGATCAGCCTGGCCAACATGGTGAAACCCTGTCTCTACTAAAAATACAAAAATTAGCTGGGCATGGTGATGGGCACCTTTAATCTCAGCTACTCAGGAGGCTGAGGCAGGAGAATCACTTGAACCCGGGAGAGGAGGTTGCAGTGAGCCGAGATTGTGCCACTGCACTCCAGCCTTGGCAACAGGGTGAGAATCCATCTAAAAAAATATAAACAAATAAAAAATAAAAAAAACAAAGAGCTGACTTGATGTGGAGCCGTACTTAGTAGTAGGGGACGGTGACTCTATCTTGGTCTTTAAACTTTGAGGAATGCTGTAATTCCTAAATGACTCCCAATTTTGTTTCCTTCCTAAATTTGGAATAATCAACTCACTGTCTTCATTCCATGACACAGGATAGTTCTGCTTCTTTGGATTCTCAGCTCCCAAGGGATTTAAAATTCTCAGGATCCAATTTTGGGGTTAGTTACTACATGGTCTTTGTAGAAATATCAAGAGAGAGACTCATTGCTCAGGGATTATTTGATATTTCAATTTGATATATGTTTGCCCACTTGATAGAAAGGACTACCAGAAGAACAGGATATTTACCTGGTGCCAAAGTAAAACCTCGCACCTTGTTAACCAACTTCAAAGGCAAATGTACCAGGTCAGTGGAATTATCTGGCTGTCAGCATCATAATCAAACCAATCATTACTAACAGTGAGACAGGTCACTGTTGTGTATACCCACGATGCGATCTGAGATACCCAACATCACCTATGAAGATTTTTGCCAAAAATGTTGACTCTTAAGTCAAATGAGATCTCTCTAGATGTAACATCTAGAGGGGATAGACAAGTTAAATTACAACAAGAAGAAACTATCAGAAAAATCCAGAATGTGAGATAACTGGCATGGATGTTTAAAAAGTCAATGTTGGCTGGGTGTAGTGGCCCATGCCTATAATCCCAGCACTTTGGGAGGCCGAGGGGGTGGATCACCTGAGGTCAGGAGTTCGAGACCAGCCTGGCCAACATGGCAAAACCCAGTCTCTACTAAAAATACAAAAATTAGCCTGGCATGGTGCCTTGTGCCTGTAATCCCAGTTACTTGGGAGGCTGAGGCAGGAGAATCGCTTGAACCCATGAGGCGGAGGTTGCAGTGAGCCAAGATCATGACACTGTACTCCAGCCTGGGCAACAGGGTGAGACTCTGTCTCAAAAAAAAAAAAAGAAAAGAAAAAAAAGTCAGTGTTTTTGGGGGAAAGGAGGAGGGGAGAGAAGTATTGTGGATTAAAAGAGACATACCCAAGTGTAATGCCTGAACCATGATTGGATCCTGTCTTGAACAAAAAAGGCTACAAAATACATTTTTGTAATAAATGGGGAAATTTTACCATTTATTATGGTCAGTATTAGATGATATTATGACTAGATAGTAGATGATATTATGAAATTATTGTTAATTTTCTTAGATGTGATACTAGTATTGTGGTTCACAGGAGAATGTCCTTACACTAGGGAGATGCAGGCTGATTTCACGATGTCTGCAACATATTTTCAAATGGTTCAATAGCAATAACAAAGACAAGTAAAATATACACATACATACAAATACGGCAATTACTAGATCTGGGTAGAGGATAAGAAGTTATTCATTGTACTATCTTTAAAATTTTTTCATGTATATGAAATTTTTCTAATAAAAAGTTGGAGGAGAAAAGTTGATAAAGCAAAACCCAAAAAGTGCAGTCAGGTAGCTGTGGTAACACTTCAGAAAGATAGCCCTTTCTTTTCCCAGCCTAATCAAATCTTGCCACACATTTGTGAATTTGTTTTTGCGTGAGATCTTATTTATAGTGGACCATAGGAAGGGCTTAGTACTGCCCAGACACCAGTGATTCTGAGACCCTTATTGTGTAAACACATTCATTCTATGGAGCCAAAGGAGCTCTCCTAATAGAGGCAGGAATAACAAGAACTAGTGTATGGCTCTGATTTGTGCGTAGCATGCTCTGTTGTTATATTTAAAGTACGACTGCTAAATTCATTATTTGGGAATTGTTACAAGATGTGGTTTCAAACCTTTAGAAAATAGTATGATATTATTACAAAGAATGCCTAAAACAACCTCCATTCTGCTTTCCAGCCTACTATGGCATATCTTTGTTTCAGCTTTCTGGCCTGGAAACCTCTTGGTTTGTGGAGACCCATGGAAGAGACTCAAAGTTGGCAGATACTTGAAACTGGCAGATGATCCCCTCAGCCAGGTCTAGGGCTTACCCTTTCAATTCAGGGTGTGGAATCTGCTTTTGGACACCTGGCATTTTCCTTAGCTGGGCCCAGAAAACTCATTCAGTTTGACTCTTTATGGGTTGCCCAGATGCTGACCCTAAGCCTATCCAGAAACCAGGAATGTTTTACTGTGGTAAAAGAATTCTGGTTAATAAGGAAACCTAGCTATTACTCAGCTGGAAAAAAGCCAGACGGCCCAATCCTGCTAAGAGTTAGCTGCATCACTCTCTGTGACACTTTTCTCTGAGTACATGGAATACATGCGTTAAGGAAACCCTTGCCTTGTGAAACTGCTATTTGTTTGCTTCAGACAAAAAAAACTTCGGTACTGCTTCCAAAGTCGGTACTGAAGGGCAGCAGGGAGAGGGGCTGCAGAGGAAAATGTCCTTTCAGAGCTTATTACCTCACAGGGGAGATGGACGCACACACATCTGCAGAGAAGCCATCAGGGACGCCCTCATCTTCAAATTGCCTGTGCCTTTAGTCCCACGCTCTGTCTTCCTTCCTGTCCACCCCTTTCTGAAGCCAACCATTTCCCTTGCGTCCTGACCCCACCCTGGCCTTGTTAAAGACTTGCTTCTTCAGGTGTCCTTCTCTCCTCCCTGCCTCATTTCTCTTTTTTTTGCGGGGGGTGGGGGTGGCTGGGGGAGACAGAGTCTCGCTGTGTCGCCCAGGCTGGAGTGCAGTGGCTCAATCCTGACTCACTGCAACCTCCGCCTCCCGGGTTCAAGCGACTCTCCTGCCTCAGCCTCCCGAGTAGCTGGGACTACAGGCGCCCGCCGCGAAGCCCGGCTAATTTCTTTTGTATTTTAGCAGAGACGGGGTTTCACCGTGTTGCCCAGTCTGGTCTCGAACTCCCGAGTTTAGGCAATCCGCCCACCTCGGCCTCCCAAAGTGCTGGGGTTACAGGCGTGAGCAACCGCACCCGGCCCCTGCCTCATCTCTTATCTCTGCGGCACCATTCTCAGTAGCCACCGGGGTCTAATGACATCTCGTCTTTAAAAGTAACAGGCCGGGTGCGGCGGCTCACGCCTGCAATTCCAACACGTTCCTGCAGTCTCAGCTACTCCGAGGCCGGGGCAGGGGGAGGGCTGTGGGGGTTGTGGGGGAAGAACGGCTTGAGCCCGGGAGTTCAAGACTGCGATGAGCTATGATTGCGCCACTGCACTCCAGTCTGGGCAACGGAGTGAGATCCCGTCTCTAAAAAAACAAACAAAAAAAAGATAAAGAAAAAAATAAGTGTACACCTCACCCCCCAGATTCAGTCGTCTTCTTTCCCTTCCAGCCGTGGTCGCGTTCTCTGCTGCTCCTCCAGCAAAGTGACTGTCATCATCTAACCGCCGAGCAGTTTCCATCCCCGCTCCTCCTCCGAGGCTGCTGTTGTCCATGTTTCCAGGGACCTTGAAGTTGTTGGCTTCCATGGGAGCGTCTTTGTATTTCTCATGCTTGGCAGGATTCAGTCAGTTCCCCACTCTCCTCCTTCTTGAAACAATTTCTTCTCATATTGCCTGACAGCAGGCTCTTCTGGTTTCCTCTCCACCTTAAGAGATGCTGCCTCTCACTCTCCTTTGTTCTTCCTTCTCCATTTGACTTCTAGATGTCAGGGGCCCCATCTGATGTCCGTCTACATACTCTCCTGGCTGACCTCATCCAATCCCATAGCTTTCGATACCTCCATATCCTGATGACTTCCAATCAGTGTCTCCAGCCCTGACATCTCCCTGGAATTCCAGATTTATAGAACCAACCACCTACTTGATTAATCAACTGATAGATTTATTTAATTAAAACATTTATTATTTTTTGAGACAGGGTCTCGCTCTCTCGCCCAGGCTGGAGTGCAGTGGCATGATCATGGCTCACTGCAGCCTCAACTTCCCAGGCTCAAGGGATCCTTCCACCTCAGCCTCCTGCGTGGCTGCACCACCACGCCTGGCTAGTTTTTTGTGTTTTTTGTAGCGACAGGGTTTCGCCATGTTGCCCAGATTGGTCTCAAACACCTGGGCTCAAGTGATCCCCCTTCCTCAGCCTCCCAAAGTGCTGGGATTACAGGCAAGAGCCGCCACAGCTGGTTGATAGATTTATTAATTCCATGAATATTTATCGATTACCTATAAATGCCAGATACTATTCTAGGTTTGGAGGATACTTACATCAGTTAAAGACAGATAGCAATCACTACCCTGGAAATAATGAACATCATAAATAAGTAAATCAGACACTATGTTAGAGGCTGGTAAGTACATAGAGAAAAATTAAGCAGGGGAGACAGATAGTGAGTGCCAGGAGGAGAGGGTACTACAGTTTTAAAGAGGATGGAGACAGACTGTCCTACTGAGAAGGTGACACTTCAGCAAAGACTTGGAGGAGGTGAAGGAGTGGCCCGTGTGGCTCATTTAAGGAAATAACAGTGGAGGCAGAAGGTACAGTAAGTTTCAAGTCGCTGTGGCAGGTATGGCTTTGTGTGTTCAAGAAACAGCAAGGAAGTGAGTAGAGTGAGGGAAGAGTCGCAGGACAGAGGATCAGAGAAGAAACGGAGGGTACAGGTGCGGATCCCATGGAGCATGGTCAGCCATAGGAAGGACTTTGGTTTTTATACCAACTGAGATGGAGATCTGCCAACAGTTTTAAGCAGAGGAGTGACATAATTTGTCTAACTTTGTAAAAGCTCTCTTTGCCTGCTTTGTTGAGAATAGCCTCTAAGGGACAAAGGAAGAAGAGCTGGGAGGCTATTTTAGCCGTTTCAATGATGATAGTGTCTTGGCCCCACGTAGTAGCAGTGAAGATATATAACAAAAAGCTTCAGATCGTGGATATGTTTTGAAGGTAGAGCCAATAATATTTGCTGACAGAATGGATATGGGATGTGAAAAAAAGAGTGAAGGAGGACACAAGTATCTCTGGCCTGAGCAATTGGAAAGATGAAGTTGCTACCAGTTAGGACAAAGAAGACAGTGGGTTGAACATGGTTTTGAGTAAGGTTGCTGGGTTTAACAACAAAAAATCAGGAAGTCCAGTTAAATTTGAATTTCAGCAAAACAACAGACACTTTAGTATAAGTACATCCCATGCACTATTGCTTATACTTATTATGTGCTGTTATTCTAAATTTACTGGGCATCCTTTATTTTATCTGGCAATCCTAATTTGAGAGGAAAGTTTGAGTTGTGTGTTAGAGATGTTGAGAAGGCAGTTGGATATATAGGACTGGATATCAAGGTATAAGTCTGGCCTGGAGATTAAAATTTGGGAGAGAATAATAATATTTAGGTAGCCTATAAAGCTATGAGATTAGAAGAAATCCCCAAAGGAGTGAGAATGGATAGATGACTGGCCCAGGAAAGGAGCTGGGGCCCTCCAATGTGAAGAGATTGAGAGGATGAGGAAGGAGCAGCAGAGAAGAGGGAGGAGAAGGAGCTAGTATAGTAGGAGAGAAATCAGTATGTCTACTCTGACAGAGATCCTGAGGGAAGCAGCAATTGGTACCTACAACTCCTGACTTCTCCACACGCCCCCTCTCAAATTCTGCTTCCCCCCCTATACTATCTCAATTCGGGATAGAACTGCATCTGTCCAGGAACAAAGACCAGAGAGACAGGAATTATTTTTAATTCTCTTTCCATCACTCTTGTCTGTGTTCAATCCAATAGCAACTTCGGTCTCCTCTCCTTTCAAGACATGCTCTGAATTCATCCAGTTCTCTTCATCTCCACCACTACTACCACAGCTCAGCCCTCATCATCTTTCAGCTCAGCTCCTACAAAGCCTCTGATTCCCTTACAGTCATTCTCAACATGGCAGTCTGAACCATTTAAATATGTTATATGTATGTGTTTGTGCATATATACACACATATATGATATACATTATTTTTTTTTTTCGAGACGGAGTCTCGCTCTGTCGCCCAGGCTGGAGTGCAGTGGCGCGATATTGGCTTACTGTAAGCTCTGCCTCCCGGGTTCACGTCATTCTCCTGCCTCAGCATCTCGAGTAGCTGGGACTACAGGTGCCCGCCTCCAGGCCTGGCTAATTTTTTGTATTTTTAGTAGAGATGGGGTTTCACCGTGTTAACCAGGCTGGTCTCGAGCTCCTGACCTTGTGATCCACCCGCCTTGGCCTCCCAAAGTGCTGGGATTACAGGAGTGAGCCATATCCAAGCCCGACCAATATAAATATTTTTAATATACATATACATACAGTGGACCCTCGAACAACACAGGGCTAGGGATGCCAGCCCCCACACAGTTGAAAATCCACATATAACTTTTGAATCCTCAAAAATTTAACTACTAGGCCTGACGTGGTGGCTCACACCTGTAATCCCAACACTTTGGGAGGCCAAGGCAGGAGGATTGCTTGAGTTCAGGAGTTCAAGACCACCCTGGGCAACATAGTGAGACCTCATCTCTGCTTAAAAAAACAATAAAAAAAAAAAATAAAAAAAATAGCTGGATGTAGTGCCACATGACTGTAGTCTTGGCTACTTGGGAGGCTGAGGTGGGAGGATTGCTTGAGCCCAGGTGGTCGAGGCTGTAATGAACTATGATCATGCCACTGTCCTCCAGCCTGGGTGACAGAGTGAGACCCTGTCTCAAAAAAAACCCCAAACACCCCAAACTTAACTACGAATAGCCTACTGTTGACCAAAAGATTTACCAATAACTTAAACAGTTGATTAACACATATTTTGTATATATATTATGCACCATATTTGCATAATAAATTATAGAAAAGAAAATATTTTAAAAATCATAATGAAGAGAAAATATATTTACTATTCATTAAGTGGAAGTGGATCATCATAACGGTCTTCATCCTCGTCAGCTTCATGTTGAGTAGGCTGAGGAGGAGGATGAAGAGGAGGGGTTGGTCTTATTGTCCCAGGAGTGGCAGAGGTGGGAGAAAATCTGCATATAAATGGACCTGCATAGTTTGAACCTTTGTTGTTCAAGGCTCAGCTGCTTGTATGTGTGTGTGTGTGTGTGTTTGCGTGTGTGTGTGTGTGTGTGTGTGTGTGTGTGTGTGTTGAGGTAAACCCTCTGCTTCAAATCTTGCAATAGCATTTCACTGTCAGTGTCAGTACAATGAAGCTGAAACTCATTACCATGGTCCCTGTTACCTCTGACTTTTCCCTGTAACCCTCTCCCACTCACCCCCTAGGATTTGACCACAGTGTCTTGATTATGCAGGGATAACCAAAGGCGTCTATTTTAATAGTCCCAGCAAAGAAAGGGGGCATGACCTGGAGCAATGGGGGTACATAAATATCAGAGAAAGCTCAGAAAGAGACACAACAAATAGGTATTCCTGGCTTTCTACCTTATTCTTTATGAGTCTCGATTTTAAATCACAGATAATGACGAATTATCTGAAAAGGCTTAAAGGAAAACCCGAGTCTGGGTTTGTTGTGTTGTGAAGAAAAAAGCTTTATTGGCTCGTGGTTCTGCAGGCTGTCAAGAAGCAGGCACCAGCATCTGCTTCTGGTGAGGGCCTCAGGAAGCTTCCACTCATGGCAGAGGGCAAAGAGGAGCGGCATCACGTGGCAAGAGAGGATGGAAGAGAGACAGCTAGAGAGAGTGGAGGGAGGTGCCAGGCTCTTTTTAATAATCAGCTCTTCTGGGGTCTAATAGAGGGAGAGCTCATTCATTACCATGAGAACAGCACCAAGCCATCCATGAGGGATCCACTCCCATGACCCAAACATCTCCCACCAGGCCCCACCTCCGACACTGAAACCACACTTTAACAGGAGACTTGGTGGGCCTAACAAACCATATCCAAACTATAGCAACCAGGTTGTGACTGTTGTCTTTCAGAAATGAAGAATTGGGGGCCGGGTACAGTGGCTCATACTTGTAATCCCAGCACTTTGGGAGGCAAAGGTGGTGGATCACTTGAGGTCAGGAGCTCAGGACCAGCCTGGCCAACATGGCGTAACCCTGTCTCTACTAAAAATACAAAAATTAGCCGAGCATGGTGGTGTGTACCTGTAGTTCCAGGTACTCGGGAGGCTGAGGCGGGAGGATCACTTGAACCTGGGAGGTGGAGGTTGCAGTGAGCCAAGATCATGCCACTGCACTCCAGCCTGGGTGACAGAGCGAGACTCCATCTCAAAAAAAAAAAAAAAAAATTGAAGAACTGGCTTTCTGTTGATTATTCTAAATGGTGGCAGTTGCTTATTGAAAACCACAAATTCTGAACAGCCATGTTGTGAGCTCTTCATTTGTTTGTAGACACAGAAATTTTAGAAAGAAAATGTAGATGTTGGATACAAAATATTGAAGGAAAGCAGCAATCAGGCCGCAATCTGCTTTTTCCCACCTGCCTGTAGATCTTCTCAGGTTATTGCTATTTAGCTTTCATGAGAAATTACCTGGGCAATACTAGGTATTATTCAGTCAGTGTCCACACAGGCGTTTGTGATCACAAGGAAAAAATGGCAAAAATGAATTTTGCTTTTGAGACAGGGTCTTGCTACGTTGCCCAGGCTGGCCTTGAACTCCTGTGCTCAAGCTGTCCTTCTGCCTCAGCCTTCTGAGTAGCTGGGAATATAGGCATGTGCCACCATGCCCGGCTCAAAAATGCATCTTAAATAATTTTAAAAGATTGCCCTTTAGGGTTTGTCCAAAAGGATACACGAGAAACCAGAATCAATGCCTGCCTCTAGGGAAGGAAACTAAGGGACTGGAGGTCAAGAGTAGGAAGAGGATTTACTTTTACTGTATATCTTTTCATGTATTTTGAATTTTATATTGTGCTTTTGTACTACCTACTTATAAAAAAAATTGACTGGGTGTGGTGGGAGGCTGAGGCACTTGGGAGGCTGAGGTGGGAGGATGGTTTGAAGCCAGGAGTTTGGAACCAGCCTGGGCACATAGTGAGACCCTGTCTCTACAAAAAATTTAAAAAAAAATTAGATAGGCGTGATGACGCTCGCCTGCCTGTGGTCCCAGCTACTCCGGAGGCCGAGGTGGGTGGATCACTTGAGCAGGAGTTTGAGGTTGCAGTAAGCTATGAGTGTGCCACTGCACTCCAGCCTGGGCGTGACAGAGTGAGACCTTATCTCTAAAAAGAAAAAGAGATTAATTTTTATAAAATGACAGCTTAAGAAGGCCAGAAACAAATCTTATTTGTTTATGTTTTCTGGAATTACATATGTACATTTAAAAAATTTTTCCCAGCTATTTGGGAGGCTGAGGCAGGAGAATCACTTGAACCCGGGAGGCAGAGGTTGCAGTGAGTCGAGCTCATGCCACTGCATTCCAGCCTGGGTGTGACAGAGTGAGACCTTATCTCTACAAAGCAAAAAGAAACTAATTTTTATAAAATGACAGCTTAAGAAGGCCGGAAACATCAAATCTTATTTGTTTATGTTTTCTGGAATCACATATGCACATTTAAAAAATTTTCCCCAGCTACTCGGGAGGCTGAGGCAGGAGAGTCACTTGAACCCAGGAGGCGGAGGTTGCAGTGAGTCGAGCTCATGCCACTGCACTCCAGCCTAGTCAACAGAGCAAGACTCTGTCTCAAAAAAAAAAAAAAAATATATATATATATATATATATATTTTTTTTTTTTTCCAAAATGGGAAAATGGTTTGCAGATTGTAGAATTATGTGCGTGGCCCTGGGCATAGCACTGGGAGCCTGGGACTGAGGGCAGTGATGCCTGACCTTGGAGCTATCCAGACCTGGGCAGGTCCTGCTGCTACCGTGCATTCTACTGCTCTCAGCTGTCAAACATGGGACCACACGGGGTGATCTCTGTGGCCCCCTGCAGCTCAGATACTCCATGAATGTCTTCGCCCATGCGTTTCACAAAGTGGAAAAGTATCTTTTGACCTATGAGAGGAGCTGCTTCAATCGGTGTTGCTCATGAAATTTCATCTCAAAGCCTGGCTGAGGGCTTGATTTCAGAGCTGAGCCCACTGAGCCCCACCAGCTTTTCACACCTGCGAGGTTGGTGGATTTCTTGATCAGTTGAGACTCGCACGGCTGCCGCTTGCTTGTGATCTACACGCCTCCACTTGCCAACCCACATGGGTTGAATCTGAATCTGAATATTAATTCCACCCTCGGGAGCCAACACATACGGAAAATATTAATGCTTCCTTCAAATGGAACTTTTTTCCCTTTAGAAACAGATTTTTAAAGGAGATTCTAGGTACTGTGCTACCAAAAGAAAAAAAGTCATATTTCCAAATGTGCATCGCGTCATTGTACTGTAAAGAAAAAAATAGTGTTTACTTCAGGGAAGAATGAAAACCAAGTCAAGCTTTTTCCGTCAACGCTACAATTGTTAGCTTTAACAAACAGAGCGTGCTATCTCCTTGAAACAAACCCAAGAACATCAGTGTCCATGGGACCCACGTGTTGTTTCATCCCTGCCGAGTCTGCTGGGCTGAAACACAAGCCTGGGTTCTTCACCTCTGACCCTTACGAGCCTTCCAGTGCATTAATTTCAAGTGTGGAACCTGGGCCAACGCTGCTAAGGCCATATCTAGTTAAAAATGTAAACACAAAGTCTCTGAGACCAGGAGGGCACGTTCTCATGGTAACTGCGGGCTGCCTTTCTTTTCTCTCTGAAGTCCTTAACTGCTTAACTGATGTGCAATGGACGTGAGGGAGTCTCCTTAAGGGAGGGTCTTTCCAGAGGCCTTTGAAGGCATTTACATTTAGAAATATTATGCCTATCAAACCATATCTAATATTTCTGTCTCTTGTTGCCCGAAGTCTAACAGTCTAACAAATGTAGTCCATATAGTTAGGCAATGCTGGTTCCTATGTTCCTTTCCCTTTTGCTGTGTGGGGCTGGTTTGTCCTGATCTAGACTCTTAGGTATGAAGGAAAAGAGTGAAGAGGATTTACTCTAGCACTGATGAGGCTAATTGGGATAAAGCTCAGAATACCTCAATTAAGGGGCTCTTCAAGAGGCCGGATTTGTTGCAGACAGCTTCAAGAATGTGGAATTCAGCCTTCTGCATTCCCCTTGCACAGCCCCCGAGCGCCAGAAGGAGAATCCACTGGCTCCTCAGGGAGGGTGGCCATGCAGAGAGCAGCTCAGGGCTGTGTTTGCTCCTGTCAAAGCCACAGACCTGGCTTGCTGGCTTATAAGGGATTGGGGGCAGCCAGAACAAGGGTGTTTGAGAAAGGAATATTCAAGAGGAAAAATCTATTCATACAAAAACCCACACGTTGTGCACATGTACCCTAAAACTTAAAGTATAATAAAAAAAAATTTTTTTAAAGAATACAAACACTCAGAGTATGGCAGGTGCTTTCCTGTCGCCCTTGGCAAGAACCCGTTGGGGGCCATGAAGAGTTTGGGGTCCTGAATGACCCTCTCCCCCCACTGTTCTCCAATTCCTCTTCTTGTGAAAAACAAATTGATAAGTAAAACAGCAGCTCTTTCCAACCCAGGCGCCTCCATGCTCTGTGAAAGGGACTCCAGAAATATGAGTTTTGGGACGGCACTTTTCTGTTTCTTTTTACATGTCATCGTGGAAGTCCCTTTCACCTCCCAGGCTGAGGCACAGGTCCATTTTCCCACAGATCTGATTCTTATGCTAGGGTAGGGAGCAAAGCCTTGTCTTGTGTATTGAAAGTTATCTTGCTGCTGTGCTGAATTCACTGATGGTGTGCACAGCATGAGCTATCAATTATACACTAATTATATGACTGACTTCATTATCTCCCTTCTGAAAATATGCAGTCTGTCCCAAACAATTAGCACTGAATTATTTCCCTATATTGTTTCCTAATTTTTCCATATGTTGGTTTTCACTCTTCAGCCAGACTACACACCTCCGGAAGGCAGAGACGGGGACTTGAAGTTCTTTGAACTCAAAACATGGCAATATTTATTGGTCCTAATACTGTCACTGGCAAGGTTGGTGTTTTAGGGAAGAGATGATAGTGTAAGTATCAACTAATCTGAATTCTTTGGGTGAAGGCTGAGCAAAACTGAAATAGTTTTAAGAAGAAAAAAAACAAAACTGCAGGATGTTTAGTTAATTTGTTCATCATTCAAGTTCCCAGAGAACAGGGATCACGTCTGTCTCTTGCAGTGTTACATCCCCAGCACTCAGCCCACAGTTTCACAAGCAACAAACACTAACAATTATTTTTAATGAATGAGTTAATGAATACATTTCTTGAGCTTCTGTTATGTCTAGGTCTTGCGCTAAGTGAAGATACAAAGATAGTCTTCTCTCTTCAGAAGCTTTCAGTCTGGGGAAGAAGAAGAAAGGCAGAATTGAAAACAATTGCTATAAAATATGAAAGATGCAACTCTGGGTGCAGTGGCACATGCCCGTAATCCCAGCACTTTGGGAGGCCGAGGCAGGCGGATCCCCTGAGGTCAGGAGTTTGAGACCAGCCTGGTCAACATGGTGAAACCCTGTCTCTGCTAAAAGTAGAAAAATTAGCCAGGTGTGGTGGCGGGCACCTGTAGTCCCAGCTACTTGAAGGGCTGAGGCAGGAGAATCGCTTGAACCTGGGAGGTGGAGGTTACAGTGAGCTGAGATTGCGCCATTGCACTCCAGTCTGCGCAACAAGAGCAAAACTCCATCTCAAAAAAAAAATAATAATAAAATAAAATAAGAAAAATGCTGTCTGAATTCCATTCAAAGTGCTTTGGATTCAGAGGAGGAAGCTGCTGACCATTTAGGGGAGTCAGAGAAACTTCATGTTTAAAAACACAGGCACAAAAACATTGGATGGATTTTGAAGGAAGACTAAGCATTTGCCAGCTGGAAAATGTGAAGACATTCTAGGCAGAGGGAACCGCTGGGGCCAGGTCAGACAGCTGTGAAAGGCTGCATTTTCTGGGAACCCTACAGCTGTCCCGAAGGCTAACAAGGTGTTTTGAGGCAGGTGGATGAAATAAGACAAGTAAGTTGGGGCATGTTTGCAAGGGTTTTAGGATTGACACTTGAGACAATGGGGAGCTGTGAAAGTTTTTAGCAGGGAATTGATGTGAATAGATTTGGATTTGGAGAAATCACTGTGGACAGCGTAGTGAGGAGACTGGAATGGGAGAAACTGGAGTCGTCCACCTCAGGGTGATCGTGGCACCTTGGATTAGAGGCCGTGGGATGGGGGATGGAGGGAAGTGGACTAATTTGAGAGCTATTCAGAAAGTAGAGTCATTGGAAGACCAAGTGGCTAGTCGGACGTGGGGAAGTGGGAGGTAGGAAGACAGGAGTCCAGAATAATTTCTAGTTTCTAGAGTAAATTAATCAAGAACCCAGAATAAGCAGCAGGACTGGTGTGATGGGGAAAAGAAGTTTTCAGTTTTGACTGCAATGAAAACCTCTTTTGCAAAAGCAGCGTCCTCTCTGTTTGTGCTGACTTGGGATATGCTGTTCTCGTTCAGACTGCAGGGGAATTCCCCACTTTGTGGGGAGGGAAGAGAGATTTCCCTGATGAGGTCAGGCTAGGACATGAGTCGCATGGGGCAGCCATTTTGGAAGGAAGACATTTGTCCACGTGGAAGCTGTAATTCAAAATGTGGACTTCAGCAAGAGGAAACACCTAGCTCTCTCTTGAATCCGGGTTTCAAGAAGCACTCACCAGATAGCTGCACATCAGACTGCAGGTAGATTGCAGCCTGTAAGACTCAGAGGAGGACATATTTTATAAGCCAAATAATGTAGTTATATTGTATCATGTGCTTTTTTTGTTTTTCTTAGTCTTGAGCAGAGAATTATAAAAATACTCTAGTCCTACTGTTAACTGTGCTATTATGTCTTCGAGAACATAAAATGAATAGTATAATTCTTCCTTCCTTCAAGCCAGTGAGAAATAATAACAATTAGGGGAGATCTCTGCAGCACATATGAATTTGGGACAAAGGCTCTCTTGTAGAGATTCTCCCCCCATCGCCAGCATTAAAAGATGAGGCTTTATTTTGTTAAGGTAGGCATTTATGTTCTTAAACAGATATGTTATTTGAGATGCCTCGGCTACATCATTCAGAATGTCTACTAGCAAATACCATCTCCTGCCTGCCCTCAACTAAAAAGAAATAAAACATCTACATCATTTAACTTATCTTGCCCCAGTTCTAAATACTGACAAGCTTGTAGTAAATGGATTGTCAAATGGGTCTCCAGCCACCCCACCCAGCTAATTTTTTAACTTTTTGTAGAAAGGGAGTCTCCCTATGTTGCCCAGGTTGGTCTCAAACTCCTGGCCTCAAGTGATCTTCCCGCCTCAGCCTCCCAAGTGCCTCAGCCTCCCACTGTGCCCGGCCAGTTTTTTATGAGTAGGTAGTACAAAAGCACAATAAAATATTCAATACACATAAAAGGAGCTGGGCTTGGTTGCTCACGCCTGTAATCCCAGCACTTTGGGAGGCCAAGGCAGGCAGATTGCTTAAGGTCAAGAGTTTGAGATCAGCCTGGCCAACATGGTGAAACCCCGTCTCTGCTAAAAATACAAAAATTAGCCGGGCGTGGTGGTGGACGCCTGTAATCCCAGCTGCTTGGGACGCTGAGATGTGAGAATCGCTTGAACCTGGGAGGCAGAGTTGCAGTGAGCCGAGATTGTGTCACTGCACTCCAGCCAGGGCAACAGAGCGAGACTCTGTCTAAAAATAAATAAATAAGTAAATAAATAATAAAATAATATGCAATAAAAATAAATCCCCTTCCAACTCTTTTTTTTTTTTTTTTCTTAAGATGGAGTCTCACTCTGTCACTCAGGCTGGAGTGCAGTGGCGCCATCTCAGCTCACTGCAACCTCTGCCTCCTGGGTTCAAGTGATTCTCCTGCTTCAGCCTACTGAGTAACTGGGATTACAGGCACATGCCACCACTCCTGGCTAATGGTTGTTTTTTTTTTTTTCGTAGAGACAGGGTTTCCCCATGTTGACCAGGCTGGTTTTGAACTCTTGACCTCAAGTGATCTGGCCTCCCAAAGTGCTGGGATTACAGGTGTGAGCCACTGCGGCTGGCCCCCGTTCCAACTCTTGACCTCTTGTCCCTGGGTTCGTTTCCCTAGAGGCAGGCATTGATTCTAGTTTCTTGGGTATCCTTTTGGACAAACTGTAAGGGTGTTCTTAGTCTGTTGAGAGAACCCTTATCTAACAATGCTAACCCCATCCCAACATACTATCCTTTTTCTTTTTTTTTTTTTTTTTGAGGTGGAGTTTCACTCTTGTTGCCCAGGCTGGAGTGCAATAGTGTGATCTCAGCTCACTGCAACCTCCGCCTCCCGGGTTCAAGTGGCTCTCCTGCCTCAGCCTCCCGAGTAGCTGGGATTACAGGTGCCTGCCACCATCACGCCTGGCTAATTTTTTGTATTTTGAGTAGAGATGGGGTTTCACCATGTTGGCCAGACTGGTCTCGAACTCCTGACTTCAGGCAATCCACCCGCCTTGGCCTTCCAAAGTGCTGGGATTACAGACGTGAGCCACAGTTCCTGGTCTGTCTATGCTTTTTCTAAAAAATATTTTCAATTGTGATAAAATACACATAACATAAAAATTACTATCTTTGTATGTGTGTGTGAAACTGGGTCTCACTCTGTCACTCAGGCTAGAGTACAGTGGTGAGATCATGGCTCACTTCAACCTCCGCTTCCAGGGCTCCAGCAATCCTCCCACCTCAGCCTCCCAAGTAACTGGGCCCACAGGCATGCGCCACCATGCTCGGCCAATTTTTAAATTTTTTGTAGAGATTAGATCTAACTCTGTTGCCCAGGGTGATCTTGAACTCCTGGCCTCAAGACATCCTCCTGCCTTGGCCTCCCAAAGTGCTCGGGTTACAGGTGTGAGCCACTGCGCCCAGCTACCTTACCTGTTTTTAAGCGTACAGTTCAATGGTATTCACTACATTCATATTGCTGTGTAACCATCACCACCATTCATCTCCAGAGCTCTTGTCATCTTACAAAACTAGACCTTTGTACACACTAAACAATAACTCCCCATTCTCTCATCCTCCAGCCCCTAGCAACCACGAATCTCCTTTCCTCTCTGTGAATTTGACTACTCTATGTACTTCATATAAGTGGACTTGCACAGTGTGTCGCTTTTTGTAACTAGCTTATTTCACTGGCATAATGTCCTGAAGGTTGATCCGTGTTGCAGCATGTGGCAGAATTTCCTTCTTTTTAAGGATGAATACTATTCCATTGTGTGTACAGAGCACATATTGTTTATTCATTCACCTGTTGATGGATGCTTGGTTTGCTTCCACCTTTTGGCTATTGTGAACAATGCTCCATGAACATGAGTGCACATGTCTATTTTTTGCTGTAATTTTTAAATATAGCATTTGTCATGCAGGATATATGTTATGTCTGATATATGTATTGTTTGCTACCTCTCCCTCCCAACTAGAATCTAACTTTTTGAGTTCAGGAATTTTGTTTTGTTCACAGGTGTATCCTCAAAACTCAGAGCAGAGTCTGGCATATGGTAGGTGCTCAATAAATATTTTGCTGAATGAATGGATAGTGGACTAATAGTCATGATTCCACCAGAGTTTCTGCACTGAGGTCTATTCTATTGCCGACCATATTGCTAGGTGGAGGAAAGCTTTTTTTTGAGAGAGAGGGTCTTGCTCTGTCACCCAGGCTGGAGGGCAGTGGCGCAATCTTGGCTCACTGTAGCCTTGACCTCCCAGGCTCAAGCAGTCCTTCCACCTCAGCCTTCCAAGTAACTGGAACTACAGGCACATGCCACCACACCCAGCTATTTTTTGTAGAGACAGGGTTTCACCATGTTGTCCAGGCTGATCTCAAACTCCTAAGCTCAAGCGGAACGCCTGGGCCAAGCGATCTGCCCACCTCAGCCTCTCAGAGTGCTTGGATTACAGTCATGAGCCACTGCGTCCAGCCTCTGGAGGAAAGCTTTTGAACAAAGTTTTCAGTTAATTGTCTTTCACTTTCCTAATCTCTAAAGTGGTCATCAGTCTTTTTTTTTTTCTTTTTAAAAAGTTAAGCAATTTATTTATAAAAGACAAATAAATATTATATATATTTATGGTACACAAGTCACATTTTGCTATCCACATACATTGTGAAATGATTAAATCAAGCTAGTTTGCATATCCATCACCAGACATGCTTATTCTTTTCTTGCAGTGAGAACATTTAAGATCTATTCTCTTAGCAATTTTCAAGTATGAAATACATTATGAGTAATCACAGTCACCACGTTGTTCAATAGATGTCCAGAACTTATTCATCCTAACTGATATTTTGTACCCTGTCACCAACATCTCTCCATCTCCTCCCCTTACCTCCAGCCCCTGGTAACCACTGTTCTACTCTCTACTTCTATGAGTTCAATTTCTTTAGATTCCACATGTAAGTGAGATCATGCAGTATTTGTGTTCCTGTGCCTGGCTTATTTCACTTAGCATAATGTTCTCCATGTTCATTCATATTGTCACAAATGACAGGATATCCTTCTTTTTTGGCTGAATAGTATTCCATTGTGCATATACACCAAATTTTCTTTATCCATTCATCTGTCAATGGACACATAGGTTGATTCAATATCTTAGCCATTGTGAAAATGCTGCAATGTACGTGAGAATGTAGATTTCTGATTTCATTTCCTTTGGATATATACACAGTAGTGGGATTGCTAGATCATATCGTAGTTCTATTTTTAGTTTTTTGAGGAACCTCCATACTGTTTTCCATATGGCTATACTAATTTGCATTCCCACCTACGGTGTAGAAGGCTTCCCCTTTCTCCACACTCTTGCCAACACTTATCTTTCATCTTTTTTCCATCCTAAATGTGTGAGATCATATCTCATAGTGGTTTTAATTGGCATTTCCCTGATGATTATGAAACCAACCCAATAGTCCCATAGATAATTTTATGGATAAACATAGAAATTGACCATTCTGGTCTTAAAATCAGAACCTTACATTTGTTTTATCTGAGTTCCTTCCTCTGAAAACCACTTTCAGACCTGTCGAAAAAAAATAGCGAAGAACACCAGATCACCACATCCAGACAATGAGATGTGGGACCCTCATTCATCATGATTACTCCCTCGCCCCTCTCTAGTTTCTGTTTTCTTACACATTGTTACATTTCTTCCCTGCTATATAAACCTCTAGTTTTAGCCGGTCAGGGAGAAGGATATGAGACTGAGCTCCCATCTCCTTGACTGCAGCACCAGATTAAAGCTTCTTCCTCAGCAATACTCATTGTCTCAGTGATTGGCTTTCTGTGCAGTGAGCAGCAGGGCCCAGTCCAAACCCCTGGTGTTTTGGTAACAATTAATGATGCTGACCATCTTTCCATACACCTGTTAGCTATTTCTATGTCTTTTTGGAGAAATGTCTATTTGGGTCCTTTGCCTATCTTTAAAATGAGGTTACTTGGGTTTTTTTTTTTGTTTTTTTTTTTTTTGCTATCGAGTTGAGTTTCCCATATATTTTGGGGAACTTATCAGATGCATGGTTTGAAAATATTTTCTCCCACTCCACATGCTTTTTCATTTTGTTGATTGTGCAGAGGTTTTTAGTCAGATGGAATCCTTAAAATGGGTGTCAGTCTTGCTTTCAGCAATATTTGTGAACATCCCTATGTGACAGGTAGCTCTGCCTCAGTCGGCCGGCCCAGTCACTGTATTTTCTAGCAGAACTCTGGCCAGCTCACTGGAAGGAAAAGCGGACTCCTTGAGTGTGGCTTCCGGGGTTTCCTTGCTCGTTTACTTGTTCTAAAATGTGACAGCTTAGTTTCTTCAGTTACATTCATTTTAAATTAAAAATAAATTTCCCTTGAACTATGATTCAATGATGTATTTTCTCAAATTATTATCCTAAATCATAATTAAATGAAACTATAATCATACCAAAATCGAGTTATATCGTTTCCACATTTAAGTGAGAATTTATGTGTAAACTTCCTGTAAAAAGTTCACATCAATTTTACTCAAAACTATGAGTCATGTTGTTCATTCTGAATGTTATTTTTATGCATTTTCATGAGTTTATTATAATGGCTCATTTACAGAAGGCCTTGAAAGGGACTCAAGTGAAGTATGACTTCTTCAATTTGCTTATTTGTACTATTTCATATTTGTCTCCCCGAGTAGGTAGGTTTATTAGAACTAGAGAGTCTGGAACTGGAAATTCTCATCAAAATGTGTACGCAGGGAGCAGTGAAGAGAGGATTCCCTTTTGTAAGAAATTTTACCCTCCTTAACCTTCTTGATTTGAGTATTAAGAGTTAAAATATCTTCCTATTTTCTGATAGACAAGCTTCTAATATGCACATTATATTTATGCTCTGGGTGGGTGTATCATAAAGACCACACATATTTCTTTTCATAGAACTATAAACTGGTAATTTCTGAAAATCATAAAGAAAGACAATCTTTATGATTTTCAGGGCCGGGCATGGTGGCTCATGCCTGTAATTCCAGCACTTGGGAGGCTGAGGCAGGGGAATCACTTGAGCTCAGGGTTTGAGACCAGCCTGGGCAACATAGCAAGACCTCGTCTCTGAAAAGAAAAAAAAAAAGGCAATTTAAATGTTATTATATATTGAAGGAACACTTCAATATATAAGAAGTATAATGCTTTGGTGTTGATGATTGGAAAGCAAAAGTACTGCCTCTCTGCACTCTACCCCTGGCTGTCTGATCCCTAACCCCAGGTCAGAGCTCCTCTCAGGGTGGTTCTCCCTCACCACTGGCTCCTTTCTGTTCTGGCAAATGCTCTTCTCCTTGTCTGGTTCACCCAGAGGTGGGGCTGCGGTATCTCTTGCAGTTTCTCTATACCTTAGCCACACTTCTGTAAATAGCCTCTTTATTAACTCACATCAACATATCCTTATCTGAGCATGCCCTCTTTTCTCCTGTTGGGTCTCTGTTTGACACACAAGGTTTAACCAAAGGAAATGATTTCTGTAAATGAGAAAATATTTTATTAAACATTGCAAAATATGCAGACTTTCTTTGAAACATTAGGCAATACAGTAACAAAAAGATGGAAAACAAGAGAAAGAAAGGGTGGAGCTGGGGAAGAGAAGTAAAGAAAGAGGGGAAAACAGCCAGGCGTGGTGGCTCATGCCTGTAATCCCAGCACTTTGGAAGGGCTAGGTGGGTGGATCTCCTGAGGTCAGGAGTTTGAGACCAGCCTGGCCAACATGGTGAAACCTTATCTCTACTGAAAACACACAAAAAATTAGCGAGGCGTGCTGGCACACAACTGTAATCCCAGCTACTCGGGAAGCTGAGGCATGAGAACTGCTTGAACTTGGGAGGCAGAGGTTACAGTGAGCCAAGATCATGCCATTGCACTCCAGCCTGGGTGACAGAGTGAGACCAAAAAAAAAAAAAAAAAGGAAAGAAAGAAAGAGAGAGAAAGGAAGGAAGGAAGGAGGGAAAAGAAAGAAAGAAAGACAGAAGGAAGGAAAGAAAAGAAAAGAAAGAAAAAGGAAGGAAGGAAGGAAGGGAGAGAGAAGGTAAATGAATACAAGAAGCCTTGGCTTTTTCAGTGCAGGAGGGACTCTGAAGTCCTAAAGCAATTGATGGGGGTGAAGGTCGTCAGATACAGAAGACATCATGACGCCAGCTCCCGTCCACTGAATGCTCTCTGTAGCCTAAATTCTCGCCTCAGCTTATACCTGTGCTGCTGTATTAGGTAGCACAAGCCCAGGGGGCAGGAGAGAGCTCAGGGAGCGCAGCGGGGAAGGTAGGGCAACCATGAGGAAGGTGAGTTACCAATCTGGCCACTACCTTGGGGTCAAACTTGATCATAGGAACCATCTTCTAAGACAATCACTTTTTGGGACACCATTTAGGGGAGGAAGGGGGAAGAATTGATCTCTGGAGTTTGTGCCTGTGTGAAGTTGGTAGGAGTCCATGCAGAGCTGATGGCTACAGTGATGGTCTGGCCTGAGGCCCCAGATCAAGAGAGGCCAAGAGACCTGAGGAGGGATCCGCCATAGTGCCATCATACATGAACACGAATCCTCACAGTAACCCTCTGAATTAGCCAGGTGTGATGGTGAACACCTGTGGTCTCAGCAACTCAGGAGGCTGAGGCAGGAGAATGGCTTGAGCCCAGGAATTTGAGGCTGCACTGAGCCATAACTGTGCCACTGCTCTCCAGCCTGGGCAACAGAGTGAGACCCTGTCTCTAAAAAAATTAACTATAATAATAGTAACCCTCTGAGCAGGCATAGGACTCTGGGTACGAGTAATACAGACTCACTTGGGAAGGGAAAGGCCGTTTCTTGGCACACTGACCAGACCTCAGAAAGCGCAAGGGTGTGGCAGACCTCAGGGCTCACTGGAACCGAATGCTTGAAGGGCAGCAACGCCCCGCGCCTCCCTGAATTCTCTCAGAATGGTTTCCCCTTGATTGGGAACCAGGATCCCTGGCAGCCCTGGGTCCTGCCACCAGAAACTGGAAAAGAAAGGGTTTCTCCTTCTCTTAGTCTGAAGGCATCCCAGGGAAGAGCCCTGACCTCACTCTTGGTCAGGTGACCCCTCCTTGGACCACTCAGTGTAGCTGGGGGGCCGCCCTGTGCTTGGCCACTCCTGGGCTGAGTCTGCCCTGCAGCGGAGGGTCGGCCGGGTCACTCAGAGCTCACCAGAGTCTGAGTTGTTCAACGTCACTAGTAAGGTCAGAGGGGGTCGTTCCATTCATCTCCACTCCCAGAAATAAGAGGAGCCCACACACCAGGCAGGAGAACAGCAGCTGCGGCAGGCCCTCCAATAAGGACGTCATGCTGAAGAGAGGAAAACGCTTCCCTCAGGCCCCGTCGGTGGGGGCTGCCTGTTCTCACTGCCGCGGGGCTTTTCTCCCAGGGTTCTGGGTTCCTCCCGTGTCCCAAAGCTGGGCCCATTCGTTTAACTGGCATGTCTCCATGGTCTCAGCATGGGTGAGGGTGTGTGGTTGAATGTGGGTGAGCGTGGGTGAAAGTGAGTGTTGGCGAGTGTGAGAATGAGTGTGAGAGAGTGTGGGTGAGTGCGAGGATGAGTGTGAGTGTGGGTGAGTGAGGATGAGTGTGAGTGTGGGTGAGTGTGAGAGTGTGAGGATGAGTGTGAGAGTGTGAGGATGAGTGTGAGTGTGAGGATGAGTGTGAGTGTGAGGATGAGTGTGAGTGTGAGGATGAGTGTGAGTGTGGGTGTGAGGATGACTGTGAGAGTGGGTGAGAGGATGAGTGTGAGTGTGGATGAGTGTGAGGATGAGTGAGAGTGAGGATGAGTGTGAGTGTGGGTGAGTGTGAGGATGAGTGTGAGTGTGGGTGAGTGTGAGGATGAGTGTGAGTGTGGGTGTGAGGATGAGTGTGAGTGTGTGTGGTGTGAGGATGAGTGTGGGTGAGAGGATGAGTGTGTGTGGGTGAGTGCGAGGATGAGTGTGAGAGTGGGGGTGAGTGTGAGGATGAGTGTGAGTGTGGGTGTGAGGATGAGTGTGAGTGTGGTGTGAGGATGAGTGTGAGTGTGTGTGGTGTGAGGATGAGTGTGGGTGAGAGGATGAGTGTGTGTGGGTGAGTGTGAGGATGAGTGTGAGAGTGGGGGTGAGTGTGAGGATGAGTGTGAGTGTGGGTGAGTGTGAGGATGAGTGTGAGTGTGGGTGTGAGGATGAGTGTGAGTGTGGTGTGAGGATGAGTGTGAGTGTGTGTGGTGTGAGGATGAGTGGGTGAGAGGATGAGTGTGTGTGGGTGAGTGTGAGGATGAGTGTGAGAGTGGGGGTGAGTGTGAGGATGAGTGTGAGTGTGGGTGAGTGTGAGGATGAGTGTGAGTGTGGGTGAGTGTGAGGATGAGTGTGAGTGTGGGTGTGAGGATGAGTGTGAGAAAGTGGGTGAGCGTGGGTGAAAGCGAGTGTGAGTGTGGGTGAGCATGAGAAAGTGTGGGTGAGTGTAGGTGAGGGTGAGTGGGTGACAGTATGAGTGAGGGTAAGTGTGGGTGACTGGGTGAGGGTGGGTGTGGGTATGAGGGTAAGCATGGGTGAGGGTGTGTGGGTGGGTGAGGGCGAGGATCTGGGTGTGTGGGTGAGTGTGCATGAGTGTGGGTGTGGGTGAGTGTGTGGGTGAGTGTGGGTGAGAGTGAGGGTGAGTGTGAGGGTGAGGGTGTGGGTGAGGGTGAGTGTGGGTGAGTGAGGGTGTGGGTGTATGGGTGAGGGTGTTAGGGTGAGTGTGGGGGTGAGTGTGGGTGAGGGTGAGTGAGGATGTGGGTGTGGGTGAATGTGAGTGTGGGTGTGGGTGAGTCTGAATGTGGGTGTGGGTGTGAGTGGGTGAGGGTGAGTGTGAGGATGAGTGTGGGTGAGGGTGAGTGAGAGTGGGTGAGGTGTGGGTGAGGGTTGTGAGGGTGTGAGGGTAAGGGTGTGAGTGCGGGTGAGTGAGGGTAAGTGTGGATGGGGAGGGTGTGTGAGTGGGTGTGGGTGAGTGTGAGTACAGGTTAGGGTAAGTGTGGATGGGGGAGGGTGAGCGTGAGTGGGTGTGGGTGAGTGTGGGTGAGTGTGAGTGCAGGTGAGGGTGTGTGGATGGGGGAGGGTAAGCGTGAGTGGGTGTGTGTGTGGGTGGGTGAGTGTGAGTGAGTGCAGGTGAGTGAGGGTAAGTGTGGATGGGGAGGGTGAGCGTGAGTGGGTGTGTGTGTGGGGGGGTGAGTGTGGGTGAGTGTGAGTGAGTGCAGGTGAGGGTAAGTGTGGGTGAATGTGGGTCACCCTGCGATGGGAGGGCATCCTGACCGGAGCGGGTCCCACCTGGCATCCTGAACTGCTGGGATGCCCCTATTTCCCCCCACTTCCTTTTCCCACCACCCGGACCTGAAATAAGGGGATACTTCTTACTTGTTTTGATTAGTTCTTCTTAAATATTTGTATGGCTCACATTTATTACAATGTGTAACATGAGAAGTGTTTTGGCCTTTATTTAGAACTTTGATGATATTTTTGTGATGGGAAATTATGCCCTAGGAACTTAACTCTGGTTTATATCAATTAACCTATGGGAAAATAGGTTTTGTTATCTGTCGTTTTGCTTAAAGTTGCAGTTTCCAAGAACCTATTGATGGTGTTAAGTGAGGATTTACCGTATTGTGTTTACACATGTAGCCAAAGTCAACCCTTTCTACCTCGCCCAGAAGTATATTACAGGGAACACATTTTGCACTATTTTGTCTTCATCACTCACATATAAGCAATTGCCAACTCTTGTCCATTTCTGTTTCTTAAGTGTCTCTTGAGCCCTCCCTCTTCCTCTGCTCATTGCCACACCACAGTACCCGCCCGCACCCTGTCAGTTGGCTGTTTGCAATCACCAGCTGGTCTCCTTGCCTCTCTCACCTTGTCCACCTTATGCTGTCACCAGAGTTATCATTGTAAAACAAATCTGATTGAACCATTCTGTTCAGAGGTCTCTGGTGGCCCACTCTTTCTTCTGTATTTAATATCAACTCTGTGAAACTTCCCCAGAAAGGAAGAATGAAAGAATTTGACTTTTCCTGAAAGAACCTCTCTAGTACTTTGTAGTAAAAATACTCTTCTGTTTATATAAACTCTCTTAGGGTGGCTGGGCTTGGCAGCTCACACCTGTAATCCCAGCACGTTGAGGGTCTGAGGAGGGAGGATCATTTGAGGCCAGGAGTTCGAGACCAACCTGGGCAACATAGCGAGACCTCGTTTCTACAAAAAGTTTTAAAATTATCTGGGTGTGGTGGTGAGAGGCTATATGTCCCCAGCTACCTGGGAGGCTGAGGTGGAAGGATTGCCTGAGCCCAGAAGCTGCAGGCTGCAGGCTGCAGTGAGCTATGATCATGCCACGGCACCCCAGCCTGAGGGATAGCGTGAGATCTTATCTCAGAAAAAAAAAAAAAAAAAAAGAAAACAAAACCCCCACAACACTCTTAGGGTATTTATCATATTTGATTGTATGTTTTTGTTTGTCTGTGTTAGTTTCCTCCACCAAATAGACACTTATTCGAATGAGCAGAAACACTTTCTTAGTTATTATTGTATCCATAGCACTTGTCATGCCCTGGTAATAGACATTCAATAACTGCCAAATAAATAATTAACATTTAGCTTTTTCTTTTATTCCCTGGTGTCTGGAGTAGGGGAAGAAGAAAAAAGGGGAAAAACAACAGAAAGAGAAATAGGAGAGAAAAAAATCCAAAATTACATTTAATCCCCGTCTCTTGTATCAAATCAATTTTGGAATGAAGTGAGGATATAAACAAGTCAGTCAACAAAATCATGACATTTCATATTAGTAACACGCAGTCTTATCTCCAGACCATAATCTGCCCTGATGTTTGTAGTTTGTCTCTTGGTTCCAAAACGCAATGTTATTGAAATGAGGCTGTGGATAATACCGCCGTTGGAAAAGGCATGAGGGTCAATGCAAAAATGCAGTGACGGAAGTAGTACATTGTGTGTGTCAACAGTCATTCAAATTACAGCTGTCCTTGGCATCCTCAGGGGACTGGTCCCAGGACCCTCGAGAATACCAAAATCCTTGGATGCTCATGCCCTGATATAAAATGGCGTGGTATTTGCATATAACCTATGCACATTGTTTCCTATACTTCTTAAATTTTATTTTTTATTTTTTGAGACCAAGTCCCACTGTAGCCCAGGCTGGAGTGCAATGTCGCGATCTCAGCTCACTGCAAGCTCTGCCTCCCGGGCTCAAGCGCTTCTCTTACCTCAGCCTCCCGAGTAGCTGGGACTACAGGCGCACGCCATAACACCCGGCTAATTTTTGTGTTTTAGTAGAGATGGTTTTCACCATGTTGGCCAGGCTGGTCTCAAACTCCTGACCTCAGGTGATACACCCACCTTAGCCTCCCAAAGTGTTGGGATTACAGGCATGAGCCACCGTGCCTGGCCCTTTTCTAGAAATCATCTCTAGATTACTTATAATACCTAATACAATGTAAATGCTATGTAAATAGTTGTTATACTATATTGGTTTTTAAATTTGTATTATTTTTTATTTTTTTAATTGTTCTTTTTCCAAATATTTTTGATCTGTGGCTAGTTGAATCTGAAGATGAGGACCTCAAGAATACAGAGGGCTGACTGCACTGACAAAACTCAGTGGAAACCTCTGGAAGATTTGATGGTAGATGGTTTTATCATCTGCAGCTGTTCACTCCTCCACTGTGTCAGAGAGGATTAGACATCCCTGTTCATTGCAGGTGACCTCACATCACCCCCATAAACGGGGGCAGGTTGTGCTTCCACACCTTGTTGTCAGCCCGGGCCAATGGAATCTGAGCAGATGTGACTTACACCAGGATGAGCAGAAGCTTCAATGTGATTGCCTGCTGTGATGGCCAATTTTAGGTGTCAACTTGACTGGGCTAAGGGATGCCCAGATAGCTGGTAAAACATGCTTGCAGGGTGTTTCCAGAGGAGGTGAGCCTTTGAATTGGTAGCTTTAGTAAAGAAAATCTACCCTCATTATTGTGAGTGGGCATCATTCAATCTGTTGAGAGCTCAAATCGAATAACAAAAAAAGAAGAAATGGTGAATTTGTTCACTCTGCTTGAGCCAGGAACTCCATCTTCTCCTGTCCTTGGATATCAGAACTCTTGAGTCTCAGGCTTTCGGAATCAGACAGGGATTTATATCACCAGTCCCCTCCAACCTCCCTTCTCAGACCCTTGGACTTGGACTGAATTACACCACTGGCTTTCCCTGTTCTCCAGTTTGTAGACAGTGGCATATGGGATTTCTCACCCTCCATAATGGTGTGAGCCAATTCCTAGACGAAATCATATATATGTATCTATCTCTATATATCATATCTATATCCATATATCCTATCTCTATATATCCTATCTATATATATGATCTATCTATCTATCTATCTATCTATCTATCTATCTATCTATCTATCTATGTTTCTCTGAAGAGCCCTGATTAATACACCTGCTTTGGCAAGGACCCTTGCTCTGCCCCCTATCGCAGCCTGTCCCGGATCAGGGCTGCTTCTCTGGTGGAGGTCCCAGATTGAGAAGACACCAGAACAGACCTGCCGCCCACCGGCGGTCTGGAGCAGAAGCACAGTCCCGGGCTGACTGTGGTAGACTCACATGTAACACAAGCAAGACATACACATGGTTTTTATTGTAAGCAACTGACATTTTTGTACCTGTTTGTTACTGAAGCAAAGCTGATAACTTAGAGAAGTAAATCAAAATTCTTAAGTGGAAACAACCAGCAAAATACTTTTAAATATGAACCATTAAACCAAATTCCAATAGAAGTAACAGGGAATTTATTGAAGAGAGACAACATTCTTTTTGATTGCTGGAAAGAATAGAATCTTCAATTAAACAAATTAGTAAGCAAATCCATGCCACGTAGTAGATTACACTATTACTCCCAATTATTTGTTGCCTTTACTATGGAAAATTATACTTGCACACATCATTTACATGAGGCTTGGCCATGTGACTTGCTTTGATGAGTAAAATGTGAATAGAATTGCTGTATGCGGCTGGACACGGTGACTCAGGCCTGTAATCCCAGCACTTTGGGAGGCTGAGGTGGGCGGATCACCTGAGATCGGGAGTTCAAGACCAGCCTGGTCAACATGTTGAAACCCCATATCTACAAAAATGCAAAAATTAACCGGCATGATGGCGGGTGCCTATAATCCCAGCTACTCGGGTGGCTGAGGCAGGAGAATCGCTTGAAACTGGGAGGCAGAGGTTGCAGTCAGCCGAGATCGCGCCATCGCACTCCTACAGCCTGGGCGACAGAGCAAGACTCTGTCTAAAAAAAAAAAAAAAAAAAAAAAGGATTGATGTATGCCACTTCTAAACAAAAACTTTAAGTAGGATAATTTGAGCAGAAAAGGTTTCCAGGAAGTGGAGACGCAGCAAGGGATGGAAAGTGCTCAGTGATATGCACCTCGCTTTGTTGAACTTCTCAAGGGTCGGCGTCACCAGAAAGAGGCCCTCTGGTTAGCCATCTAGGGGCCTCATAGTAGGATTCCTTTATGGTATTCTTCTCTTAGATGTGCACATTCAGAAACTTCATCTCATTAGTATGACATACTGATTAGGTACACGGAGAAAGAGGCTCATGCTAATAGAATTCACTAGAGGCCAGGGTATCAATGGGATCATCGGTGTTTTACTCTGTGAACTGCAATTTCCTTTCCAGCACTGAACTGTTCCTTTCCGGGTCCTCCGCGGTACAGAGAGCACGTATTCCTCTCTAACAAGGTATCCAGGAAGCCGATGATAAAATCTCGCATAAAAGATAAGGGAGACAGCATCCCAGCCTTGTAAAGCCGGAACACTGCCTGTGTTTCAGGGAAACCATTTGATGTGTATCCGTCAGTCACCAAACTTTCTGCTGCACGGAGCTAAATCATCTCCCAGTTCTGCTCCTCAGACCCTGCCCTTTTCTGCGCTTCACTGTTAAACATTCTCCCTTCTCACTGACTCTTTAGGTGAGTTTAGAGCAGTCATTGGTTTTTCAATCACACATTTGCTCTTTTAGCTTCTGGCAGATCTTTTGATTCCCAATTCAGAGACAGAGTGGAAGAAGCATGGATTCTGGAGCGAGACACATCTGGGTCCAGATCCAGCCTGTACCACTCACTAGCTGTATGTTTCTTAGTCATTCTGAGCCTTGTATCTTCTACTATAAAAAAAAAGGGATAATCGACATCTCAGGGTTGTTGAAAGGGGAAAAAAAGAAATCAGATTCTAACCTAGCTGTCACATAACAAATGTAAGATTTTCTTATTTTCTATTGCTATGAAAACATCATGCAAAATAATCTTAAAATGGTAATAAAAATAACAACTGTAATAATACTTATTAAGCCCTACGATGTCACTAGTACTATGCTAGAAACTTTAGTCTTTCGTTACCATTCTTTGTGGAATTAAAAGTTATCCTTTAATGCCCTTTTCTTCTCCTCTCTGCTGTTCTATATAAACCTTCATTTTGTGTAGAAGCTAGAAATTTTCTGCAGCTCAGACAGCTCTTGATGCTGATGAAAACCTTCATATCCTATTCCTCTCTGGTAATTACAAAGCCTCTTATCTGCACAAGTGGATTCTTTCTGAAGCATCATTTCCATTATCCCTCTGCTCTGATTAAGAGTTCACAATGGTTCTTTAGCATATATCGGATTGAGAGATTAACCCCTAACTCCCCAGTCCCTGGTCAGCCTTCCAACCAGTTTTCTAGGAGAGGCACCTTTCCCGTCTAACTTTCCACCCTGCCTGTGCCCATGGCTCACTACTGGTTCCCTTTATGCAAACTCGGTTTATGCTTTTCCTCTCCTGGAACAATAATTCTTTCCCTATTTCCAGTCATCTAAATCCTACACTTCTTTTAAGATGAAATTTGAAGTCCACAAAACCTTCTAAGACTAACCAAACCTCAAATCTCTATAATTAATTTTTGTTTTGCTTTGAAAAAAATTGTTTTTTCAGGTAAACAGGACATATGCCCTCAGCTACTGCAGGTTAATACCTCAAAGACAAGGATATTGTATTCCATTACTTTGACGTTTTCCTCCATCTCTAGGCCTAGCCAGGCCTACGGGAAAGAGTAGGTGCTTAATACTTGGTGAAATGAATCACTGTTATAATGATCACTATGCCACGAAACCGGCCACTACAAACACTTCGTGGACCCCCGAAGATTTCACCTCAGTCTGTGAAGAAACATTTGCTTAATTGATATATACTATACATAGGGTTAATTTTGTTTTAAAATTCATGCATTTTTCAAAAGTCAGCTTACTCAAGAAGAGTCCAGGAATTTGCAATTAAAGCTACGTAAGGATGATTAAAATGTGGGTAGTAGGCTGGGCCAGGTGGCTTATACCTGTAAAACCAGCATTTTGGGAGGCTGAAGTGGGTGGATCACCTGAGGTCAGGAGTTCAAGACCAGCCTGACCAATATGGTGACACCCCATCTTTACTAAAAATACCAAATTAGCCAGGCGTGGTGGTGGGTGCCTGTAATCCCAGCTACTTGGGAGGCTGAGGCAGGGGAATCGCTTGAACCCAGTAGGTGGAGGTTGCAGTGAGTAGAGATCGTGCCATTGTACTCCACCCTGGGGGACAAGAGCAAAGCGAAACTCTGTCTCAAAAAGAAAAAGTCAAAAAAAAAAAAGTATATATGGGTAGTTGGCTGGGTGCAGTGGCTCACGCCTGTAATCCCAGCACTTTGGGAGGCCGAGGCAGGTGGATCACCTGAGGTCAGGAGTTCGAGACCAGCCTGGCCAATATGGTGAAACCCTGTCTCTACTAAAAATACAAAAATTAGCCAGACATGGTGGTGCGCACCTGTAATCCCAATTACTCTGGAGGCTAAGGCAGGAGAATTGCTTGAACCCGGAAGGCGGAGGTTGCAGTGAGCCGAGATTGCATGTTTGCACTCCAGCCTGGGCGGCAGGGTGAGACTCTGTCTCAAAAATAAAAATAAAAATATAAAAAGTGGATAGTTAAAGAAGAACCATGTAATGAAGGAGGGAGATAATTGTACAGTTTAGTCTCCAGGTGGGTGGAAGGTTTACCTTTCCGAGTGTGAACTTTTCTGTCTTTTGGAACTTAAAATAATTGCATATGAATATGATCATGCACAAAATGAGAATGACATCCAAGCAAGGTGTTTTTCAGTAACCTCTACCATTGTTCTTTGTATCTTAAAAAAGCAATACATTATATGGCTTGTTTGTTAATTGAAATATAAGCAAGAAGAAAGCAAGCCAGATGCAGTGGCTCATGCCTGTAATCCCAGCTCTTTGGGAGGCCAAGGCGAGCGGATCACCTGAGGTCAGGAGTTCGAGACCAGCCTGGCCGACATGGTGAAGCTGTGTCTCTACTAAGGGTACAAAAATTAGCCGGGGGTGGTAGTGGGCACCTGTAATCCCAGCTACTTGGGAGGCTGAGGCAGGAGAATTACGACATTGCACTCCAGCCTGGGTGACAAGAGCAAAACTCCGTCTCAAGGGAAAAAAAAAAAAAAAGAAGTACAAAGCACATAATCACTTAACATACCTTCTTCTGTGTGCCAACTTAGATAAATGGAGGCAACAGTAGTTAATGAACATCTGGAAGAGGCTGAGGAAAAAAAAAAAACAGTGGCAGTCTGGAATTTTCCTGGAGCTCATTGTGGGACAAAACCAAGCAGCATGAATAAAATCTTCATCATTCACACACTTCTGTGATTTTACAGCATGGCAGGGACAGACACACAAGTGTGTGTGGCCTGAGTGCTTCTTGAACTCAAGGATTCCTGTGCCAGGATCCGTAGCTGAGCCCAACATTTCGCTGTGACTTCATGGCAGTCAAAGAGGGATGATGATTTATGTGTCTGTTGTTATCTGACATTTTAAGAAGTCACCAGTTCTTTAGGAGATGAATTCGTTCTCCAGTATAAAAGTGTAAGAGAAGCTGATCCCGGGATACTGAAAAGCTAAGGCAGGGTAAGTCTTCAATGGAAATTTCAAAAACATATGGCCTCTCTTGTGGAGAGACAGGAACATACGGTTCCAAGAGAATTCTGTAAAATATTTTCACAGGGAGCTAAAGTGACTTAATCTATATCACTTTCTGATATAGCAATATTAAAAGGTCATGAGGAAAATGTAGGTGGGTTATTTTATTTTATTTTTGAGACAGGGTCTTGCTCTGTCTCCCAGGCTAGAGTGCAATGGCACGATCTCAGCTCACTGCAGCCTCCACCTCCTGGGCTCAAGCAACCCTCTCACCTCAATGTCCCGAGCAGCTGGGACTGCAGGCATGCACCAGGATGTCTGCCTAATTTTTTTTTTTTTTTTTTTGTAGAGATAGGGGTCTCACTATGTTGCCCATGTTGATCTTGAACTCTGGCTCAAATGATCCCCCCACCTCAGCCTCCCAAAGTGCTGGGATTACAGACATAAACCATGGTGCCAAGTCTGTTTTTATTTTTTTCGTTTTTAATTGTTTTCTTAGTCCAGGTTCCAGGCTTATTGTTTTTATTTTTTAAAGATGAAAACAGTGAAAGTATGGCTCAAAACAGTTTCAGGAAGTCAAGTTAACAAAGCCATTAAAACTTTTTCTAATCTTTTCCTTTGTTCTGTTTTGGTTTATTTGTCGATTAAAAAGTAACTTACTGATGTGACATTTTGTTACTGTAAATAAGTTCATATTTTTCAAACACTAAATTCTTCCATGGTGTTTGCTGCTAGATATGAGCTAGTTGTCTATTCCTGCACTGCTATTTGCCTCAGTGAATCCCAGCACTTTGGGAGGCCCAGGCAGGAGGATCACAAGGTCAGGAGTTCAAGACCAGCCTGGCCAACACAGTGAAATCCCGTCTCTACTAAAAATACAAAAAATTAGCCAGGCCTGGTGGCGGGTGCCTGTAATCCCAGCTACTTGGGAGGCTGAAGCAGGACCTGAACCTGGGAGGTGGAGGTTGCAGTGAGCAGAGATCGTGCCACTGCACTCCAGCCTGGGCAACAATGCAAGACTCCGTCTCAAACACACACACAAACACACAAACACACACACACACACACACACACAAGCTCTCCCAGGCTTCAGCTGAGGGGCGCACTGGGAGATGACGGCCTGTCTGGGCCAAACTGTTTCTGTAATTTGTCTTCCTTTCCTCCTCGGGCTTCACGTTCCCAGTGAGACCCTCTCTGTTGCTTTGCCTCTACTGCGTCCAGTCTGGGCCACAGGAATGCGCTATTCCGCTTTGAACTTGAACCCAAGCCTGGCCAAAACTATCTTTTTTTGGCTCCCCTGAGCATTCATTGCCTTCACTCATTTGGCGACAGTTAATGCAGCATCTTTGCTTGGTCCTCTCCTGGGTCCTGAGCAGCAGGGATGAATGAGGCAGACAAAATTCTTTCCCTAAAGGAGCTGTCCCTTTAGTGGGAGAAGACAGAATAAACACATACAGAGGAAAAAGAGCTATTGTTAGTCATTAATACCAATAAGACACTGTTCAGTGTTTCCAAGAGCTTGCATACATCAAGGGAGAATAAGAAGTAATTATAGAAGACACAAATAACAAGGTATTTACGCATGTTACCAAGCACAGGTTGTTCATTTTAAAATGACTAAGCTCTAGCTTCAGAGTGGGCACTTTGCCCCCAACCTCTTTCTACTAAGCAATCTCAGCCACCTTGCTGTGGAGCTCTCAATAGCTGTTCTAATTCTTGTCTTGTCTCCTAGACTCAACATTTTTCTGTTTTCAAACGTCATTGCCAAGAAGCCCTCAATTTCAAATGAGTCACTGACCCAGTAAATTACCTAATGCGTCTACAGCTCCACCCACCTTCGCAGTCTCAGAATGCTCAAGTGGAAAACGTTGCTTGGGGCAGGTGACTCCTTAGGACTTGGAAATGAGGGAAATGTGGTTGCTTCCACCATAAAATCGGAAATTCCAAGGGGGCACAATAGAGATGTGCCAATCTGGGGAAAGACTCTTAGGCTGGTTAAAGGCCCTAATAACCTAATAGAAGATGTTGGCTTATCTAAATTATGTGTCACTGTAATATGGGGGTTGGTTGGCAAAAAAGGACCAAAATAGTAGAGTCTGAAAGGCTGGGGCTGGTGGTGCCCTTGTGGACAGGGTGCAGGGGCTTCACTGGCAGGTGTACCCACCAACTATAGAAATGAAGAAATTGGGCAGTTAGAGCCATATGTTACTAAACATTCAAATGATAACTTCCCTTTCTCTGAATCTATGCTCATCAAGAAATATTATGTGATTGACTTTCCAAATCTTCAGGGAAAATAAGGTAGGTCTTATGAATTCTGGGCCCACTTGTCAGTTTTATTTCTTATGGAAACAAATATATTGGAATTTCCATTACTAGAATTCAATGTCTTATCAGCATTTTCCCCAAATCTGATCAATTTTCTTTTTTTTTTTTTTTTTGAGAAAAGGTCTCGTTCTGTCACCCAGGCTGGAGTGCAGTGGCATGATCTCAGCTCACTGCAACCTCTGCCTCCCGGGCTCAAGCAATCCTCCCACCTTAGCTTCCTGAGTAGCTGGGACCACACGTGCACACCACCATGCCCAGGTAACTTTTGTATTTTTTTTAAAGAAAGGGTTTCGCCATGTAGCCCAGGCTTGTCTTGAACTCCTGGGCTCAAGGGATCCGCCCACCTCATCCTTCCAAGGTGGTTCAATGACAAGGTGTGAGCCATCGCGCCTGGCCCGCGTTTCATTTTCTAAGTCCCAAAAAGCTGTGGGCTGCATTAGGAATTCGTTTGATCATTCATTCATTCAATTGAATATTTTCAGAAACTTGTTACAGCCCAACCGCTGTGCTTAGGAGTATAGCACTGAGCAGAACAGACTGACCCTGACAACCGATTGCTCTAACCTGTCTTCCCTTTCCTCCTTGGGCTTCACTTTCCCAGTGAGACTTTCTCTGTTACCTTGCCTCTATCACCTCCAATCTGGGGCACAGCAACACGCTATTCTGCTTTGAACTCAAGCCCAAGCCTGGCCAAAACTGTCTTTCTTTGGCTCCCCTGAGCATTTGTTGCCTTCACTCATTTGGCCAAGTTAACGCAGCATCTTTGCTGGGTCCTCTCCTGGGTCCTGAGCAGCAAGGATGAATGAAACAGACAAAATTCTTCCCCTAAAGGAGCTGTCCCTTTAGTGGGAGAAGGCAGAATAAACACATACACAGGAAAGAGAGCTACTGTTAGTCCTTATTAGATAGTCACAATATTTGAACCTTCAAGCTCATTTGTGCTTTCACGCAAATAGGTGCAATAAAGTGTGACAAGGATTTCTTTTTCTTTTTTCTTTTCTTTCTTTCTTTTTTTGAGATGGAGTCTCACTCTGTTGCCTGGGCTGGAGTGCAGTGGCATGATCTCAGCTCACTGCAACCTCTGCCTCCCGGGTTCAAGCCATTCTCTTGCCTCAGCCTCCCAAGTAGGTGGGATTACAGGTGCCCTCCACTACGCCCAGCTAATTTTTTGTATTTTTAATAGAGACGGGGTTTCATCATGTTGGCCCGGCTGGTCTCAAACTCCTGACCTCGTGATTTGCCCGCCTCGGCCTCACAGAGTGCTGGGAGCCACCGCGCCCGGCCGACAAGGGTTTCTTGACTTTGATGTTTGAAGGAAGGAAAAGGTGGGGTCTAGAAGAAACAGCTGGGTTCAGGAAGGCTTTCTGGAGTAAACAGTATCTAAACAGCAACCTGCTTTAGGAGTTTGCCCAGTGAATAGGGTAGAAAGAAGAGAAGAGAATGGAGGAAATGAGGGAAGGAGGAGAGCAGGGTGAGATGAAAGCATCCCAGAGAAGTCCAGGCAGGCAGGCACCTAAGTGCTAGGGAAAGTGAGACAGAGGGCAGGCGAGGGGCCTTGCGGCCAAGGTTCTAGAAGTTTGGGCTCTATTCTCAGAGCAGTCCAGAGCCACTGCACAGCTTAGCGTGAACTAGCATGATCAGATTTGCATCTGGGACAAATCTCTGGCTGTGCAGCTGCTGAATTAGGGAGGAGTGGAGGGCCGGCATGGGCAGAGAGGCAGGTGTGATCTGTGTGAGCGACGATGGTGGCCCTAGGCAGAAACAGGGATTGAGAGAGAGGTGAAAGAATTTGAAAGACGTTTCAGAGGCGGAACTGAGAGGACTTGTGGATGGATCAGTATGGATAAGTATGGATGGGTGTGAGGGAGATGGAAGAATGCAGGAAGATTTCTGGGCTGCTGCCTCAGGCCACTGAGTGGGTGGAAAGGGAACGTCCTGACTTGGATCCTGGTCTTCTATTTAGACTTTTCTTGAGCATACACAAAAGGAGAGGCTGGACACAGCGGCTCACGCCTATAATCCCGGCACTTTGGGAGGCTGAGGCAGGTGGATGCTTGAGCCCAGGAGTTAGAGGCTGCTGTGATCATGCCACTGCATTCTATCTAGCCTGGGCGACAGAGCAAGACCCTGTCCCTTTAAAAAGAAAAAGGAGAGAGATGTGCTTATATGAAGAGAAAGGTCATCTCCCACAAGAGTACACAGAGCAAAGAGAAAAGCTGAAGATGGAAATGACCGGCACATTTTAGGACTCTCCTAAACTTCGTCAGTGAAGAAACTGCTATACTATTTCGAATGGAACACCTGGAGAAAGATCACCAGCTGCTTCCCCACCACCAGCTCCTCAGGACTCCAGGAGACAGAAACCTAATAGCAAGAGATCAAATAATAAACATTGGTGCAATTAAAATATTTTCTTTCATTTCTGTCTTTGTTTCTCTTTATATTCATATTCCTCCCAGAATGGTTGTCTTCAAAATTCATTATCTTCCTTCTTTGTTATTTCATTGAATTTCTTACTGTATCAGCCTGTATTAGTCAGGGTTCTCCAGAGAAACAGAGCCTGTAGGAGATATACAGGTATATAAGAGGAGACCTATCATGGGAAATTACTTACATGATTATGGAGGTCAAAAAGTTAAACAGGCCAGGCGCGGTGGCTTACGTCTGTAATCCCAGCACTTTGAGAGGCCGGCGGGGGGGTGGATCATCTGGGGTCAGGAGTTCGAGACCAGCCTGACCAACATGGTGAAACCCTGTCTCTACTAAAAATACAAAAATTAGGTGGGCGTGGTGGCAGGCACCTGTAATCCCAGCTACTCAGGAGGCTGAGGCAGGAGAATCGCTTGAACCCGGGAGGTGGAGGTCGCAGTGAGCCATCACACCATTGCATGCCAGCCTGGGCGACAAGAGCAAAACTCCGTCTCAAAAAAAAAAAAAAAAAAAAGTTTGATAATCTGCTGTCTGTAAACTGGAGACCAGGAAAGCCCGTGGTGTAATTCCCAGTTTGAGGCCAAAGGCGTGAGAACCAGAGGGCCACTGGTGTAAGTCCGAAAGCCCAGGAATGATGAGCTCCAATATCCAAGAGAAGGAGAAGATGGATGTTCCAGCTCCAGGAAAGAGAGAATTCACCCTTCCTCTGCCTTTTGTTCCATTCAGGCTCCCAGCAGATGGGATGATGCCCACCTCTGTTAGCGAGCGGGATCTTCTTTACTCAGTCCACCAATTCAAATGCCAACCTCTTTGCAGAAGAGAAATGTCCTCGCAGACACACCCAGAAACAAGATTTCACTAGCTACCTGGGCATCCATTACCCTAGACCAGTCAACACATGAAATTAACCGTCACGCAGCCTTCGGTTGGTCTCACACAGTCCGTTACAAGACTACATGGATACTTTGCTTTTGGGCACTCAAGCTCTTGAGTTTATCTAACATTCTGAACTTGGGCCGGGCGTGGTGGCTCACGCCTGTAATCCCAGCACTTTGGGAGGCTGAGGCAGGCAGATCACGAGGTCAGGAGATCGAGACCATCCTGGCCAACATGGTGAAACCCCGTCTCTACTAAAATACAAAAAATTAGCCGGGCGTGGTGGTGTGCGCCTGTAGTCCCAGCTATGTGGGAGGCTGAGGCAGGAGAATCGCTTGAACCTGGGAGGCAGAGGTTGCAGTGAGCCGAGATCCTGCTACTGCACTTCAGGCTGGAGACAGAGCAAGACTCCATCTAAAAAAAAAAAAAAAAAAAAATTATGAGTCTGATTTTGAATACTGTCTATCTCCTTAATTGCCCATGAAGTATTGGGCAATTAATACTCCCTTATTCCCCATGAATTATTGAATTCTGCACACTTTTAGCTAACCCTTCCAGCAGCCCACCTTGCAAAGGCCGCTATGTTAATGCTGCAGTTTTTTCTGTGTACCCTTATCAGCATTCCAAATACTCGTACTAGATATTAGTATTTTGGAGGGGGTGGGTTCATGGATTAACTGGCTTCAGCCAGTCTAGTACATTTTAATTGTAAAGAAAAAAATAATTAGATTCAGTTATGTTAACTTTTCTCTTGGATTTGAATTCGATGTTCAAGCATGATGAAAGGAAAATATAGATGATAAAATATATGTAGGAAAATTATCATGATGTCCATATTAAAAGTAACCATCAAGAAAGATTCTGGAATTATTTAATAAGCTTTTGGCAGTCTTTCCATTAGGCCTGTGAAAAGAGGCGTTTATAAATGAATAATCACCAATCTTCAATGGACTCCCAGCTCTGCCTGGAAGTCTTAATATATTTCTCTGGTTCACTCCCTTTCTTTCTCTATTGGACAACAGTTCTGAAACTTTCCTGCTTTCCTCAAACCTCTAATCCTTTTACCTCCCTTCTCACCCTTAGCTTCTTAGGGTAAAATGAAGCCAACAGCCAAGAACTCTCTCGATTTCTTTTAAATTAATGGCAAAAATCTCAATTACTTTTGCACCAACCTGGCACTTGCACCTAGTCTCTCTGTGCTTTCTGTTACATTAGGAGATGTTCTTTCTTCCTGACCTGTGGGAGGTCTTCCTGACCGCTTTTGCAGTTATCTCTTCGCTCCTCTGTGGCTTCAAACTATCCCTTTCAACTGATTCTTTCCATGGCATCCTCATGTCCCTCTCATCTTAAACCTAACAAAACCAAAAACTATGCCATGATTTGCACTCCCTCCAGCAACCTCCACCTTTCTCTTCTCTCCTTTATGACTAAATTTAGTGAAAGCTGTGTATAGATTTATGATTTTTATCTCCTCACTTCTCATTGCCCAATCCACTCCCATCACACCAGTGTAGTTTACGGCGGGATCTCCAGTGCTCTCAACATCATTCCACACTCACTTTACCTAATCTCTAAACAGCATTTAGCACATCATCAACTTATTTTCCTTCTTGAGACATTCATCCTTTTACCATTAAATATCAGAATTACCTAATGCTTTGTCCGAAGCTCTGTTCTCCTTCTATACTTTTCTTTTTTTTTTGAGACAAAGTCTCACTCTGTCACCCAGGCTGGAGTGCAGTGGCGCAATCTCCGCTCACTGCAAGCTCTGCCTCCCGGGTTCAAGCGATTCTCATGCCTCAGCCTCCCGAGTAGTTGGGATTACAGGCGCCCACCACCATGCAGGGCTAATTTTTGTATTTTAGTAGAGATGCAGTTTCACCATGTTGGCCAGACTGGTCTCAAACTTCTGACCTCAGGTGATCCACCTGCCTCGGCCTCCCAAAGTGCTGGGATTACAGGCATGAGCCATTGTGCCCGGCCAATACTCTTCTTGAGATTTCTAGATCTCCATTCATCTGAGCTCTGCTGATAGATTCAATCATTATCCATATGACAACTTCCAAATTAACATTGCTAGCCCAAGCTTCTATTCTCAACTCCACATCTTCTCCACTTGGATGTCTCAGAAGTTTCTTGTAGCCAGGTGCAGGGGCTCATGCCTCTAATCCCAGCATTTGAGAGGCTGAGGTGAGCAGATCACTTGAGTCCAAGAGTTCAAGGGCAGCCTGGGCAACATAGCAAGACCCCATCTCTACAATAGATATTTAATACAAAGACAAAGTTGCTCAAGCTCAACATGTTCAGGATTGAATTTGTTGTCTTCTAGCTAAAAACTGGTCCACTTCGATGGTTCCCTATCTCAGGGAATGGAACCACCATGCAGGTCACAAGCAGGACCCTCGCTGTTGTCTCCAACTATTGCCTGTCTTCACCTTCCACACTCAGTACAACACAATTCTACTGCTTTAACCTCCTAAATAGGTCTTAAATTTTTCTCCACGTTCACACTCTAGTCTAAACAACTTCTAAGGATCTTCAGTGAAACCAGGTAGCCCTTGGATTTTTTGAGGTCCCCCTCCCTTCTACCCTCATATTTAACTAGTACCAGTGGTGATGGATTTCCATAGGATCTAATAATGAACCGTGGGATAACAATAAAATGATTACCTAATACATTGTGAGCCAAATAAAAATTTGTAAACCTACAGTATCTAAATTCTTACATTATTTGTGGTTGGTTTCTACTTAAATTGTATTCTGGATGAGGCTGACATTTGAAAAAAAATTCGGTGTGCAATTGACAACAATTAATTATTTAACGGCAAGTGATGAGGATCGTAAAAGATTAAAATAGCCTGAAAATAGTACACAGAGCAGATATTTTAAAAGGGCATGCACGGGCCAGGCGCAGTGGCTCACGCCTGTAATCCTAGCACTTTGGGAGGCCGAGGCGGGCGGATCACGAGGTCAGGAGATCGAGACCATCCTGGCTAATACAGTGAAACCCCGTCTCTACTAAAAATACAAAAAACTAGCCCAGCGTGGTGTCGGGCGCCTGTAGTCCCAGCTACTCCGGAGGCTGAGGCAGGAGAATGGCGTGAACCCGGGAGGTGGAGCTTGCAGTGAGCCGAGATCGCGCCCCTGCACTCCAGCCTGGGCGACAGAGTGAGACTCCGTCTCAAAGATAAATAAATAAATAAAAAGGACACGCATGAAACAACAAAAGGTGATTGCAAAATCCTATTTTACATAAATTCAATTTAAAGCTAAGAGAAAAATAAATACTAAATAAAAAACATTTCAGAGGAAAACCTCTCATGAAGCCAGGTCGAATGAGAAAGTCTGTTTATTCAAAGGTTCCTCATCAAGCGACACGCTCACCCTCTACAAGGAGCACACACACATGGTCTTTTCATATCTCAAAGTGCTCTCCTGGAGAGAGGCCACCAAAGGTATAGGAGGAGTTTCAACATGACAAAACTCTCTCTTCCAGAAGTACAGCCTGAGCTCTTCACTCTCACAAACAGCGGCCACTCATGAGTCACCATGGCAACAGCCTCTGTAATGGTTAGTGCATGCCTCTTAGAAAACGATGTCGCTCAAGGTCAAAGTCTGCATTTGTGAAAAAGTCTCACTGTGTTCCCCTGCACAGACTTGTCATTGAACAGCAGCCAAAACTTGAGGCTCCTCAACCTTGAGGCTGTCGGCCAAGTGGCCCTGCTAGCTTCCCTCCCCTGAGTCCTGCCAGCACTTCCTGTTTCTGTTCCTCCTACCTTGGAACACCTGGGTTCCTCCCTTTCCTGGAAAGCATGCTGCTGGGGACAGAGTTGGGATGCATAGCCGGGAAACTCTTCCACTTAGTCTATACATCATTGAGCATGCAGTGCTGGGGGCTCCTGCTGTAAGCCTCCGTTGTGAACAAAGTCTTGGGAGGAGCCCTGCTTCCCCGGGACGGGAGCAAACCTACCAAGCATGAGCTGAGGAGAAGCCACCTCCTGGGCGTTCTTCCAGGTCATCTCCTATGGCCGGGGTCTCTAAACGTGTTTGACTGCACATCCCTATCAGCACAAAATTTTTGAGTATGTACTCCCAATATATTTACTTATAAATTATATATAATTATATGCTGAAATCTATATACTACATTTTTGTAAAGCTTAATACTTTTTTCTCTTTTTTTTCTTTTTGAGACAGGATCTCATTCTGTTGCCCAGGCTGGAGTGCAACGGCTGGATCACAGCTCACTGCAGCCTCGACCTCCCATGCTCAAGTGATCCTTCTGCCTCAGTCTCCCAAGTAGCTGGAACTGCAGGCGCCCATCACCACCCCGGGCTAATTTTTGTATTTTTTGCAGTAACGGGGTTTCACCATGTTGCCCAGGCTGATCTTGAGCTCTAGGACTCAAGTGTTCTGGCCACCTCGGCCTCCCAAATTGCTGAGATTACAGGCATGCACCCAGCCAATACTTTCCTTTCTTTTCTGGTAAATTAGTACATCTCCTATATTCTTCCCACCTTCAACAGACTGCTTTGCACACCTCATGGGTTGCTCACATTGCACTTTGAGGATCTTTGCTATTTACTTTCACAAGGCTCAATGTTCTAAAATAGTTCTAAAATACAGATCTCTCCCTGCTTATAACTCTTCAGTGGCACCTCATTGCTCTCAGGATAAAGTTTAGACTCTTTAACATGGACTTCCTGTGGGTTGAAAATCAGTCTGACTCTGATCTCACCACTTTACCAGCCCACAGTTTAAAACTCTAGTACTTGCATTCTTTCTAGGTCATACGTTTTCTCCCATCCAAGACTTTGCACAGACTATAGAAATCCTTTCTCCCCACACAGTCTTTCCCCCTGACTCTTATTTTTAGGAAATTCCCTGGAATTCTTCCTCTACCTCCTACCTCATTAGGATGAAGACCCCACCATGTTTCTCCAACACAGCAGGCTTTATTCTTTATGCAATACACATTATAGTCTATTGCAATTGTAAATTTAGTATTGAGCTTGCTAAAGGTTGGGATGGCTTTTTAAATTAAATGGCCTGGGTTTAGCGAGGTTAAAAAGGTGAAGAATTTCCTGATTTGAGATGGCATGCCACACAGCCCAGAGCTTGTGTCTCTTTCCTTACCAAGGAGATACCAGCTCTGGTTCTGGGAAATGAGCAGAATGGGGTGTTCCTCTCCTTCTCCCTGTCTTCTTTCTTCCCATGGTATCTAGGCCAGATCGTGGTCTAGTGGCAGAGTTTTTTGGATTTGCTGGTATGATTCATGGTAAGAAATGAATTTTATAACAGACTCAGTACACACATAGACATATACACATGCAGGTGCGCACACACACACATACATATACACACACATACGTTACACATGTATTAGTGTGTTCTCACATTGCCATAAAGAGATACCTGATACTGGGTAATTTATAAAGGAAAGAGGTTTAATTGGCTCACCGTTCTACAGGCTGTACAGGAAGCATAGCAGCTTCAGCTTTTGGGGAGGCCTCAGGAAACTTACAATCATAGTGGAAGGCAAATGGGGGAGCAGGAACATCTTACATGGCTGGAGAAGGAGGAAGAGGGAGAGGGAGGAGGTACTACACACTTTTAAACAACCAGATCTCACGATAACTCACTCACTCACTGTTGCCATGACAGCACCAAGGGGGATGGTGTTAAGCCAGGAGAAGCCACCCCCATGATCTCATCACTTCCCACCTGGCCCCACCTACAACACTGGGGATTACAATTCGACATAAGATTTGGGTGGAGACACAGATCCAAACCATATCAATACATATGTATGCACACATCATTTGTTTACTATTGTCTCAAGTACGCTTACCTATTTACCTTATTTACAGTTGCAACTCACCCCTACCACTCTTGAACCTCCTTATATTGCCCTGTTTTTCCTTTTCCCATTGAACCTTTGAGTATACTAAATTCTTGATTTTACTACGTTTATTTTTATGGTCTGGATCCCTCCGCTAGACTGTTAGCTCCGGAGAACAGGGGTCTTTGTTTTCTTCATTCATGTGTCAAGTTCCCCAAACAGTTCCTGGCACATCATAGGCCCCCAAAGACTATTTGTTGTACAAATGAATCAGTGAATTGAAATAAATGTTTCATGAAATCTATGCTTACTACGTGGAATACATACACATATTTTCTCATCTCATCTATTAAAAAAAAAAAAGCTGGCCAAGATCTACTAATGGGTCAAAACCTGCAGTTTAATAAGCACTGGCTTAGGTATTAAGACCCATGTCAGGGGGCCCTGATGTGGCTGGTGGGAAGATACCTTGTGGGCCAGGAGCCTTCCCAATTGATGCTGCAGAACTTAGCAGTAGAGTCTGGGTGTGAGGGAGGTCAGGAGGAACTGCTGTAGAAAAGTGTATCCAACAAAGGTTGTGGCAGTTTTAAAATATGCCCCTGAACTCTTTGAGTTGAAAATATGAGTTTAAAATACGCTCCTGTCTTCAAAAGGTGGAGCCTAATTTCCCTCCCCTTGAGTGGGGACTGGACTTGGTAACTCACTTCCAATGAATAGAGTGTGGTGAAAGTGGGCATGTGTGGCTTCCAAGACCAGGTTAAGAAAGGTGGTGTGGCTTTCTCTCTGCTCTCTCTTTTGGATCACCTACTGTGGGGGAAGCCAGCTGCTATGCAGTGAGGACACTCAAGCAGCCCTGTGGAGAGGCCCATATGGTAAAGAACTAAGGCCTCCTGCCAACAGCCATGTCAGTGAGCCCTCTTGGAAGTGAATCTTCTAGCCCCAGTCAAGCCTTCAGATGACATTTTGTTTGTAACCTCATGAAAAAACCTGAGTCACAACCATCCAACCAAACCACTCCCAAATTTTTGACCCCAGAAGCTGTGAGATAATAAATGTCTGTTGTTTTAAGCCACTAAGTTTCGGAGTAGTTTGTTATGCAGAAATGGATAACAAATACAAGTGCAAGCTATTTTATTTTATTTTATTTTAAAATGGAGTCTCACTCTGTCACCCAGGTTGGAGTGCAGTGGCACAATCTTGGCTCACTGCAGCCTCTGCCTCCCAGGTTCAAGCGATTCTCCTGCCTCAGCCTCCTGAGTAGCTGGGATTGCAGGCGCACACCACCACGCCCAGCTAATTTTTGTATTTTTAGTAGAGACGGGGTTTCACCATGTTGGCAATTTTAAAAAGGGTTTATTCTTATATAATTTTAGGTTTAACTTAATTGGCACACATACTTTCTTAACCTCAACTTGGAACTGCAGGGTCTTTTCATACTGTCAGGCAATGGTCTAGTGAGAGTTCCTGCAAGAGAGGTAGATGTCTCTTCCTGAATCACAGTGAGCAAATTTCCAGTCATGTGAGTACATTCTATAAAACATACTTGTAGGAGAATAGTGGTGTACGCACAGTGGTGCTGATGTGGTGGGGGGGCAGTGGAAGGTGGGGGTTATGAATTTAACGTAACTAAAAGAGCAAGAATGAGCTGACTTCCATCGTGGCTAACACGGTGAAACCCCGTCTCTACTAAAAATACAAAAAAATTAGCCGGGCATGGTGGTGGGCGCCTGTAGTCCCAGCTACTCCGGAGGCTGAGGCAGGAGAATGGCGTGAACCCGGGAGGCGGAGCTTGCAGTGAGACAGGATCGCGCCACAGCACTCCAGCCTGGGCGACAGAGCCAGACTCCGCCTCAAAAAAAAAAAAAAAAAAAAAAAAAAAAAGGAAGAAGAATGAGCTGACCCGTGAGAGAGGATATCTAGGCACTGTCATTTCTCAGGCAGAGCTTGGTTCTCACCCAGAGTTTAGACTCTGAAAATGTTATTAAATGGCAAAACTTGCAGAATAGCTTTGGTCTGGTTCTCTTAATAATTCCCTAACTACTAATAATTCTTTTTTCCCCTTAGACTTATAAATTACATATCCACCATGACCCACATTTCTAAGCCTGTATGAACAAGTTTCATCATTCATGTGAGCAGAAGGCTTAGCTCACATTGGGAGCTAATGCTGACCAGAGTTCCCCACTCCACCGCACCCTCCGCAAGGCAGAACTGAACATGTAAGATATTAGCACTGCATATTTTCCCCGATAATAAAAATATTGACTTTATACTTGTATATTGCTGAAGGTTTTCTTGTCCACTATTCTACCATCAATCATTTAGTACTGCACTGTCCTATACAGTAGCCAGGAGCCACATATGACTGTTGAGTACCTGTAATGTGACCAGTCCAAGTTCACATGTGCTGAAAGTATAAAATACGCTCCAGATTGTGAAGACTTAGAATAAAGAAAGTAAAATAGTTCATTAATAATGTTTATATTAACTGTATGTAGAGAAACGATACTATTTGGATATAATGGATGAAATAAAACTCTAAAATTAATTTTACTTAATTTCTTTTTGCTTTTCCAAACACGGCGGCGAAAAGGTTTACCATTTCGTGTGCGGCTCACATATTCCTGTTCGACAGCGTGGACTGGAAGCTGGCCTAGGGTCTTTTAGCACCAATTCCTTGCCCAGGTATTTCGGTGAGAACACTTGATCACATCCACACCACGTGGGTTCCTCCGTGTAGCTTCACAATCTTGCTGAAATGTTGTCCAAGTGAGCAACCGTGTGTCTGTAGGATTAGGGCTGATGACTGGCTCCTGATCACAGCCTACCCTGGTGTGGGAAGGTGGCTGCAGAAGGGGTTACCGGACATGCTACAAGTCCTGCAGCTTCTCACTAGGGGAACGGAATTAAACTCCAGGGCCTGTGCCTGCAGAAGGCCAAGGACGTTCATTCCACTCCACTGAAATTATAGCTCTAACCTTGAGCAGAAAATGTCATTGTCAGAAGAAATAAGATTAGGGGATCAACAGTGAAAAACATCAACTACAAACTTTTTAATGTTAAGATTCCAGGGTTAAAATTCTATTTCCCCATCACCATTTGTCTACATAGCTGGTATTTCCTCGGCCCACACATGACAAGTCTCTTGTGGCTTGACTCTGAAAGTTTTTACATACTTTGCCTTCCATTTAGTTAGAGGGGATTTTGTTTCACTTTAATCATTTGGTGACTTGTAGAGTCGTGAGTTCCTGTCATAATCAAATTAATGGATTAGTATTATCTCTTCAAAGCAATGCAAAAAATAATGTACAGGCATGTGCCGTACAATGATATTTCAGTCAATGACAAACTGCATGAACGATGGTGGGTCTATAAGATTATAAAGGGGCTGAAAAATTCCTATTGCCTAGTGACATCATAGCTACCAGATTCATTGTCACATGGTAGTGCCATGCATTGCTCACATGTTGTTGTGAATACTGGGCTGCCAGTCATATAAAAGCATCGCACATACAAGTATGTACAGTACGTAATACTTGATGATAATAAGTGACTATTTTACTGGTTTATGTATTTACTAAACTATACTTTTTATCATTATTTTAGAGCATACTCCATCTACTTATTAAAAAAAGTTAAGTAAAACTCAGGCAGGTCCTTCAGGAGGTATCCGGACGAAAGCATTGTTATCACAGGAGACGACAGCTCCATGCCTGTTACTTCCCCTGAAGACCTTCCAGTGGCACAAGATGTGAAGATGGAAGACAGTGATACTCATGATCCTACCCTGTGTAGGCCTAGGCTAATGTGTGTGTTTGTGTCTTCGTTTTTCACCAAAAAATGTTTAAAAAGTAAAAGATAAATAAATAAAAGTTAAAAACAGAAAAGAACTTAGAGACTAAGGATATAAAGAAAGAAAATATGTATATATATGTAGCCGTACAATGTGTTTGTGTTTTAAGCTGTGTTATTACAAAAGAGTCAAAATATTTTTTTAAAAAAGTTTATGAAGTAAAAACATTACAGTAAGCTAAGGTTAATTTATTGTTGAAGAAAGACATTTTAAAAATAAATTTAGTGGCTGGGTGCAGTGGCTCATGCCTGTAATCCCAGCTCTTTGGGAGGCCAAGGCGGGTGGATCACCTGAGGTCAGGAGTTCGAGACCAGCCTGGCCAACATGGCAAAACCCCGTCTCTACTAAAAATACAAAAATTAGCTGGGTGTGGTGGCACGCACGTGTAGTCCCAGCTACTTGGAAGGCTGAGGCAGTAGAATTGCTTGAACCCAGGAGGCGGAGGTTGCAGTGAGTCAAGATCACGCCACTGCACTCCAGCCTGAGCAACAGAATGAGACTCTGTCTCAAGAAAAAAAAAAATTAGTGTAGCCTAAGTGTACAGTGTTTATAAAGTCTATAGTGGTGTGCAGCAACGTCCTAGGCCTTCACATTCACTCACCATTCACTCACTGACTTACCCAGTGCAACTTCCAGTTCTGCAAGCTTTATTCATAGTAAGTGCCCCATATATGTGTACCATTTTAAATATTTTATGCTGTACTTTTAATGTGCCTTTTCTATGTTTAGATACACAAATACTTACCATTGTGTTACAATTGCCTACAATATTCAGTATAGTAACCTGCTGTACAGATTTGCAGCCAATAGTCTATACCATACAGCCTAGGTATACAGTGGGCTATACCATTTAGAGTTAAGTACGCTCTTTGATGTTTTCACAACAACAAAATCACCTAATGACACGTTTCTCAGAATGTACCCCCACCATTAGCTGATGTGTGATTGTAGAGGGAAATTTCGTGTTTGGACTGTGTGTTTATTTTTCCCCCAAGTCATTTTTTCTCCTAATGAACCCTGTGTATTTAAATTACAGTCTACCAAATAAGGTAGCTTTATTTCTATTTCTAATTTCTCCCTCTGTGATTTCCCAATAAAGATTTAGTACTTGTCATTTGCATTTTAATTAGGCCCTGTTCCTGGTTGTGGCAGATCAGTTTTGCCTGGAGGTTTGATGCATTCCTTGACTGTGCTCTCTGTTACCTGTACTCTGTCATTTTTATTTCCTCTTGTTCTGTCTGTCATGAAGGCATGTGATAGAGAGATAGTGTCCTCAAATGATAAAAAGATAAGTGGCTGTGATAGAACTATTTACCTACCATCCTGTTAAAGTTTCAGAGCTAGTCTTGAATGTTTTGTCTGTGCACTGAAAAACAATGTATACTTTGCTGTTGTTGGGTGGAATTTCAATTACGTCAAGTTGGTTGATCATTTTGTTGAAATCTTGTATAAGCTTACTTATTTTATGTCTGTTTATTCTATCAATAACTAAGAGAGAGTGTTGAAATATTTCAGTATAGGCCGGGCGCGGTGGCTCACACTTGTAATCCCAGCACTTTGGGAGGCTAAGGTGCACAGATCACCTGAGGTCAGCCTGGCCAACATGGTGAAACCCGTCTCTACTAAAAATACATAAATTAGCCGGGCATGGTGGCAGGCGCTGGTAGTCCCAGCTACTAGGGAGGCTGAGGCAGGAAAATCGCTTGAACCCGGCAGGCGGAGGTTGCAGTGAGCTGAGATTGGGTCATTTCACTCCAGCCTGGGCAACAAAAGCAAAAAAATTAAAAAATAAAACAATAAAAAATAAAACTGTCTCAAAAAAACAAAAACAAAATTGAAATATTTCAGTATAATTGTGGAATTATCTATTTCTCCTTTCAATTCTACCAGTTTTCCTTTATGCATTTTAAAGCTCTGTTATTATGTGCAAAAACATTTAAGATTACTATATTTTTTTGATGACTTGAGCCCTTTATCAATGTGAAATGACTCTGTTTATCTCTGATAACATTCCATGGTATGAAATCAACTTCGATATTTATGTAGTACTTCAGCTTTCTTTTGATTACTTTTATCATGGCGTATCCTTTTCCATCTTTTATAACCTTTTATTATTTTCATATTTAAAGTGCATTTATTGTAAGGAGCCTATACTTGGGTCTTTCTTCTGTTCAATTCTGATTTATGTCATTTAATGACTGGTAGTCCATTTACTTTTAATGTGATTATTAATATGGTTACGTTTAACCTACCATTTTACTGTTTGTTTTCTATGTATTGCATTCCCCATTTTGCCTTCTTATGGATTTGTTGAATATTTTCTACAATTTCATTTATCTGTTTGTTGGTTTGTTAGCTATACCTCTCTTTTTTTAATGACTGATTTAGGGTTTATAGTATATATCAGGGGATGGCAAACTATAGCCCCTAAGCCAAATCTGCTTGCCACCTGTTATTGTAAATAAAGTTTTATTGAAATACACCCACGCTCATTAGTGTATTTATTGCCTGTGGCTGCTTTTGCAGAACAACAACAGTATTGAGGGTGGGTGCAGCAGCTCACGTCTGTAATCCCAGCACTTTGGGAGGCTGAGGTGGGAGGATCACAGAAGGAGTTCAAGACCAGCCTGGGCCACACAGGGAGACCCCATCTCTACCAAAAAAAAAAAAAAAATTAGCTGGGTGTAGTGGCATGCACCTGTAGCCTCGGCTACTTGGGAGGCTGAGATGGGAGGACAGCCTGAGCTCAGGAGTTTAAGGCTGCAGCAGCTGTGAATTCGCCACTGCACTACAGCCTGAATAACAGAGTGAAGCCCTGTCTCAAAAAAAAAAAAAAAAAAGTAAAAATAACAATAAAATAGAACACGAAAACAGTAGAATTGAGTAGTTGTGACAGAGACCATAAGGCCTGCAAAGATGGAAATACTTACTATCTGACCCTTTACAGAAAATGTTTGCCAACCCCTGATAAGCACTTTAACTTATCATAATCTACCATCAAGAAATGTCATGCTGTTTCACATATACTTGCAACAATAAATTCAAATCCTGGATTGGCCTTTGTGCTCTTGTCAAAAATTTTACTTCTATTTATAAGGCCCACAATGCATTGTGGTTATTTTTGCTTTATAAAATTATGTTTCAAAGAGATTTTTTTAAATACGAAAAAAGAGTCTTTTATATTAACCTCCCCTGCTCCCTCCCAACCCCCTACACAATGACCATTTCTGGTGTTCTTTATTCCTTTGTATAAAACCAGATTTCTACCTGGCATTATACTTTGGCCTAAGGGACTTCTCTTAACATTTCTTATAGTGTAGGTCTACTGGTGATTAATTCTTTTGGTTTTGTATGTCTGAAAAAGTCTTTATTTTGATTTTGCTTTTGAAGACATTGTTACTGGATATAAAAATCTAAGTTGACAGTGTTTTTTGTTTTGTTTTGTCTTTTAGCACTATAAGGTTGCTTTGCCACTATCTTCTGGTTTATATTATTTCTAACAAGAAGTTTGCTCTCATTCTTATCTTTATTCCTCCATACCTGTATCTTCTTCCTGGTTGCTTTTTTTTTTTTTTCCTTTTTAGTAGTAGATTTAACAACTTGATTTTGATATGTTTTTATCATAGTCTTCTTTACATGTCTTGTGTTGGGATTTGTTAAATTTCTTAAACCTGTGGATTAATAGTTTGCATTAAATTTGGAAATGTTTTGGCTATTCTTTCTTCAAATATTTTTTATGATCCTCTGCTTCCTCTTCCCACCAGACTCCCGTTACACAATTACACATATATTAGACTAACTGAAGTTGTCCCATAGTTCACTTATATTTTATTCTTTTTTTCAGTCTTTTTTTCTCTCTGTGTGTTTTAGTTTGGACAGTTTGTACTGCTATATATTCACATTTACTAATCTTCAGCACTTTCTAATCTGTTATTAATTTTATCCGATATATTTTTTATTTTGGACATTTAGTTTTATTTCTAAAAGTTTTAATTGGGTCTCTAAAAATATTTCTCATGTCTCTTTTTAACATGGGCATACTTTTGTCTACCATCTTAAACTTTCAGGATATAGGTATAGTTACTATCTTAAAGTCCTCCTCCACTTATTCTATTGTCTCATTTCTGGGTCTGTTTATGTTAATTTTTCTGCCAATTAATTTTCATCCATTTCCCCAATATAACTCTTTTTTCTTGAGCATTTTTTTCTTTCTTTTTTTTTTTTTTTCCCTGTTGCCCAGGCTGGAGTGCAATAGCATGATCACGGCTCACTGCAGCCTCAACGTCCCGGGCTCAGGCAATTCTCCCACCTCAGCCTCTCAAGTAGCTGGGACTACAGGCACACATCACCATGCCCAGCTAATTCTTAAATTTTTTGTAGAATGAGGTCTTGCTATGTTGTCAGGGCTGGTCTCAAACTCCTGGGCTCAACTGATCCTCCCACCACAGCCTCCCAAAGTGCTGGGATTGTAGGTGTGAGCGACCATGCTGAGCCTTCTTGAATATTTTGAAAGAAATCTCCGACAACATGTGTCTCGTAAATATTTCAGTGTGCATGTCTAAGTGATAATTAGTAAAGATTTTTTTTTCACATTGGATGGATAATGTGGTGTTGATGTAGTAACAAGGTTTGAGGGAGGCTGATCTCACACTTTAACATGAAAACGAAATCATCACACTTATGAACCAAAAAAGAATGGTAAAGACTTTAAAAAACATCATCCCTTTGCTATTTATCACTTAAGAAAACTAATAACCATTCCTGAATATAATCTAACATTCAGATCGTATGTGAATTGCTCTACTTCATCTTAAAAATGCCTTTTTACAGATGATTTGTTTGACTCAGGATACAATGAGAATCACAAATTGGCTGCTATATCTCTAAGTCTCTTTTATTCTATAAGTCTCTTTTCAATATGCTATAGCATGTTAAAGAAAATGGGTCGTTTGTCTGCAGATCCCACAATCCACATTGGCTGATTGTTTCCTTGTGGTATCATTTGACTTGTGCTGCAAACCCTTGTATCCCCTGGAAATTGATAGTTGGGCCTAGAGGTCTAAGTGGTAGGCTCAGGCTGAATTTTACAGGCAAGAACCCTCCATATGAATGCTGCGCAATTTTGTGGCATCACATCATGTGGTACATTATGGCGCATTGTCCCATTTTTAGAAAGGCCGAGATTGATCAGTATGTGCTGGATGTGCCCCACTGATGCCTCCACTGGGAACTCCTACAACATCTCATCTCATGTTTTTGGCTTGCATCAGGGAAGAAAAACTTTATTTTATTTTTATTTTTATTTATTCTATTTATTCATTTATTTTTTTGAGATGGAGTTTTGCTCTTATTGCCCAGGCTGGAGTGCAATAGGGCAATCTCGGCTCACCACAACTTCTGCCTCCCGGGTTCAAACTATTCTCCTGCCTCAGCTTCCCAAGTAGCTGGGATTACAGGTGCACGCCACCACAGCCGGCTAATTTTTGTATTTTTAGTAGAGACAGGGTTTCTCCATGTTGATCAGGCTGGTCTCGAACTCCTGACCTCAGGTGATCTGCCCGTCTCGGCCTCCCAAAGTGCTAGTATTACAGGCTTGAGCCACTGCGCCTGGCCAAAGAAAAATGTTATACTCAGATTATGAAGATAGGCAGGGCCAGTATTTTTAGGCACACATCTGCTTAAGAGGTGGCTATGGGAACACTCTTGGCTCACGCTTAGGCAGCATCCCTGTCTCCATGGCTTCTCTGGTCATTCACCCATTTGCCTGCCTGTTGGGCTGTGCACTTGTCAGAGAGGGCCAGTGGCCTGCTACGGTATCCGTAACATTATTCCATTGTAAGTCCTCACCAGAGGTTTTGTGGGAAGCCACATGAGAAACTAGAATTTTCATACTAGAAATTAAAGACAGTTGGGGGGGAGGGTCTGATAAAATAGCCTTGAAAAAGACTCTTTGGCATGAAATAGTTACTCTATTTTTTTGAGGGTTAAATGTCCTTTCTTTGATGAAGTCATGTTAATGTAGTTCGTAAATGGCCAAATATAAAGTTGGCCATTTTATTTTACTGATCTGTGAAATAAAAAAGTTTCAGATAACAGGTTAAGATAATCCTCAATCTAGGAAGTATATGAGAATCTCCGGGTAGCATGCACTTTTAATATTTTTCCAAGAGGACATAGCTTAGGAAAGAAAAAAGATTGGGAAACGCTGCTCTAAAAGACAATGGAATTAGCATGATGAACATCAATCTATCAGATGATAAAGGTAACTATAACTGGCAACGTCTTTTTTTTTTTTTTTTTTTTTTGAGATGGAGTCTCCTGGAATGCAGTGGCGTGATCTCAGCTCACTGCAAGCTCCGCCTCCCGGGTTCACACCATTCTCCTGCCTCAGCCTCCCGAGTAGCTGGGACTACAGGCGCCCGCCACCATGCCCGGCTAATTTTTTGTATTTTTAGTAGAGACAGTGTTTCACTGTGTTAGCCAGGATGGTCTCGATCTCCTGACCTCGTGATCCACCCGCCTCGGCCTCCCAAAGTGCTGGGATTACAGGCGTGAGCCACCGCGCCCGGCCTTTTTTTTTTTTTTTTTTTTTAAATCCATAAAGGTCCACTACCAGCCAGATGTGGTGGCTCACGCCTGTAACCCCAGCACTTTGGGAGGCCGAGGTGGGTGGATCACGAGGTCAAGAGATGGAGACCATCCTGACTAACACGGTGAAACCCCGTCTCTACTAAAAATACAAAAAATTAGCCGGGCGTGGTGGCGGGTGCCTGTAGTCCCAGCTACTCGGGAGGCTGAGGAAGGAGAATGGCGCGAACCCGGGAGGCGGAGCTTGCAGTGAGATGACATCACGCCACTGCAGTCCAGCCTGGCGACAGAGCGAGATTCCATCTCAAAAAAAAAAAAAAAAAAAAGGTTCACTATCACTCAATACCACATTAAAAATAAATAGCCACAATGAAGTACCACTTAACACCCACGAGGATAGCTATGATGAAAAAGAGATAATAGTAACAAGTGTTGGTGAGGGTGGAAAAAGTGAAACCTTCACAGGCTGTGGGTGGGGACATAAAATGGTGCAAGCACCACGGAAAACAGTCTGGCAGTTCCTTAAAGGGAGATACAGAGTCTCCATGTGACCAAGCAATTCCATGCTTAGTTCTATACTTAAGAGAACTTCAAGCCTATGTTCACACAAAACCTGCACACAAATGTTCATAGCAGCGTTAACCACAATAGCTAAAAAGCTTTAACAGCCCAAATGTCCAGGAACTGAAGAATGGGTAAATAAAATGTGGTCTATCCATACAATGGAATGTTATTCAGCAATAAAAAGAAATGCAGTGTTGATTCATGCTACAACGTGGATAAACCTTGAAAACATGATGCTCAGTGAAAGCAGCCAGTCACAAAGGACTACATATTGTATAATTTCATTTATAGGAAATGTCCAGAGTAATCAAATCCAGGGCCGGGCACGGTGGCTCACGCCTGTAATCCCAGCACTTTGGGAGGCTGAGGCAAGCGGATCACGAGGTCAGGAGTTCAAGACCAGCCTGGCCAACATGGTGAAACCCCATCTCTACTAAAAGTACAAAAAATTAGCCAGGAGTGGTGGCACACGCCTGTAGTCCCAGCTACTTGGGAGGCTGGGGCAGGAGAATTGCTTGAATCCGGCAGGCGGAGGTTGCAGTGAGCCGAGATTATGCCACTGCACTCCAGCCTGGGGGACAGAGAGAGACTCCATCTCAAAAAATAATAACAATAATAATAATAAAATCAAATTCAGTGACACAAAGTAGATTGTGTTTCCTAGAGCGTGAGAGGCAAGGAAGGAGGGAGATGGGAATGACTGCCAGTGGGTATGGAGTTTCTTTGGGGATGAGAAAACGTTCTAAAATGTTCTCAGATGATTTCAGGATGGTCGTACAACTCTACCAAGGTAACTGGCATGAATAAATCCACTAAAAAGATAAAGTTAGATTAGAATGAATGTAATTTGTTAATACACACACACACACACACACACACATATATATATATATATATTTTTTTGAGACGGAGTCTCGCTCTGTCGCCCAGGCTGGAGTGCAGTGGCGCGAACTTGGCTCACTGCAAGCTCTGCCTTCCGGGTTCACGCCATTGTCCTGCCTCAGCCTCCCAAGTAGCTGGGACTACAGGTGCCCGCCACCATGCCCAGCTAATTTTTTTGTATTTTTAGTAGAGACGTGGTTTCACCGTGATCTCGATCTCCTGACCTCGTGATCCGCCTGCCTCGGCCTCCCAAAGTGCTGGGATTACAGGCGTGAGCCACTGAGCCTGGCCAAATCTGTGCATATATTAAATCCACTAAATTATACAGTTTAAATGTATGCATTGTATGGTATGTAAAATACATCTTAATAAAGCTGTTATAAAATAAAAAGCAGCCTTTTGAATAAATATCGCCTTAAAGACCTGAAATGTTTCACTCATCTGCCATGTAGCATCTCAAGATTAGAGATTTACAAAGTTAGAATTGATTTCGCAGTCATCTGGTCTTTATCTCCTTATTGGCTTTTTCATCCTCTTTCTCCATTTTTAAAATTTTAATTTAAATTAACAAGACTACCCATTTATTAAGTAACAATGAAAGACAACTCTACCAATGTAACTGGTATGAATAAATCCACTAGAAAGATAAAGTTAGATTAGAATGAATCTAATTTGTTAATTCATTTGTTTAATGAATAAAGATTTGGAATAAATGGTGTTGCATAAACCCATTTCCTGAATTAAGAATAGGGAATATAAAATATCCTAAAGCCTATAGAGAACAGTGAGCTATCATTTTAATTTTATGACAGTTTTAAAACAGAGACGGATGAGAATGAGAGCTGTTGGGCCTGTGGACATAAAGAGACAGGCAGACAGAAGGAAAGCTAATGTTGTTAGAATTGGTGGCTCCGGTATAAATCGGACAGGAAAACACTCCTTAAGATAGAATCCTTCAGAGTGGAAGGAACATGAAACTGTGAAAAGCATCTCTCTGGAATTCCTAGTCAGAGATAATATATGAAGAAAGCAGACTGTCTACTAAAGAACTAGTGACTGATAGCATATGACCACAAGTGTTTTAAACTACGGACAGTGAGAGTTTGAAACGCAGAATATCAAATACTATGTCGTGAATTCAAAATGCAGAAGGATTGCATTAGTAAAAGTATTCCTGAGGTCATTATTGAAAATTCCAGAAGGTTCAGAGGGAAAAATAAATAGGCAGAAATTTCTACGGAGGCCCTTTCTGATTCAGGCAGAGCTGGTAGACATGTGACTCTTGCCTGTCATCCAGGGAGGCCAGGACCATAAGATTCAAAGCCACTCTAGAGCAGGGGTCCCCAACCGCCGGGCCACACCGAAGCTTCCTCTGTATTTACAGCTGCTCCCATCACTCGCATGACCGCCTGAGTTCCACCTCCTCAGATCAGCAGCAGCATTAGATTCTCAAGGAAGCGAGAACCTTTTGTGAACTGCGCATGTGAGGGATCTGGGTTGTGTGCTCTTTAATGAGAATCTAATGCCTGATGATCTGTCACCGTCTCCCATCACCCCCACATGGGACCGTCTAGTTGCAGGAAAACAAGCTCAGGATTCCCACTGATTCTACATTATGGTGAGTGTATAATTATTTCATTATGTATTATAATAGAAATAAAGTACACAATAAATGTAATGTACTTGAATCATCCCGAAACCATCCCCCCAACCCCCAACCCCATTCATGGAGAAATTGTCTTCCACGAAACCAGTGCCTGGTGCCAAAAAAGTTGGCGACCACTGCTCTAGAGAGAGGATAGAAGACACCCAAATCAGCCAAGAGCAACAACAACAACAGAGGAGGATGGCTTTCAACCAAGTTTGTTTTTTGTTTGTTTGTTTTGACAGAGTTTCACTCTGTTGCCCAGGCTGGAGTGCAATGGTGCCATCTCGGCTCACTGCAACCTCCACCTCCTGGGTTCAAGCAATTCTCCTGCCTTAGCCCCCTGAGTAGCTGAGACTACAGGTGTGCACCACCACACCTGGCTAATTTTCGTATTTTTAGTAGAGACAGAGTTTTACCATGTTGGCCAGGCTGGTCTTGAACTCCTGGACTCAAGTGATCCGCCCGCCTCAGCCTCCCAAAGTGCTGGGATTACAGGCATGAACCACTGTGCCCGGCCCTTTAACCAATCTTGATGGTTTATCACATAGAGAGCTCATGCTCTATTGACCTGTAACCATGAGGCAAAATTTGCCCAGAAAATGGAGGTTCCTGAAAGATGGTTGGACCTCCAGGTATTTCAAGAAACAATTTCAACCGCTGCAGCTTCCAACAGAGACACACAAAAAACAAACAAACAGAATGATAGAGAAAGACCTTCCTGAGGCAATATTCTCAGTCTGTGACCTTTTAAGATCCTGCTCAAAAGATTTTAAAGCCAGGTTGTGCTTTGATAAGTAAAGGCATATAGTTCCTTTGTACTTGTTCTAAAGGATTAAATGAAGTTAAATTTAATGCCTCCAAATCCCTAAGGCCTTATTATGGACTCCATGAATTAATTTTTCAAATCGCTGTTTGTTTGGAGAGCCTGTCCTGTGTCTCCTGCAAGCTGGTCAAAGAACATTTTGTACTGGCTCTGAAAGAGCTCCGTCAAGTCACGGGAGACTCCATTTCAATTTAACACGTGGCAATTAATTCTCGCAAAAGACTGTGCCTGACAGCTTCAACAGTGTTGTGTAAGAAGACAGAGTACAATTTGGTGGCGTATCAATTTACAGTGTTAGCATATTTTTACATGAGCCATAAATCTTGCAGATTCACCAACTCTCAGCTTAATTTATAAGCTTTCGTTTCTGGGAGCACGTCCCACTGCAGTCTCGCCTCCTTAGTGTTGTAACAGCTTTCTTGAGATTTCACTTCAGAATTTGACAAGGTGTCCAAGATGAATGGTAATCATGTTACAGAGCTAGAGAAACATGCGAACCAGACTATTTATAACTCTGCCCTTTTACTAGTCACGTTCAGTACTATGTGGCCTTAACCTACAGTTATTGATCTAAATGACCTAGTTCTGAACTGAGACTTTTCCATTTTTAGAGTTAAATTATAATTTGTAGTAATCCTTTAATACTTTAAAACCCTCAAATTGTTAATAGTTGTATTGAGATGTAATTCACACATCATACAATCACTTATTGAAAGCGTACAATTCGACTGAGCGAGGTGCCTCAGGCCTATAAGCCCCACCCATTGGGAGGCCAAGGTGGGAAGACTGCTTAAGGCCAGGAGTTTGGGACCAGCCTGGGGAACATAGCAAGACTCTGTCTATATAAAATAAATAAATAAATACATAACATAAAATAAAATCAAAAATTAATCAGGTGGGTGGCACATGCCTGTAGTCCCAGCTACTCAGGAGGCTGAGGTGGGAGGATGGCTTGAGCCCAGGAGGTTGAAGCTGCAGTGAGCTATGATCACGCCACTGCACTCCAGCCTGGGTTACAGAGCAATACCTTGTCTCTAAAAAAATTAAATGAAAATAAATAAGTAAAAATAAAGTGTACAGTTCGATTTTTTTTTCATATATTCACCAGATTGTGAACCAGCAATCATTTTCTATCTGTATAGATTTACCTGTTCTGGACATTTCATAGAAGTGGATCACACAATATGTAGTTTTTTGTGACTGGCTTATTTCACCTATCATGATGTTTTCAAGGTTCCTCTATACTGTAGCCTGTGTCAGTACTTCATTTCTTTTCATTGACAAATAATATTCCATTGAATGCATATATCACAATTTGCTTATCCATTCATCAGCTGACAGACAACACAAAAATGTTCTACAAGAAAAAATAGTGGCTCATATATAATCATGAAATATCTTGGCTGTCTGTTACATATGCGCTGCAATAATGTTTAAACCCTTGCTAAAGTATAATTTGCCTGAAAGTCTGGGTATGAATTATGATACAGAACATGAATTATAGATTGTGCAGTGTTTTATTCAGGGTTTTCTGGATTAGTAGAGACTTTTCTCTGACATTCGCATATATCACACTTCCAACAGACTCCTGGTTCTAACACAGCATGTTCTTAAAAGCCTGTCAGTGATGCTTTAGCTATGTCGGTGCAATATTTATCCTGTGATGTTTCAACAAGGGATGTCTAAAATAGCCAGGAACTTCCAGATCATCAAAAACACAATCCACTCTCTAGATTCCAGGCTTTGCAATGACTGCCCAGCTCCAACCACGGTGAGGAGGTATTTGCAAGGAGTCTCAGGCTGCAGAGAGATGAAGGGTCTAAAAGGAGTCCTTCCAGAAGTGATGACTCACTGCCTTTAAAGGACATCTGGGACTCAGCTGCAAACATAACCTCAATCAATTTTTGCAGAGATGTATAGCTTATTTGCCGATAATCATTTTCATGAGAGATGCTATTTCATTGCCTGAAGATTAAAATTTATAACACTGGCTGTAGCAGCAATAGAAGCCGTTGAATCGCCACCATTATAACCCGCAGGTGAACAGCACCAACTGTTGTGTGAAAGGAATGGCAGCCTCAAAGCAGTTACAGGCTGATTGGAATAAGGGAAGGATTTAGAATAAAATGTTGTAGCGAGCCAGGTGTGGTGGTTCACACCTGTAACCCCAGCAATTTGGGAGGCTGGGGTGGGTGGATTGCCTGAGGTCAGGAGTTCAAGACCAGCCTGGCCAACATAGTGAAACCCCTTCTCTACTAAATATACAAAAAAATTAGCTGGGTGTGGTAGTGGGTGCCTGTAATCCCAGCTACTAAGGAGGCTGAGGCAGGAGAATTGCTTGTACTCAGAAGGCGGAGGTTGCAGTGAACCGAGATCACACCATTGCACTCCAGCCTGGGCAACAAGATCGAAACTCCATCTCAAAAAACAAAACAAAAACAAAAACAAAACATTGTAGCATAAAATATAGAGGCAAGTGGGGCGTGGGTGGAGGGAACCGGCGGCTGTCAGACACAGGCAATGAATGGCCTAGAAACCCAAGTGCCGTGTGTTCATGCTTGTTCTGCTAATTCAACACCAAGATATCATGTCTATTTACTCCACTGTGAATGCAGATGGTTGTATTGATTGTCAGAATGGTGAACTGAAATAATGTATGAAAAAGTGCCTAAAACATGATAGGTGTTCTGTAAATTATTCAGTGAACCCGACAAGAGCTAAATGATTCCAATGCTGCTTATGTCAAATACCAATATAGAAATCTCTATTTTGCAAAATAATTTCCCAATCCCAATTATTGCAATAACTTTCAAACAATTTTTACACAACACAATCATTTAGAGAGACCCACGGATTTCACTATTGTTTTGTGTAGAACAGGACATTCAACTTAATCTGGTACTAGGGATATATAGTACAGTACAGACACAATTCCTGTTCTCTACAAGTTGATAATCTCATGGAGAAGGTTACACTTACCCCTACCACCTGTGAGATCTGGATAAATATTTTTTTGCATGTCCCTTGTCTATATAACTGAATTTTTACAACGTATTTCAAAGTTCATACACCCATATGAGATATGGTGATTTATTGATGAAGATTTTGAAAAGTGGCAAGAAAATAGAGATTAAAGTATTTTTCTGTTGTCCAACCAGTGCATGTAAAAATTCTTTTTAGTGTCCAAGCACTATTGCTTTTTGTTGAGGTTCAGGAATCATCTCTTTATGTTCTTTATCATCAGATGCCCTCTAACTGCTTCCACATGCCCCTTCATGAGAAAAAGTTAGCAGGGCTGTTACTCAAATGCTGTGGCTCTTCAGAAACTGAGTGGACCGAAAGGTTATGGATCGTCTTGTCTCTGCGGTTCTCTAATACCACTCATCTGATTACATCATTACTCATCGCCCACTGGGCTTCCAGTGACTCCCTCCAAGGTTGTTACTGGGCTTCATTAATGATGACCACAAATGCAAGTCTTACCCAGAATATGTAGAAGAATTTGAACAATGATTTGTTTTATAATCAGTTTCACTCTTCTGTTTGGAATATTACCACTTAAACCTGGAAGAACACATCATCCAAATATGTACTCCTTAGACTATAACCCCAGCATTGCTAGAATGTGATCTCTTTGATACTATCTGTAACTCGACTTTCCAGACACCACCACCAGCAGGGAGGACAGGTGAGGGGTCCTGTGTGGAGAGAGAAGAGTGGTTCCATTCCTGCAAGAATATCAGTCTTTTATCTGGCAGAACAGGCAGCTCAGTGATGGGAAGCAAGGGATGGTATTAATTGGAAGGGTCTGTTGGATTGGAAGGGCCCATTGGCATTGGCATGGTAGAGCAATAGTCTCAAAAGCTCCTCCATGGAGGAGACAGTCAGGGCGCCTCTCGAGGACTTCCTGACACGTGCAGGAGTCTATGGAGGAGGTGGAGTGACTGCCCTGGTGACAGCAGTTGAGGGTGCACAGGGTAAAAGACCCCTGCCACCACCCCCAGTGGCCCTCAGGGGCTATTGATGGGAGGTGGCCCCACAGTTGGGAAATGTGAGCAAAAGCCTGGGCTGGCTTCATGAGTGTGTGACTTTGGGTTCATGTAAATGGAGTCACATTATATGTGGTCTTTTGTGACTGGCTTCTTTTCCTTGGCATAATGTTTGGTTTAATGCTCTATTGTCATCATCTTAAAATTTTTAATTCAATTCAATTAATTAATTTTTTTTTGTTTTGAGACAGAGTTTCACTCTGTCACCCAGGCTGGAGTGCAGTGGTGCCATCTTAGCTCACTGCAACCTCACCCTCCCAGGTTCAAGCAATTCTCCTGCCTCAGCCTCCCAAGTAGCTGGGACTACAGGCGCACGCACCACGCCCGGCTAATTTTTGTATTTTTTTAGTAGAGACGGGGTTTCACCATGTTGGCCAAGCTGGCCTTGAATGCTTGACCTCAAGTGATCGCCTGCCTCGGCCTCCCAAAGTGCTGGGATTATAGGTGCGAGCCACTGCACCCAGCCAAAATGTTTAATTTTATCTTTGCACATGTGTTTTGGAAGGAAAGTCTACCGGGGCAATGGAACTTGCGTGTTCGCAGTGGAGATATGCCAAGTGTCCAGACACTGAGCAATGGCCGGGCAGCCAGGGACACTGTGGAGTCCTTAGGTAGCCAGGTCAGGACCTGGGCCTTAATCAGTGGTGACAACAGGGGCTGTAGCAGCAGTGGTGGTGGTGGCAGTGGTGGCAGCCATGAGAAAAAGGAGAGGCTTCTCATGGGGGCAGCAACACGACCAGGAGGTGGGGAGCAGCTTGCCTTTCTGTCTCCGGAGCCCATCCCTGCAGCATCCGCACAAATGCTAACTCTGGCCTGAGCCCTGGGACAGGAACTGCAGGTGATCGGGCAGTCAACTTTGTCAGTAAATTATTATTATTATTTATTTTTATTTTTATTTTTTTGAGACGGAGTCTCGCTCTGTCGCCCAGGCTGGAGTGCAGTGGCGCGATCTCGGCTCACTGCAAGCTCCGCCTCCCGGGTTCACGCCATTCTCCTGCCTCAGCCTCCCGAATAGCTGGGACTACAGGCGCCCGCCACCACGCCTGGCTAATTTTTTGTATTTTTCATAGACACGGGGTTTCAACATGTTAGCCAGGATGGCCAGTAAATTATTACAAAAGAAAATAATACATATGGGCATTGCAATACAGCATACCAGGAAGCTATTAGAATTTTCAGAGTGTGGACTCTATAGTTTTTTAAAATACTGGAACACTACAAAGCAAACATCCACAGGCTTAGAAATTAAATTTAAAAGTCATTGGATTCAATTATTTTCATAAGAAGCTTCAAATGAACCAATGATTAATGAGAAAGACAATTTTAAAATTAAATTTTCCATGTAAAAATACAATTACAGAATGCATAAACAAGTGTTTAAATTATATGAAAATTATGAATACAATTTCAAATGACCTCTACAAGTTAGAGGAAATGTCAGAGAAAAACCTTAAAATGCCAGTGTGTAAATTTACATTTGTTTGCTTTGTGTTTTTGAGATGGGATCTTGCTGTGACGCCCAGACTGGAGTGTAGTGGCACAGTCATGGATCATTGCAGCCTCTACCTCCTAGGCTCAAGTGATCCATCTGCCTCAGCCTCCCAAGTATCTGGGACCACAGGAGTGCATCACCACGCTCAGCTAATTTTTTAAATCTATTATAGAGATGGGGTCTCCCTGTGTTGCCCAGGCTGGTCTTGAACTCCTGGCCTAAAGTAATCTTCCTGCCTCAGCCTCCCAAAGCACTGGGATTACAGACGTGAGCCAACGTGCCTAGTCAAAATTAATTTTTTTTTTTTTTTTTTTTTTTTTTTGAGACAGAGTCTTGCTCTGTCGCCAGGCTGGAGTGCAGTGGCGTGATCTCGGCTCACTGCAACCTCCGCCTCCCGGGTTCAAGTGATTCTCCTGCCTCAGCCTCCTGAGTAGCTGGGACTACAGGCACCTGCCACCACACCCTGCTAATTTTTGTATTTTTAGTAGAGACAGGGTTTCACCATGTTAGCCAGGATGGTATCTATCTCTTGACCTTGTGATCCACCTGCCTTGGCCTCCAAAAATGCTGGGATTACAGGCGTGAGCCACCGAGTCTAGCCCCTACATTTACATTTAAAATCACATTCAGATTTAAACAAAACTGATTTGTATGAAGAGGTTAATCTTTTTTAGAAAAATCATTCTGTGAAAATCATCTCTAGATGTGCTAAAATGTGGATTTCAAAATAATTTGCCAGAAATTTTTCCCAAAGCTGTCACAGCTCATAAATATTCTTAGCCCCAGAAAGTTTTGTCCTTCTCAAAATAAAAGTTAAAGTATTACTCAAAAATTAGCCAAGCATGGTGGTACATGCCTATAATCCCAGCTACTTGGGAGGCTGAGGCAGGAGAACAGCTTGAACACAGGAGATGGAGGTTGCAGTGAGCTGAGATCACACCACTGCACTCTAGCCTGGGAGACAGAGCGAGACCTTGTCTCAAAAAAAGAAACAAAAGTTAAAGTATTATTATTTATCATATTATTAATACATAAAGTTATGACAGACAATGGAATATTATTCAGGATTAAAAAGAAATGAGCTATCAAGGCATGAAATGATGTGGAGGAAGCTTAAATCCATGTTACCAAGTGAAAAAAAGGCAATCTGAAGAGACACATACATACTGTAAACCTAAAACTGCTCTAAAAAATTAGCCTAATTAAAAGGGGGCAAAAATAAGCAAAAGACCTAAACAGACACATGACAAAAAAAAAAAAAAAGATACACAGATGGCAAAATAAGCATATCAAAGGATGATCAACATCGTATGTCACTGGAGAACTGCAAATTAAAACAACGAGATGCCACTACACACCTGGAGTGTGAGGCAAAAATCTAAAACACTGACAATACCAAATGCTGACAAGGATGTGGAGCAACAGGAACTCTCATTCATTGCTGGTGGGAATGCAAAATGGTACAGCCACGTTGGAAGACAGTTTGGCAGTTTCTTGCAAAATGAAACACACTTTTACCATATGATTCAGCAATCATGCTCCTTGGTATTTACCTAAATGAGTTGAAGCTTATGTCCACACAAAAATCTACACATAGAGGCCAGGCACGGTGGCTCATGCCTGTAATCCCAGCACTCTGGGAGGCTGAGGTGGGTGGATCACCTGAGGTCAGGAGTTCAAGACCAGCCTGGCCAACATAGTGAAACCCTGTCTCTTCTACTAAAAATACAAAAATTAGCCTGGCATGGTGACGGGAGCCTGTAATCCCAGTTACTCAGGAGGCTGAGGCATGAGAATTGCTTGAACCAGGGAGGCGGAGGTTGCAGTGAGTGGAGATCACAGCACTGCACTCCAGCCAGGGCGACAGAGCAAGACTCCATCACACACAAAAAATAAAATCTACACATAGATGTTTATAACAACTTTATTCATAACTGCCCAAGCTGGAAAGCAACCAAAATGTCCTTTAGTAGGTGAGTGGATAAATAAACTGTAGCACACCCATACCATGGAATATCAGGTTTTCACAAAGGTGAAATTTTCTGTATGTAGATTTTAGATCAATAAATCTAATTTTTAAAAAGTCTATATTTCCAAAAACATAACAAGTAAAAAGTTTTAAAGAAGAAAATAATAAATCATAACTGCAAACATTTCATATTTTACTTCAGAAAGGTATAATAACTAAGACCATCCTGGAAAAAACTATAAAGAAAATTTTTGTTTTTTTTTAAGACCTGATGCATGAAATCATTTTGAATTCTTTTTAAGGATTTGAAGCTGTATTGTTGTATTCCCACAAAGAGCATCCTAAAACTCCCAAATGTTTGAAAATAAATAAATTTTAATGACTGTAATCCAAAAACATATGATATTTTAGGAAGGATGTTGATTCTTGCACATTTGTATGGCCTCTAAGATCAAATGGAGAAAGTAGAGGGTTGTGACAAGACCCCCAGAGTGAGTGCCTAAACTGCAGTCTCAGAGTGAGTTTACACCAGAATGAGCATGACTGAGAAATGGCAGAGCAGGCCACACTTCCCACCTATTTTTATAAGAGACTCAGGTGACTCATGGCCCAGTGACCAAAGCCTGTGAGAGTCTTTGAGACTAGGGGATCTAGTACTAAGATCCCTAAGCTCGCTACTGATGAGGGTCATTCCTTCTAACAGGGACTGGTGTAGATGCAAAAGGAGCCCAAACAGAGGAGGAAGAGATTTGTGCATAAGCTTAGGCAAGATCCAAGGTGCCAGGTTAAAGATGAATGGGTCTGAGAACAGATTAGTTTCTGTTCAGCTTCCTTCAGATGTCTTGGAGTCTTAGGAAAATGAGGCTGTAATCACTACCACCACTGCCTTCATTTACAGTGTGTGCTTAATATGGGCTTGGCATTGCGCTAAGCTTTTATGTGTTTTATCTCATTTCATTCTCATAACAATCATAAAATGCAGTAATTTTCCTTATCTCCCCTGTACAAATAAAAAAGTGGAGACACAGAGAGATTAAATAGGCTGCCAGAAGAGGGATGCCCAGTCATTAAATTGTAGAAAAGGAATTCAAACATAGGCATTCTGACTCCAAAATATTTACTTGTAACAAGTACAAAAAGGAGTTAGTTACATAAGGATTTGCATTTTTATACAAAAATTTCTACACAAAACTGCCAGTAAAGGCAAGACAGCTTTAGAACCTCACCAGAGTAAAACACTAGAGGTGGAGAGAGAGGAGATGGTATAGTCTGGGGAAGATGTATTCCAGCAGTGCTAGTGAGAGAGGATAAAGAATGCCTTCATAAAACACCCATGTGAAAATACACTCCACAGCCTTCCTGAACCCAGAAATGTCCAACAGTACAATGATACATACAGCAAATCAGGGGCTACTGTTCTGATTCTGACACTGACTCCACTGTGCCCTACAATTAGTGTGACCCAGGGAAACACATATTATATATGTGGTTTTCAAATTTGCCTGCATGTTGGAAATACCTGGGAGACTTTAAAAATACTAACATTTGGGTCTCGCCCCCAGAGGTTCTGATTTAATTGGTTCTGGAAATTTAAGTTTAGTTTAAGGCTTCCAAGTGACTCTAATGTGCCATCAGGGTTGAAAACCGCTGTATTAGAGGGCATTACAGCTTACTTGATGAGTACTGGGAAAGACTGCTTTAGCCAATCTGCCAAACTCTGAGTTTTAGTTGAAGGGCTTAATGCATTTACATTTAGTGTAATTATTGATAAAGTAATTATATTTATATCTACAATTTGCTATTTGTTTTCTATGTCTTTTTGTTGTTCTATGCCTCCATTATTGCTTTCTTCTGTGTTAGAGATTTTCTAGTGTATCATTTTACTGATTTCTTTCCTGTATTTTTTTAGTTATTTTCTTACTTGTTACCCTGAGGATTGCAATGAACATCTTAGTTTATAAAAATCTAGTTTGAATTATATCAGCTTAATTGAAATTATATACAAAACTGTTGCTCTGTATAACTCCATTCACTCCTCTTTTTTGTGCTATCATTGTCGTACAGGTAACGTCTTATATAGGTTATATCCATCAACATAAATTTACAATTATTGTCACGTGCAGTTGTCTTTTAAATCATATAGGACCGGCTGGGCGTGGTGGCTCATACCTGTAATTGCAGCACTTTGGGAGGCTGAGGCCAGTGGATCACTTGAGGTCAGTAGTTAGAGGCCAGCCTGGTCAACATGGCGAAACCCTGTCACTTCTAAAAATACAAAAAAAATAGCTGGGTGTGATGGTGTGCACCTGTAATCCTAGCCACTCAGGAGGCTGAAGCAGGAGAATCCATTGAACCCAGAGGCAGAGGTGGCAGTGAGCCGAGATTGCAGTGAGCCCAGTTCACACCACTGCACTCCAGCCTCCTGGGCAACAGAGCAAGACTCTGTCTCAAAAAAATAAATAAATAAATAAAAGAAAAAAAAGGAAGAAAGGTGAAACAAAAAATCATATAGAAAAGAGTTACATGTGAAAACATAATTATACTGTTATTTACATTTACCTGTGTAGTCACCTCTACTGGTGCACCTTTCTTCTTCATATAGATTTGAATTACTGTCTAGGGTGCTTTAATCTAAGCCTGAAGAACTCCCTTTAGTATTTCCAGTAGGGTAGATTGCTAGCAATGCATTCTCTCTGTTTCTAAAATCTGGGAATATTTTATTTCTCCTTCATTTTTGAAGGACAGTTTTGCTGAATTCCTGGCTTCTGAAGGAGTTTTGTTAGATATAAAATTCTTAGATGAGTCTTTTTCTTTCAGTGCTTTGAATATAACATCCTACTCTCTCTACTATCCATAGATTTTGATGATAAATCAGCTCTTAATTTTATTGAGAAATTCTTGGATGTCATAAGTTGCTTCTTTCTTATTTTTAAGATTCTCTATCTTTAGTTTTGATGTTTATCATGTGTCTAAGTGTGCATCCCTTTGAGTTTATTCTACTTAGGGTTCATTAAGCTTCTTAAATACATACATAAATAAATGTTTTTCACCAGATTTGGGAAGTTTTCAGCCATATGTCTTCAAATAATTATTACTCCCCTTTCTCTCTCTCCTTACCTTCTGGGATTCCTATTATGTATATGTTGGTATGCTTGATGGTGTTCTACATATCACTGAAGTTCTTTTCATTTTTCTTCATTCTTTTTTCTGTTTCTTAGACTGGATAATCTCAACTAACCAATCTTCAGTTTGGTGATTCTTCCTTCTGTCTCAAATTTGCTGTTGAAACAATCTAATGGCTTTTTCATTTTAGTTATTGTAAATTTTACCTCCAGAATTTCTATTTGCTTCTTTTAAAAAAGTAATTTATATCTATTGATATTCTCTATTTAGTGAGACATCACTCTTATACTTTCCTTTAGTTCTTTAGACATAGTTTCCTTTAGTTTTTGAAGGCATATTTTAAATAGCTGACTTAAAGTGTTTTTAGTAATTTAAACATCTGGGCTTACTGTGGGACAGTTTCATTGATTGCTTCCTTCCTGCACATGGGTCATAATTTCTTGTTTCTTGGCATGTGCTATGGTTTGAATGTGTCCCCCAAAATTTATGTGTTGGAAACTTAATCTCCCATGCAACAGTGTTGAGAGGTGGGAACTTTAAGAAGTGATTAGGTCATATGACTTTGCCCTCATGAATGGATTAACATCATTGTAACAGGAATGGGTCAGTTATTATGAAAGTGGGTTTGTTATAAAAGTGAGTTTGGCCCCCTCTTGCTCTCTTATTCTCACTCTCTCTTGCCCTTCTGCCTTCCACCACAGGATGACACAGTATAAAGTCCCTTACCAGATGCTAGCACCATGCTCTTGGACCTCCCAGCCTCTAAAACCATTAGCCAAATACATTTCTGTTCATTATTAGTCACCTAGTCTCAAATATTCTGTTATAGCAGCAAACAATGACAACATGGACTAAGATAGCATGTCTCACAATGTTTGTTGAAAACTACATTTCAAATAATACAGTATGGCAATTCTCAAAATCAGATTCTCCCCATTCCCCAGAGTTTGCTATTACTGCTTTTGTGTGTATTTTTGTTTGTTCAGTGACTTCTCTGAATGAATTCTTTGTGTTCTTTGTTGTGTGTAGCCACTGAAATTCCTGCTTAGTAGTCAGCTTAGTAGTCAGCTAATGATTACAGAGAGATTTCCTTAAACACCTGGAACCAATAAGCCTCTTGGTCTTTGCCAGTGGGCCATCTGTGTACATTGGGCACACCTTTAGGACTCAGCCAGGCAGCTGACAACTCTATCTTAGCTTTCACTTCCTCACTGTGCAGAGGTTCAAGGTCAGCAGAGGTCAGAGCTCAGGGCCTTCTCAGGTCTTTCTTGAGCATGCAGACAATGCTGGGCATGCACACAGCCCAATGTGGCCTTGTAGATTCCCAGGAATATGCAGGAGCTTTTCAAAGCCCCATGGACATCCCACTCTCCAGCTTTTCCTTTTAAATTTTTTGGCTAGTCTATTATTTGCCCCAACTGTTATCCACTGCTTTGGGAGGCTGCAAAGTTAAACAATGTCTTTTAAGTGTTTTTGACAAATGTCCCCAAGGAAAGGCTTTGGTACCAGGTGAGCTCAGAGTCAGGTCAAACAAAGACAGTCTTGTTAGTAGGGTCTCTCAGGGAACTACGCAACAGGTGAAATAATGACAATTCTCAAGGAATAAGGCCTTGAAGAACCCTAGCCCATTTTGCCCCCTCTGGTGGCTGCCAAGCTGCTGGTTTTCACTGTGATTGGGAGGCTGTTTTCAAGGCTAACATAAAGTCAGAGAAAAGGGAATGGAGATGGGGCGAGTGAAAATGCCATAAAGCTAGTTGTTCTTACCAAGATTCAGCCATTTTTCTTGAGTAAATTCTCCCTGGATTGTGACAAGACTTTAATTTTCAGAGTTCTGAGAAAAGTTGATTCTGACCATTTTTGCCATTTTCTCATTGCTTTCTATGGAAGAAAGAATTTTCAGAGGTCCTCACTTCGCTATTTTTGCTGACATCAACTCCCAGTAAGGTGGCTGGGTATGGTAGCTCATGACTATAATCCCAACCCCTTGGGAGGCTGAGGCGGGTGGATCACTTGAGGTCAGGAATTCAAGATCAGCCTGGCCAACATGGTGAAACCCTGCCTCTACTAAAATACAAAAGATTAGCTGGGCATGGTGGTTCGTGCCTATAGTGCTAGCTACTTTGGAGGCTGAGGCAGGAGAATCACTTGAACCTGGGAGGCAGAGATTGCAGTGAGCTAAGATTGCACCACTGCACTCCAGCCTGGGCAACAGAGTGCGACTCTGTCTCAAAAATCAAAAACTCCCAACAAGGAACTACTGGTCTAGTGAATGAATATCATCATATTCACACCTATGCTTCATGTTCATTTCAATTGTTTTAACACTTTGTATTAAGACAGCTCTGTTTCTCTGGAGGTCCTGCTGAGACTTCTAGCTGTGTGCCACTGGCAATGAAACCCAACATATTTACCATACACACTTGTGAGCACATTCTTCAGATATCCCTCTGAATTATAATTGTAGCTGTTGTAAGTCATTTTGGGACAGTCTGCCCTCGAGGAACCAAAACAAATAAATAGAAAAGATTATCTCTCAATAGCTTTAATTAATTTTGTTCCATTAGTCTTGCACTTTCATACTGCTATCACATAATTATTTGTAAATTATATTCATAACTGTTTCTTAATTTGTAGTAATTTTATCACTCAGAGGATAATAGTTAATTATTTTCCCTATAATTATCATGGAAGAAAAACAGGGCTCTTTAAAACTGTGAAATTAAATTGGAAAGGAATTTCAAACAGCCACACTTCCCTTTGCCCTGACATCCCAGATGGTGTCTATGGTTTGTGTTCACAGTTATGCAAAATGACAGATGTCAGGAAGCAAATATTTTCAGCATATTAATAAGAGTGAATGCACTGCCACCTTCTGCATTGCAGCCATGCACTGACACAGAATGCTGATAACTCTCAGATGGAGCAGACGAAAAGGCTCAGGTACACTCCTGGATTGTTTAGTGTCTGGAGCAGTCAATGGAAAATCAAAACACTGAAGATCTAGCACCTACTCCACCAGAGACTCACTGTGTGACTTTGGTCATGTTCCTTTTAGGAGACAGGGATATGAACTAGTAAGTAGAGAAGTAAGACTAGTAAGCAGAGAGCCACATCTCATTGATTCAGCATCATCATCAGAGATGAGATGGTGCACACACCATAATTCTCCAAATAGCTGAAGCTTATTTTAAGCTCTGACATGTTAATTTTTATCAATTTTGAAGGAAATCCCTCTAAAACATATCATACAGTCATATTGTTTCTTAAAGTGAATGACATAAAACATAATTTCAACCTCCTCTTTAACCAACACAAAAATATATAATAGGCGGGGCGCGGTGGCTCACGTCTGTAATCCTAGCACTTTGGGAGGCTGAGGTGGGTGGATCACCTGACGTCAGGAGTTCAAAACCAGCCTGGCCAACACAGCAAAACCCCATTTCTACTGAAAATACAAAAAATTAGCTGGGCATGGTGGCAACTTGGCAGGCTGAGGCAGGAGAATTGCTTGAACCCGGGAGGTGGAGATTGCAGTGAGCTGAGATCATGCCACTGCACTCCAGCCTGGGCGACAAAGCAAGACTCTGTCTCAAAAAATAACAATAATAATAATAATAATAATAATAATAAAACAGATGGGACAAATAGGTAAATTTACTCCCAAATTTACATGACATGGAAATGGATTATGTGTGGCAGTTAAAAGAGATCTGCTGTAGTCAAAGAACTCTCTTCCCAACTTGACCATTTCCAAAAAGGCCTGCATCTGCTGGAGGTGACATGTCACTCTACAGAGGCCTCTGGGCCTGACTTCTCTTCCAGAGGGCTGAGACTTAGTATGTGGATTTGCAGGCCTAGTAGCCAGAGTCGCTGATCCCTCCGGCCTCCTCTGGAATGTGTTCTTGGATGAGTTAGGCTTTCTCAACACGTGAACGCAGTGTTTCAGGTCTATCCCCTAATCTTAAGTACTATGACCCTCTTACCTTCTAGGTGAGGGGTGCCCCCCTACTCTCTGTTCAAATCATGTTTCAGGTGGAATGGAAAGGTGATGTGTCTGGTTTTCAAATCCTTGTGCGTTGGAAGCATTGATGATGACGGCAGCAACCTCAGCTCATTCATTTTAGCTCCCTCTGCTGTTTCAGCAACATAGATCATTAAAACAAAAAACTACCACAGAAAACCAAACCAACAACAACAAAACCCCTAAGAACTCTATTTTTTTTTTTCTAAGAACTCTCAAGGAGAGGAAAAGGAAAGAAACTTAATTGGGGCTTGAAAGTTTTATAAAAGAAGCAATCTTTATATGAAAAACTAAAGAGGATATGGAATACACTTTTCTAAAATAGCTACTTTTTCTTTCACTGTGTCTTTTTATCATCATTAAAAATTATGTTCACATTAATAAATATTACCAATCTGATAATAATAATTTATGGCTTGGAGTTATTGATTTATTCTTCAACAAATATTTATGATCCCATTATGCACATAGTACATGGGGCTGGGTGCTGTGGATACACAGGGGAGGAAGAGAGTTGTTTTAATAATGCTCTTTAGCTGGGCACAGTGGTTCATGCCTGTAATCCCAGCACTTTGGGAGGCCGAGGCAGGCAGATCACTCAAAGTCAGGACCAGTTTGGCCAAGATGGCAAAACCCCATCTTTACTAAAAATACAAAAATTAGCTGGGTGTGGTGGCATGAGCCTGTAATCTCAGTTACTTGGGCGGTTGAGGCACAAGAATCACTTGAAACCGGGAAGCAGAGGTTTCAGTGAGCCGAGATTATGACACTGCACTCCACCCTGGGCAACACAGTGAGACCCTGCCTCAAAAAAAAAATACAAAAAGTAGCCAGGCACAGTGGCGCATGCCTGCAATCCCAGCTACATGGGAAGCTGAGGCAGGAGAATCACTTGAACCCAGAGGTGGAGACTGCAGTGAGCCAAGATCACTTCACTGCACTCCAGCCTGGGTGACAAAGAGAGACCCTGTCTCAAAAAATTAAAAAAAAAAAGATACTCTTTAATCTCATAAATCTGCATGGGTTTATTCCTGTTTTCATTGTCATAACCATTCCTTGGAAAATAGATGAAATCATTAATGAAGATTAATGTAATTTACTATAGATTTATTTTAAAAAATAAAACCCTTTAAAAGTTTTGTCTCTGATCTTCAAACCTATCATTAAAGGCAGTAGTATGAACCTTGAAAACAAACTTGGGCACGTGACCTAAACCTTCTGTGCCTTAGTTTCCTTAGTATAAATGGGATGCTGGCGATAACACTACTTCATATAGGATTGTTGGAAATAATAAATGAGTTAAATCACTTTAAGTGCTCAGGCTAATACCTGACACCCAGAAAGCACGAAATAAATGTTAGTTATTATCTTTATTCATTTGTGAATTCACTGAGCACCTACTATGTTTTTCCTATTCATATGAGCAAACATACAAAGACTTTATGCTTTGCTAATTGTTTCCATCATTTACAGCAAAATTTCTAAAAGACAAGTTTTCCATAATTGCCGTCTCTGCTTCCCTACTGCCGGTTCTCACTTAAATCCTCCATACTCTGGATCCTGACTTTGGTCCCCTTCAGTACCTGTATTCCTGAAAGGCCGTTAAAGATCCCCAAATTCCCCGCCGGGCTTGGTGGCTCACGCCGGTAATCCCAGCACTTTGGGAGGCCTAGGTGGGCAGATCATGAGGTCAGATCAAGACCATCCTGGCCAACATGGTGAAACTCTGTCTCTACTAAAATACAAAAAATTAGCTGGCGTGGTGGTGCTTGCCTGTAGTCCTAGCTACTTGGGAGGCTGAGGCAGAGGAATCCCTTGAACCCAGGAGGTGGAGACTGCAGTGAGCCGAGATCGCACCACTGCACTCCAGCCTGGCAACAGAGTGAGACTCCATCTCAAAAAAAAGAAAAAAAAAAAGATCCCCAAAGTCCAGTAAGACATTCACGTGGACCTTCTTCGTCTTGAAGTCTGGAAAGCATCTGCTGCCTGACATGTATTGTTCTTGTGGTTTCTCTGACACAGTGGTGGCAGAGTTCTTTTTTTTTTTTTTTTTGAAACAGGGTTTCACTCTTGTTGCCCAGGCTGGAGTGCAATGGCTTGATCTCAGCTCACCACAACCTCTGCCTTCGAGGTTCAAGCGATTCTTCTGCCTCAGCCTTCCAAGTAGCTGGGACTACAGGCATGTGCCACCATGCCGGCTAATTTTGTATCTTTAGTAGAGATGGGGTTTCTCCATGTCGGTCAGGCTGGTCTCGAACTCCCGACCTCAGGTGATCCACCTGCCTCGGCCTCCCAAACTGCTGGGATGACGGGTGTGAGCCGCTGCTCCTAGAGTTATTTTATCTCTGACTCTTTTTCTGTTTCCTTTGATCTTTCTTTTGTCCCAATGAGGCAGGGAACCTAAGGATTTCCTACAACTAAATCAAACGGAAACACTTCAGTAGGATAGGAAATGTCCTCTTCATTTACATAGGGCGTACACCGAGTAAATGACTTTATAACTTTACTTCATCCCCTTCATTTGCAAAGGGCATACAGTAAGTAACCAATGGAAACCTCTCGAGGGTATTTAAACCCCAGAAAATTCTGTAACAGGACTCTTGAGCCTCTATGCTCCGGCCCGCTCCCACACTGTAGACTGTACTTTTGTTTTCAATAAATTTCTGCTTTTTTTTTTTTTTGAGACAGGGTCTCACTCTGTTGCCCAGGCTGGAGTGCAGTGGTGTGATCTCGGCTCACTGCAGCCTCCGCCTCCTGGGTTCAAGTGATTCTCGTGCCTCAACCTCCCTAGTAGCTGGGACTACAGCCGTGTGCCACGATGTCCAGGTAAGTTTTGTATTTTTAGTAGGCACGGGGTTTCACCATGTTGCCAGCTGTAACTCAGGGATTCCCAGGATCCCGTCTTCAGTTTTGACAATTTGGTAGAACAGCTCACAGAATTCAGGGAAACTCTTTACTTATGTTTACTGCTTTATTATAAAGGGTACAACTCAGAAACAGCCAGACAGAAGAGATGCATAGGTCAAGGTATGGGGTGGGGGTGCATGGAGCTTCCACGCCCTCTGGGGCAGGCCACCATCCCAGCACCTCCATGAGCTCAGCAACCTGGAAGTTCATCAACTCTTGTTCAAGGGTCTTCAGAGAGCTGTTTTCCAGTGAGTGGGGATGAAAGTTACAACCTTCTAATCACTTGGTGTTTCTGGTTACCAATCCCATCCTAAGGCTATTTAGGGGCCCCACCCTAAGTCACGTCATTAGCACAACTTAAAGGTTCTAGAAAGGGACTTTTTAACACAGACAAAAGCCACTCCTATCGTTCAGGAAATTCCAAGGGTTTTAAGAGCTTTGTTGCAGAAATCTGAGACAAAGGACATATATATATAAAATATATAAATATATACGTATTATTATTATTTTTATTTTTTTATTTTTTTGAGATGGAGTCTTGCTCTGTTGCCCAGGCTGGAGTGCAGAGGCGTGATCTCGGCTCACTGCAAGCTCCGCCTCCCAGGTTCAAGCGATTCTCCTGCCTCAGCCTCCTGAGTAGCTGGGATTACAGGCACCCACCGCCACGCCAGTTCAATTTTTGTATTTTTAGTAGAGACGAGGTTTCACTATGGTGCTCAGGCTGGTCTCGAACTCCTGACCTCATGATCCACCCACCTCGGCCTCCCAAAGTGCTGGGATTACAGGCATGAGCCACTGCACCCAGCCAAATATATTTCAGAGCCAAAGGGCTTAGGTATGAACTCAAGCACCATGACTTAGGAGCTGTGTGACTTGGGTGCCTTAAGTAATCTCCATGAATCACAGTTTCCTCGTCCGTTAAATGGCGATAATAATAAAACCTCCCTAATAAGCTTGTTGTGAGGATTAAGCAAGTTAACAGAAGCACTTAAAATAGTACCTGGCACATAGTAAGCGATTCGAAAGTGTTTGCTCACTATTCACTCCGTGGCTCACTCCATTGTAAGATAATATTCTAACTCCTTTCTTCCCTACAGGTTAAGTTCCCAAGGGCTTTTAAGGCTCTCTATTTTACAAAATCTTAAATTCCATATTATTCACAGCAAGTAATTTAATAAGTATTAAATAGAGGCAAGATTGGCTAGAAGTGGTCTTCATTCTAAATGAAGACCTTGGGAAGCGGGGTGTGTGTGTATGTGAGTATGTGTGTGTGCATGTGTGTGTGAGTGTGTGTATGAGAGTGCGTGAGTGCATTTGTATTCCAGAACTCCACTTTCTGGAATAGGAATATTTAGGAAGAACATATCTAGGCTTTCAGTACACCTATTGAAATGGGAGAGTTCCCTTATCTCCCTTGCAGGGCGTGTGGCTGGCTTCTTCCGTGCCCTGCTGCTCAGACCCCTAGGGGAGCATGCAGATGGGCAGGTGCAGAGGTCGTGGGGAGCGTTTTTGGGCTCTGACCCCCAAGGCAGTGAAGCCCAAGTGGGCGTGTGTTACAGTGTGCTCCTTCAGCTTTGCTGTCTGCTGATGGCTTGTGTTAATCAGCTGGATAGACCCTCTGCCTTACTGCAAGGGCAGAGGGTGTCCTGTATCCTGAGTTCTTACCCAGTGTACTGGAAAAATTGTATCACACGTGAGCTCAAAGGATGAGTGCAAGGTTTTATTGAGTGGTGGAAGTGGCTTTCAGTGAGATGGGTGGGGAGCCGAAAGGGAGATGGAGTGGGAAGGTGGTCTTCCCCTGGAGTTAGGACGCCCAGCGCCCCCCAGCCAAACTCCCCTCGGTGTCCACCTAGTTCTGCCATCCCTGGTCTGCCGGTGTCTGCTGGTGTGCTCCTCTGCTCCTCTCCATGCCTAGCCACTTGTGTCTGTGCCTGCTAAGGTCTTGGGCTTATATGGACACAGGCTGGGGGCACGTGTCAGGCCAGAGAGGTCTTAGAAAATGCAACATTTGGGCACAAAATCAAAACAGGAGCGCCTGTTCTCACTTAGATCTGTGGGCACAAGCCCAAGGGTGGAGCTCTCGCCAGGGACCCTGCCCTTTTCTACCCAGCACTTTCCTGCCCCCCCGTCCTGTATCACTAGCAGTATAGTAATATATACAGATAAGTACCAAACCCTTGCTTGAAGAATGAAAATCTTTCCAAATCAGAAATTAAGAAGTGATTTTTGGCAGAGATATTGAAATAAATTATGTTCCTGGTTGCTGGTGGAATGTCAGTATTTCCATTATAAATTGTCGATTCAAATTCAGATGGTACAGGATGGAGTTCACTGTGTTCCATTAAAGCCTTTGAATTCCAGGGCGTGTGCGCCCTGATTCCTTTCAGGTTATTACACAGTTTTCCTTGAAACAGGGATAAAATTGGCTGATTCATTAAACTCATCATGACATAATGCTAAGTAATAAATTCAAAGACAAACCCATACAGGAAAATCAGGTCGCAAAAACTAACAATCTTTCTTACACATCCACTTGTTTCATTTGCAGCCATTTTTATGTATTTCAGTTTAATTTATGAGGAGTTCAGTTTAATTTGTGAGGACTCCTAGAATCTTTTGAAGGATCTGCTAGGAATTTGTTGCTCTGTGCAAACAAAGATCTATGCTTCCTTTAAGACTCAGCTCAAGTCACACCTCCCATTAATCTTACTTAACCAGAAATCTTATGTAACTCTTCTTATGGACTGTGTGTTGTGTTCCCAAAAATTCATATATTAAAATCCTAGCCCCCAGTGTGATGGTGTTTGGAGGTAGGGTCTCTGGGAGGTGATCAGGTTATGAGGGTGCAGCCCTTATGAATGGCATTAGTACCCTTATGAAAGAGACCCCAGAGAGCTCCCTCGCCCTCTTTCTGCCAAGTGAGGATACAATGAGAAGTTGGCAGCCTGCACCCCAACAGACCCCTCATAGGAACCCAGCCACGTTGGCACCTTGATCTCGGACTTCCAGCCTCCAGAATGGTGAGAAATACTTATTTGTTGCTTACAAGCCACCCAGTCTATGGTACTTTGGTATAGCAGCTTGAACTGACTAAGGCATTCCCTGGCCTAGTATTTCCACTAGTTCATCATCATAATCACCTATGAGTTTTTGAAAAAAAAAAAAAAAAAAAAAAAAAATCCCAGGCCAGATTTCTAAAGATTCCCCTAGGTAAATCTGGAATAGGCCCAGTAACAATTGTAAAAGTTCCTGTGGGGATTATGATGATCAGGCAGATTTAGAAGCTACTTGTCTATCTCAATCTTCTAGTACTTAATAGGTGTGCAGTAGATGAGTTTAGAAATACCGAACTCCTGCAGACCTGCTTTTCTGAGAACTATTTCTCTATCCACAAGTAGTGGGTCCTGACAAGTTTAACTTTGGTACATGACTTTCTTTTGGGGACAGTGATTTGACCAAGAGAAGGTATCTGACATAAGCTGAGTCAGACTTTTTTCTTGTTTTATTTGAATTGAGAGATTGAGCCTGAAAGAGTTGGGAACTGCGTCACTTAGAAGAGCATGAGACTCAAGGTCCACAGTGCCCTGCTGGGCTTCTGGGGCTTTTCTGCTTCCCGCCTTTTCTGCCTTTTCTGGGGCCCGTTGCCATCAACTCTTCCTGGAGTTCCCGTGAAACACTGGGGCTGCTATAAAAACTACCGCCACCCCTGAGTGCCTTCAAACACTAGAACTGGATTCTCTCACAGTTTAGGAGGCCAGAAATCCAAAATCAAGGTGTTGGCTCACGCCTGTCTTCCTAGCACTTTGGGAGGCTGAGGCGGGTGGATCACCTGAGGTCAGGAGTTTGAGACCAGCCTGGCCAACATGGCGAAACCCCGTCTCTACTAAAAATACAAAAATTAGCTGGGTGTGGTGGCGGGCACCTATAATCCCAGCTACTCAGGAGACTGAGGCAGGAGAATCACTTGAACCTGGAGGGCGGAGGTTGCAGTGAGCCGAGATCACGCCACTTCACTCCAGCCTGGGCGAAAGAGTGAAACTCTGTCTCAAAAAAAAAAAAAAAAAAAAAAAAATCAAGGTGTGGGCAGGATTGGTTCCTTCTGGGGGCTGTTGAGGAGAAACTGCCCCAAGTGTCTCCCCTAGCTTCCTTCTGGTGTTGCCAGCAATCCTTGGCACTCCCTGGTTGTAGGCACATCACTCCAATCTCTGCGGCCTCTCTTTTTTTTTTAAGGACACCAGTCATTGTATATAGAGCTCACCCTAAATCCAGGAAGAGTTCATCTCAAGATCCTCAACTAATTACATCTGCAAAGACTCTATTTCCAAATAAGGTCAGACCCTGAGGTTCTGGGTGGACTAGATTTCAGAGGGACACTTATTCCATCCTCTACATGCTTATTTGCTTGAGTGAGCTGCCAAAGACAACACACTCAAAATCCCAAAGAGAGAGGGGATCTCTCTTCCCCAGCATTTATATCAGTCCCATAAGGAACTCAGGAATCAGCTTGGGTCATGTGACCACGCCTGGACTGTGTCAAGGGAGGCAGGCATTCTGATTGGCCAGCCTGAGTCACACGCTCATGTGCATTGGGGAAAGAGGAGTCAAATGATTGACAGCTTCACCAGAGTCACATGGGATGGAGAAGGGAGTTTTCCCAAAGGGAAGGAATGCTGGCTAGATATAATTGCAACCCCTCAGTATCCCCATGACTCATCTGGTTTCAGATTTGAAGGAAAAATAAAAATTGCAATTGACATTTCCATAGTTCATAACATTTATAGCAAACTGGCCCCCAAACACTCCCTCTTTCCACAGACTTAGCAAGCTTTAGTTACAGGGTTCCTACTACCTAGTAATAAAAGATAAAAATTCTCAGATAAAGGACTGAAACCTTAGTCTCTCCATCTCAAAATTGTTACCCATAAAATCAACTGACTGTGTTCAAAGAAGTGATAGTTGTTCACATTGACATAGCACTTTGCACATTCATATCTATTATCAAAATTGATGAGCACAGTGACTCTGGGAGACAGGCATGTGCTATTATCTCCATTTCGAGGGGCGGAACAAGAAAGACATTTGCCGGAGGTCACATGATCAGCTTGTGCAGAACCAGCCTCAGAATCCAGACCCGCCTGATTCCTGAACAGCCTCTGCACTTATTATAATGGCCCAGTTCTGGGATCCCTTCAAAGCCAGGAGAGTACTCTGCAGAACACTTTGTCCTCCTCTCAAACAGCCTCTCCATGACACACGGTTGCTCTTTTGCTGGGAGACGCCAAGACAAACTTTTGATCTCACAAACACGTTTTTCTTCCTCAGAAACACATAGTCTCATTCCAAAGAAATGCAAAGCTCAGAGGTTTGTGGAAGAATCAATCTTTGCTCTCTTCTAGAAAATGAAAAAACAGGGAGCTTTGATATTGTCTTCTCCTCCTTAAAGTAAAACAACAGGCTGGGTGCAGTGGCTCATGCCTGTAATCCTAGCACTTTGGGAGGCCGAGGCAGGGGGATCACTTGAGGTCAGGAATTTGAGACCAGCCTGGCCAACATAGCGAAACCCCATCTCTACTAAAAAAAAAAATACAAAAATTAGCTGGGCGTGGTAGAGCGCCCGTAAGCCCAGCTACTCAGGAGGCTGAGGAATGAGAACTGCTTTAACCTGAAAGACAGAGGTTGCAGTGAGCTGAGATCACGCCACTGCACTGCAGCCTGGGGATAGAGCGAGACTCCGTCACACACACACACACACGCACACACACACACACACGTATGGCTCCTTTCTCCTCTGGAACTTTGAGGACTGAGGCTTAGGGTGATGGGCTTCAGTCGTGACAGGAGGGACTTGTCAGGACTTGGGAAGATATCTGTGTGTAGGTGTGTCCATGTACTTAGTGGGCATGTGCATGTGGTGTGGCATGGAATAACGACGTTAATTTTCCCGCAGGGTGATTAGTTCCCAGGCAATAACAACAGAAACCAAACAGCATTTCTTCACTATCTGCAGAATTGCGGGAATTTCCGCCATCTGCCTCATCCCAGGCCTCTTGAACAATTGAAAAGGAACCCAGGAAAAAGGGTGGAGAAGAGGGTTAATTTTAGCTGTCAACTTGGGTAGGTCATGGCACCCACATATTTGATCAAACACCAGCCTAAAAACAAACAAACAAACAAACACAATCCTTTGCAGCAACAAAGGTGTTTGATTAAGCACCCCTGTTGTTTGTTTGTGTTTGTTTGTTTTTGAGTCAGAGTCTCACTCTGTCACCCAGGCTGAAGTGCAATGGCACGATCTCAGCTCACTGCAACTTCCCCTAACTGGGTTCAAGCGATTCCCCTGCCTCAGCCTCCCTAGTAGCTGGGACTACAGGCGCCCGCCACCACACCCAGCTAATTTTTGTATTTTCAGTAGAGACGGGGTTTCACCATGTTGGCCAGGCTGGTCTCAAACTCCTGGCCTCAAGTGATCTGCCCTCGTTGGCCTCACAAAGTGCTATAATTACAGGCATGAGCCCCACACTCAGCCTCAAACATCTTTGTTGCTGCAAAGGTTTGTTTTTTTATTTTATTTCCTTTTTTGTTTTTTGAGACAGGGTCTCACTCTGTCACCCAAGCTGAGGTGTGGTGGTGCAGACATGGTTCACTGCAACCTCTGCCTCCTGGGCTTAAGTGATCCTCCCACCACGGCCTCCCAAGTAGCTGGGACTACAGGTGAGCATCACCGTGCCCGGCTAGTTTTTGTATTTTTTGTAGAGGGGGTTTCCTCATGTTTCCCAGGCTGTGCAAAGGTATTTTAAAGATGAAATGAACATTTAAGTCACTAGACTTTGAGTAAAGTAGATGGTCCTCTGTAATGTGGGTGGGCCTCACACAAGCAGTTGAAGGCTTTATGAGAAAACTGGCTGAGGTTCCCCTGAAGAAGGAGGAATTCTGCCAGCAGACTGTCTTGGGATTTGATCTGCAGCATCAGTGCTTTCCTGGGTCTCCAGCCTGCCAGCCTACCCTGCGGACTGTGGGCTCACCAACAGCACTGTGTGAGCCTCCAACAGGACTGTGTGAGCCAATTCCCTGGCACAAATCTCTGAATATAAATCTCTACACGTCCTGTCGGCTCTGTTCCCTCCAGCGCATCCTTGCACACATGCTTCTGGCTGCCCCGTGACGCCGGCTTTCCCCCTTCACTGGTCGCATGGCGGCTTTGCTTCCCTGTCCCCCACCCCGGGTGCATGGGCTCTGCTGTATCTTGTCTCTTCCCATGTAGGCCGGTCCTACCAAGTACAGGGGTCGTTTTCACACATGCTGTCATTGTCTCATATCTCTCCGTCCCCTGCTCAGACACACTCTGCCCCTTGAGCTGTCCTTGAGCTGATGACTACCAAGCATCGCCGACTTGCACTCAGCTCTCAGGGACGTCAGCATCACAGCTCCTTCTGGTTTCCTAACTCCTCTTTGAAAGACATTTCTAGGGGAAGCCATCGTTTCTAATTACCTTCAGAGGTTATCACCAAAACCTCCTTTCTGAAAAAAATTAGTACATTTATACAGTAAGTCCTCACTTGACATCATAGGTAGAGTCTTTGAAACTGTGACTTTAAGCAACGTGTACAGCAGGTCCTTGAATAACATTGGTTATAATATCGATGAGGGACAAACATCGGTTTCATTATACATTGTTTTGCTTAAAGTTACAGTTTCCAAGAACCTATCTATGACATTAAATGAGGACTTCGTGTATATTCAAATGGATTCTCTTTCTGAGTCTCTAGATATAGACTATAATGTGAATTCTAATCATCACGTTATTTCCTGAGCTCCTGTATGCTCAGTTATATGCCTTAGTTTTGATTTTGGGTATGCTAATCCTCATGTTAAGTTCCCCACCATTTGGAAACTGAAACATCGGATGCTCTATCAGCAGCCTAGGGATGCTCACATTTAATTAAATGCAGCTGGGAAGATACTTCTTTAATAATTGTTTAGTCTATTATCACTTATCAAGTAAGTATATAGCAGCTCTAATCTTCAGGAATAAATGACTTTCACCTCCCCTCTTTTCTGTAAAATGCACAAATTGCCATGAGCTCTTCTTGGTATTGGAGCTACTTTTCTTTTGAGGGTGACAATCCGTTCCTTTACTACAGTACTTGAAAACTTGTCCTGGAAAATGACCCAAGAGACCAGGGGAAAATGCAGTGAGCCTCCTGTTTGAGGGTGACACAGTCAGTGCTTGTCTTTACCTCCCTCCCTAGCTCCCAAGATCTAATGAAAAGGATACACAACATATGTTCTTAAGAGAATCAATCCATTCTCCATCACAGAGCTGGGAAAGAAGAAAGGCTGTCACCATTAAAGCAGAATTTGGTGGGGGTGGTGGTACAGATTTCTGGAATATTGAAAACAAATGGCCTCAATTTATGAAGAAACTAAGGCAGAGAGTTCCACCACTAAACACAGGCATTGTCAGAGGCGTGCCATTCTCCCAAACAGAGCCCCAGAGAAACTCCAAGCTCAGGGTCAACAGAAATGAACACAGACCTTAGTTAAAAGGCTGACTGCCGATTGTCATGTCTCGCTGCCACGTTGCATATAAAAATAGGAAAACATAAACATCAAGTAGAGATGTGTGTAAAGGATACTAATAGTCAGAGAAACACACATGGCCCTTATGCACATAAAAAGATGCTCAAATTCTCTAGTAGTCTAGTAGATTAGTGCAAAAAGAATGATGACAACATACCATATTTTACTCATTTGAAAGCTGATACTATCCTGTTTCAGTAAATGTATGGGTGAATGGTCTCTGCCTGTTGGTAGGAATCTAAAGGTATAGTTGTTTCTGTTTTTTTTTTTTTCCTTAGTTGCTCCAGAGCTAACTCCTCGGCAGTGCACCCAGAGTGAGTCTAAAAGTACAGTCTTCTGGGATGACAATTTGTCACCATCTAACAAAATGTCCCATGTCTTCGTACAGCAATTGTTCTTTGACTTAACAGAAATATTGACACATGCAGAAGAATACAAGTGCAGGAATATACCACATAACATGGTTTGCAATGGCTAATAATTAGAAACAATTTATAGAGAAATGGATAAATTACAGTTTATTTATAGTAAGGAAAACTATGTTTAAAAGATCTGACAGGGAAAGACCCTTAAGATATATTGTTTAAAAAAATAAGCAATGTGCACCCGGGATAATCCTAATGAACCCAAAGTAATCACAAGTGTACTTACAAGAAGGAGGCAGTGGAGTTAGGGTCAGAGAGAAGATGTAAGGATGGGCACAGAGGTCAGAGAGAGGCGAAGATGCTTTGAAGATTGAGGAAGGGGCCTTGAGTAAAGAAATGCAAAAGCCAGGAAAGGCAAGGAGACAAAATCTTCCCTGGAGCCTATACCTCTTTTGTTGTTGTTGATTTTCAAACAATTACGAACATACTGAAATTTTCAAGAATAGTAGGACTTTTTTTCCCTGAACCATGTGAGAGTAATGCTGACACAAAGCCCCATCATTCTGAATTCTTTAGTTTGTAATTCCTACAAACAAGGAGATTCTCCTACACAAGCAAACATACCACCAGCAAAATCAGGAAATTAACAATGAAATCTTCCTACCACCTACTCTACAGATTCCACCCCAGTTTCTCCAATTGCACCAGTCGTATCCTTTATAGTCAAAGGATCCAGGACAGGGTCTCCCGCTGCTTTCACTGGTCATGTCTCTACTCACTTTCAATCTAGAGGCTGTCTTCTCGCTGCCTTCTATCAGGTGGCAAATGATTCTGATTTGTCCGTTTCTGCTGAGATCAACTTGATTAAGGTGGTATTTGTCAGATTTCTCCACTGTGCATGACTAATGTTTTGGAATCAGTAAGGAAACGTGGGACTATTTAAATATCCCATTTCTTTCTTTGTTTCTTCTTTCTTTTCTTTCCTTTCCCTCCCTCCCCCTCTCTCTCTCTTTCTCTCTCTCTCTCTCTCTTTCTCTCTCTCTCTCTTTCTTTCTGATAGTCTTACTCACTTGCCCAGGCTGGAGTACAGTGGCGTGATCTCAGTTCACTGCAACCTCCACCTTCCAGGTTCAAGCAATCTTCCTTCCTCAGCCTCCCGAGTAGCTGGGATTACAGGTGCCCGCCACCACGCCCGGCTAATTTTTGTATTTTTAGTAGAGACTGGGTTTCGTCATGTTGGCCAGGCTGGTCTGGAACTCCTGACCTCAGGTGAACCGCCCACCTCGGCCTCCCAAAGTGCTAGGATGACAGGCGTGAACCACCGTGCCCAGCCTCAATATTCCATTTCTTATCAAACATTGACTCACTGATTTTAGCTTCCATTGATATTTTTGGATGATTTAATTATTGCCTTATTAATGACCAAACAGTGATTTTTCTAACTGCATCATTTTTTTCTCCATTTACTTGTTGCCACTTGCATTAGTGTCCTATTGTGTGTCATACTGTATTAGTGCTGCTATAACAAACTACCATAACCTTAGCGGGTTAAAACAACTTAAATGTATTATTTTGTAACTCTGGAGGCCAGACGTTCCCCATCGGTGTCACTAGGTTAAAATCAAGGCACTGGCAGGCCTGTGTTCCTCTTAAAGGCACCAGGGAAGAAGCCGTTCCCTTGCCTTCTAGCTTCTGGAGGACGCCTGCATTCCTGGGCTATGGCCCCCTCCTCTATCTTCAAGCCATCAGCATAGCACCTTCCCTCCTCTCTGACCTCTGCTTTCATCCGTTTATCCTCTCTCTGATTCTGCTCCTCATGGCTGCTTTGTGTAAGCGCCCTTGTGACCACATTGGGGACCTCCCCCCCATAATCCAGGATTATACACACTCATCTGCATTTAAATCTACATATTATACATAATATAGACACATATTTGTATAATATATTATATCTTTATTTATCTATATAATTTTTTTGAGACATGGTGTCATTCTGTCACCCAGGCTGGAATGCAGTGGCACGATCTTGGCTTACTGCAGCCTCAACCTCCTGGGCTCAAGCGATCCTCCCACCTTAGCCTCCCAAGTAGCTGGAACTACAGGTGTGCACCACCACACCTGGCTAATTCTTAATTTTTTTGTAAAGAAGGGACCTCACTGTGTTGCCCAGGCTGGTCTCAAACTCCTGGCCTTAAGTGATCCTCCGACCTTGGCCTCCCAAAATGTTGGGATTAAAGGCAGGTGTGAGCCACTGCACCCGACCCTTATCTATATATTCAAAACCATGAGTTTGCACCAATGCCTTTAATTCCAATCCAACACCATAAGGTTCAGATTAGTTGTCTTATCATTCACCCTGCAGCTCATTTCCAACAATGAAAAGCCTGACTCCCACCACTTTCAATATGTTTCACTATTGGACTAATCCCTCTTGTGTGTGTTCAGTCTCCCCTCCTGGCCAGACCCCTCCACTCTCCTCACACTACGCGGCCTGCCAGGTGAAAACAATACAGGGACTGCCACTAAGCCCTACTTTTTTTCTTTTATTTTTCTTTCTTTTTTTCCCCTCCCTCCTTCCTCTTTCTTTTCCCTCCCTTCCTCCCTCCCTCCTTTCCTTCCTTTCTTTTCTTTCTCTTTCTTTTTGTTCCTTCCTTCTTCTCTTTTTCTTTCTTTTCCTTCCTTCCTTCCTCTCTCTCTTTCTGTCTCCTTCCTTCCTTCCCTTCCTTCCCTCCCCTTCCCTCCCCTTCCTTCCTTCCTTTCTTCTTTCTTTCTTTCCTTCCTCTTTCTTTTTTTTCAAGGTCAGTCTGGCTCTGTCACCCAGGCTGGAGTACAGAGTGGCCTGATCTTGGCTCAAAGCAGCCTTGACCACCCTAGGCTCAAGCTATCCTCCTGCCTCAGCCTCCTGAGCAGCTGGGACCACAGGGCTGCACTACCACACCGGGATAATTTTTGTGTCTTTTGTAGAGACGGGGTTTCACCATGTTGCCTAGGTTGGTCTCGAACTCCTGAGCTCAAATGATCCACTCACCTTGGCCTCCCAAAGTGCTGGGATTACAGGCATGAGCCACTGGGCCCAGCCTGTTTTTTTCTTAAATACTACTACTTAGAACTAAATGTGAAATCATCCAAATATCATATTATCCTAAATTTGATTAAGATAATTACTGTTGGCTGGAAAAGGTAGTATTACATATGGCTTAATTCCTTTACTGTATAGTCCACAGAGATTGAGACTTTAATCTTCACATTGAGTGGAAAATAAGAGAGAATATGTTCAGATGACAGTAAAATAAAGTCAAATTAGACTTTCAGACAAAATTACATTAAATATATTTTGACATTGAAACAAGTGACCAAGTGCAGTTGAGGAATTTCTTTGACTCATGACATTTACAGTAAGAGTAAATATAGAGGCCGGGCACAGTGGCTCACGCCTGTAATCCCAGCACTTTGGGAGGCAGAGGTGGTTAGATCACAAGATCAGGAGATCCAGACCATCCTGACTAACACGGTGAAACCCCGTCTCTACTAAAAAATACAAAAAATTAGCCCGGCGTGGTGGCGGGCGCCTGTAGTCCCACCTACTCGGGAGGCTGAGGCAGGAGAATCACTTGAACCCGGGAGGCGGAGGTTCCGGTGAGCCGAGATCGCACCACTGCACACCAGCCTGGTGACACAGCGAGGCTCCATCTCAAAAAAAAAAAAAGAAAAAAAAGAAAAAGAAAAACTCAGCTGTTAAACATTTCTTGCTCAAATAACTTCTGTAAAATGCTTAATAGAATAAATAATCGTATCAGTCAGGGTTCTCTGGAGAAACAGAACCAATAAGAGATATATATGTATGTGTGTATGTATACATACACATACAAAGAGACAGCGAGAGAGATTTTAAAGAATTGCTCAAGTAATTGAGGAGGCCGGCAAGTCTGAAATCTCTAGGACAGGCCCACAGGTTGGAAATTCAGGCAGGAGTTGATGTTACCGTCTCGAGTCCGAAATCTGCAAAGCAGGCCAAGCCCTCCGGAAACTCACTCAGAGTTTCTGTGCTGCAGGCTCGAGGCAGAATTCCTTTTTTCTCGGGAAAGGCTCAGTCTCCGCTCTGAAAGCCTTCAGCTGATTGCATGAAGCTCACCCACATTCAAGAGGATAATCTACTTTACTCAGAGTCAGCTGATTGTACGTATCAATCACATCTACACAATACCTTCACAGCAACATCCAAGTTAGTGTTTAACCAAGCAGCTGGGCCCCACAGCCAAGCCAAGTTGAGACATAATGAACCATCACTGTCTCTGTAACTATCTGTTTTCAAAGAAACATTGATTTTCTTTCGCAATCACTTCCAGAAGTTTGACTTAGTATTTCCTACACACTGTTTAACTAACATTGAATTAACTCTTAGTTCCTAATAAAGGTTTGCTAACACATACATACAAATCTTATTAGAAAATTGATTTGCATGTGTTAGAAAACATATTTATTGCATTATTTTGGAACAGTTTTAGTTTTTGCATTATCTCTTCTGTGGTCATATATTGGATTTTCTTTGATGCTTTTCACTGATGACAGCTATTTGGGGGAAAACATAGATGATTTTTACAAAACGCGTCACTGAAAGGGTTTGGGCAGACAACAGTGCGTCTTTTGGTGCAGGCTGGCACTCACACGCAGAGATGCCGCAAGATCAGTCTCCACCCCTCAGACCTCTGCGGAGGGACGCTTGGGTCCGGCTAGTTGGACTAAGACAGCCCCGGACTGCAAGGAAAGGCCTCAAGGCCCCGCCCCCACTCATTTGGGTTCTCTTTTTAAAGGGCAAACCCGAGTGGCCTTGCCAGGGGGAACAAAATGTCTGCTTGGGCATCGGGCAGGCTGGGCTTAGGTGACAGCTGTTCAGGCAGTTCGCTGTCTGGAGAGCCTGTTGCCAGCACCTGTTGACCTTGTGAGAAGTTCCATTTGGGCACAGCCCCTCCTGCAGGGGGAGGGGGGAGGTTCTGGTCCCATTTAGATTGTTGCCAGGCAACCCATATCTTCAGGGTCAGACTGTCCTGTTTGTCTTTCCACAAAGTATACAGACAACCATAAACAAAGCATAGCTTAAGTAACATTTAGATTGTTGAGGGAACATAAAATAGGGCTTGTTTTTTCCGTCCCCCTCCCTCATCATTGCCCAAAGATGTTACTGATTTGAAATAATTTTTAGATGATCTGCGTGCAAGAAAAAACACAGGGACGGCCAGGCGCGGTGGCTCACGCCTGTAATCCCAGCGCTTTTGGAGGCGGAGGCGGGCGGATCACCTGAAGTCAGGAGTTCAAGACCGGCCTGGCCAACACGGTGAAACGCCGTCTCTACTATAAAATACAAAAATTAGCTGGGCATGGTGGCACGTGCCTGTAGTCCCAGCTACTTGGGAGGCTGAGGCAGGAGAATTTGCTTGAACCTGGGAGGCGGAGGTTGCAGTGAGCCGAGATGGCGCCACTATACTCCAGCCTGGGCAACAGAGTGAGACTCCGTCTCAAAAAAAAAAAAAAAAAAAAAAAACACAACAGGGACAAATATCCCATCAGCTAACGCTGTGATGATGTTGTCACAAATTACGAGTGGCCTCAATGGAGTGTGGTACTTTTACAATTTACTGTTTAAATAATGCAATAAATACAAACTACTTAAGTGGTGTATGTTCAATAATGCCACAGAACTCTCTAACTGTTTAATCATTTAGGGCTACATTTCATTATTTCATCTTTATTATATTTCAATCCATCCTCTATCAACACCATAGCAAACCTTCCCTCTAGACCTGTGTATCCAATAAGGCAGCCACTAGCCACATGTGGTTATGTAAATGAAAATTACAATTTACTAGTTTAAATGAACAGTTAGTTCTTCCGTCACCCTAGCCACATTTCAAGTGGTCAATAGCCACATGTGGCTAGTGGCTACTTTATCAGGGAACACAGCTAAAGGACACTTCCATCATTGCAAAAAGTTACATTGGACAGTGTTGCTGACCTTTGGCAGGAAACAAAGTCTTGAATTGTCTGGTGTCCAGGTTTCATAAAAAGCCTGTTTACACCAGAAATGGGCAGAAAAAAGAAAAGAAAAAGCCTGCTTAGGAGAAGCAATATTTACGGAGGATTGGTGGAAGGATGCCCATCTCTATAATTTATTTGAGTTTTAGCTTGGAATCAAGCAAGCCCATAGCAGTGTTTCTGGATCACAGAGTCTTGGCACTCCAGAAAACTGTTTTCATGGAGCCACATTTTAGGATTTTGTCCAATAACTCATTAAGAAACAACCTTGTGAGTATTGCTGTGCAGAAAGTAAAGAATTAAGCATCATGGGGACCTGTCAAAGGACAGATGTGCTAGCCTGATGTGGCATTTACTGGACAAATCTGAGAGAAATTGAGCAGCAAAATAAGTAATGATAAATGGATTACAGAATTAACCCAGCATGAAAATAGTCTGCACTGGCCGGGCGAGGTGGCTCACGTCTGTAATCCCAGCACTTTGGGAGGCTGAGGTGGGTGGATCACTTGAGGTCAGGAGTTCGAGACCAGCCTGACTAACATAGTGAAACACTGTTTCTACTAAAAATACAAAAAATTAGCCAGGCGTGGTGGCACATGCCTGTAATCCTAGCTTCTTGGGAGGCTGAGGCAGGAGAATCACTTGAACCCAGGAGGCAGAGGTTGCAGTGAGCTGAGATCGCGCCATTGCACTCCAGCTTGGGCAACAAGAGCGAGACTGTCTCAAAAAAAAAAAAAAAAAAAAAAAGAAATAGTCTGTACTGATGTCAATTAATATGTGGAGGAGAATGGGAAGTACCATGGAATGCCAACAAATGAATGCAGAGGGAATAATGGAATTCGAACATCGAACATCACCACTTGTCTATTGTTGTAGACATAATTGTTTTATGGAAGAGTCAGCAAAGAAACTAGCAGGTTGGATAGGAGACAAGAGATTTTTATGACACCAAAGTGTCTCCTTATAAGTATTTATTAATTATAAAGATAAAAAATAGTAACTTTACAGTGGAGAAACGGCAGACGCTACCTTAACCAAGCATTCAAAGGTAACATCACCAGTAATGGGAAAAGTAGATATCTTGTGCCCCCTGATGGGATACACTGAGGACTCACTACTACTTCTGAGATGTCCCTGCCGAAAATACTGAATCTGGATCTAATGAGGAAGAACAGGCAACCCCAGACTCAGAAACACTCTACAAAAGCATCTGGCCTGTGCTGTCCAAAATGTCAAGGGCTTCCAAGACAAAGAAAGATTTAGGAAGTGTTCCAGATTAAAGACCAAAGAGACATGATGACAGGTACAAATTTGAGCCTAGATAAGATCACTGAGCAGAAAAAAGAAACCAAAAAACTCTTTTTTTCTTTTGCCATAAAGGTATTTAAGAAAAATGATAACATCTGAAAAGTCTTGTATATTAGGAAATACTACTGTATTCATGTTAACTTCCTGATTTTGGTCATTGCACTGTGGTTACAGAAAATAACATTCTTGTTTTTAGGAAGTATGCACTGTAGTGTTCAGGAGTAAAGGGGCATAGTGTCTCCAGCTATCTCTCAGATGGTTCAGAAATATGTAATTCCCTCTTACAGTCCAAGATCTCCAGCGGATGTCTGGAACCAATCCATGCGTATACTATATTTTTCCTGTATGGGAACACCTGTGGTAAAAGTCAGTTTAGAAACATGGCACAGTAAGAGATTAGCAACAATAGTTAATAAAAAGAACAATTATAACAATATACTGTCATAAAAGTTATGCGAATGTGGTCTCTCACTCTCTCTCAAAATATTGTCAAACCCCAGTTGACGCAGGCAACTGAATCCACAGAAAGTAAAATTGCCGATAAGGGGGGATTACTGTATATATGTACGTGTATAGAGAGAGATAGAGAGAGAAATACATTGGGAGAGAGGCAGAAAAGGAGAACAGTAAAGTAAATATATGGGAGGCTGGGCACGGTGGCTCACACCTGTAATCCCAGCACTTTGGGAGGCTGAGGCAGGCAGATCACCTAAGGTCAAGAATTCAAGACCAGCCTGGCCAACATGGTGAAACTCCATCTCTACTAAATATACAAAAATTAGCCAGATGTGGTGGCATGTGCCTGTAATCCCAGCTACTCTGGAGGCTGAGGCAGGAGAATCGCTGGAACCCGGGAGGCAGAGGTTGCAGGTGAGCCAAGATTGAGCCACTGCACTCCAGTCTGGGCAACGAGAGTGAAACTCCATTTCAGAAAAATAAAAAAAAGTGAATATATGGGAAAATACAACAAATACAACATTGAGGAATCTAGATGAAGAGTATTAGCAACCTCTTTGTACATTTTTTGCAATTGTTTGTGGTCTGAAATTACTTCAAAAATGAAATGAATAGAAGAAATAATCTTATGAAATCCATTACTATACTTGTGGGAGGCTTAAACCTCTGCATCCCAATTGTGAAACTTCATATGAGCAAATTCTTACAATTAAAACCTATAAAAGCTTTAATTTTTTCCAAAGGTTGTAGAGTTTCTCTTTTTGCCTGTTTAAAGTATGAAACTGTTTCCCTTTTATCCTTGACATTCAGAAAGCTCAGGGCTAAGTAGTATCTGTAGTTTCTAGCTAACTATAGTGACCATGGAGGACCCTATAGAAAACACTCTGTGGGCCGGGCACAGTGGCTCATGCCTGTAATCCCAGCACTTTGGGAGGCCGAGGTGGGTGGATCACCCGAGGTCAGGAGTTCAAGACCAGCCTGGCCAACATGGTGAAACCCTGTTTCTACTGAAAATACAAAATACTGTACATAAAACCCCACCAGGTGGCGACTCATGCTCCTGTCCCCACTTTACAGACGGACAAACTGAAGCACAGAGAAGTTAGGGAGCACACAAGCTCATCAGCTTAGAAAGCCGGAGAGCCAAGGGTGGAACCCACGCAGCCAGCACTGTTAACAAACTGGAACTGTGCGGCCATTCAAAGGTGAGAATTACAGAGGGAGGGAGCTCACTTCATGCTTGCAAGAAGATCTCAGCACAGAGTTGACCGAGGCAACAGTTAAACAGTCTTGAAAATAAATACGCGTCCACATTATATTGTTACAATTTTTTTTTTCTGAGGCAGCATCTTGCTCTGTTGCCCAGGCTCTAGTGTAGTAGTGTGATCTGGGCTCACTGTAGCCTCGACTTCCTCAGGCTCTAGTGATCCTCCCACCTCAGCCTCCTGGGTAGCTGAGATTACAGGCGCCTGCCACCACGCCCACTAAATTTTGTATTTTTAGTAGTAGTTTCGCCATGTTGGCCAGGCTGGTCTCGAACTCCTGGGCTCAAGCCATCCACCCACCTCAGCCTCCCAAAGTGCTGGGATTACAGATGTGCACCACCACCACGCCCGGCCTATTGCAACAATTTTAAAATTAGCATGTGGAAATATAAAATAAAATAATAATTTTTTATTTTATATTTTTCCTGAAATTTTTGTATAAATAATTGAAACGCATTACATTTATTTTTTGGAGTTTATTTATTTTTACAGAGTCTCACTGTCACCCATGCTGGAGTACAGTGGTGCGATCACAGCTCACTGCAACCTCTACCTCCCAGGTTCCAGTGATTCTCCTGCCTCAGCCTCCTGAGTAACTGGGATTACAGGTACACATCACCACGCCCATGTAATTTTTGTATTTTTAGTAGAGATGGGGTTTCACCATGTCGGCCAGGCTGGTCTCCAACTCCACCGTGCCCAGTCTTCCATATATTTACTTTACTGTTCTCCTTCTCTGTCTCTCTCCTAATGTATTTCTCTCTATATATACATGTACATATATATAGTAATCCCCCCTTATCGGCGATTTCACTTTCTGTGGATTTAGTTACCTGCATCCACCCACCTCGGCCTCCCAAAGTGATGGGATTACAGGTGTGAGCCACTGCGCCCGGCCCCCATTATATTTATTGATAATGCTCTCACATATGATACCAAAGAACTGGGTCAGGGAAGGGAGGACTTCCAGGCTAGAGAAATATTGTTAGGGAGTCACAGACGAGGCAAAGGTATGTGGGTGTATATGGGTGTGTGTGTGACTGAGGGTGAGTGTGAGTAAGTGTGAGTGAATGTGGGTGACTATGAGTCGCCCTAGGACAGGAGGGTGTTCTGGCCAGGGCGGGTCCCACCTGGTGCCCTAGGCTGCTGTGAAGGACTGTGTGGCCACTCCCGACCCTGAGCTGGAATAAGCAGGTAAGTCTTTGTCTGACTTGTTTTGATTAATCCAAGATGTTAAAGGAGTAGGAGAGCTGGCTGTTTCTCTCCATTACTGTTGTGTAGGGGAAAAAAAGACCAATATAGATATAGGATTCCCTCAGTATCCACAGAAGATTTGTTCCAGGACCCCTTCAGATACCAGAATCCAAGGATGCTCAAGTCCCTGATATAAAATGGCTTAGTATTTGCCTAGAACCATACACATCCTCCCGTATACTTTAAATCATCCCTAGATTCCTTATAATACCCAATACAATGTATTGCTATGTAAACAATTGTTATATTCTATTGGTTAGAGAATACTGACCCCCAAAAAATGTCTGTACATGTTCAGTACAGGCACGATTTTTTTTCGAGTGTTTTCGATCCACAGTTGGTTGAATCCAGCAATGCAGAACCCATGAACACGGAGGGCTGACTGTATATATATATATATATATATATATATACATATATGTATGTATGTATATATATACACACACACACAAGTTTAAAAACTGTCTGCAGAGGAGAGGCTGAATAGAGAAATGTGGTCTTTGGGCCAAACACTAGTACCCACCAATGATAATTAAAAAAAGCAGGAGTAGGCCGGGTGCAGTGGCTCATGCCTATAATCCTAGCACTTTGGGAGGCCAAGGCGGGTGGATTACCTGAGGTTAAGAGTTGGAGACCAGCCTGGCCAACATGGTCTCTACTAAAAATACAAAATGAGCTGGGCGTGGTGGCATGTGCCTGTAATCTCAGTTACTCGGGAGGCTGAGGCTGAGGCAGGAGAATTGCTTGAACCCAGGAGGTGGAGGTTGCGGTGAGCCAAGATCACGCCATTGCACTCCAGCCTGGGCGGCAGAGCAAAAACTCCATCTCAAAAAAAAAAGGAGTATTTACTAGCTGACCTGGATGTCTTACGTGCTACCCCAGGCTGGCCTGGCCCAGCTGGAGTCACAGGGGCGTAGGCAGGAGGCTGCCTGCCTGGAGCAGGAATAGGGGATGCAGAGGTCGGCTACAGGCACCTGGCACCCTTTTCTCAGCATGAATTGTACCTACCACCTGGCTACAAGTGTGGGTTCTTCCCATCAATCTAGCTCATAAAACCCTGTATTTTCCTTCATAAAATCTACTGTAAGTTGTAATTATAAGCAAATGTACTTCTACTTAACTTTTAACAGAACAGCTTGCACAGATCCCGCAAAGAAATTAACCAAAGAACCAAAGAAATTAACATCATGAACAGAGGCTGGGCACAGTCATGTTGAGGGTGACCAACTTGTCAGATCCGCCTTGGCCTCCCTAAAGTGCTAGGATTACGGGCACGAGCCACTGCACCCGTTTTATCACTGAAAGTCCTGTGTCCTGGGAAACCTCTCAGTAGCCTTACTATTGGGCGGTTTATCTTGGCTGCAGGATAACTGCTGGTACATACAGGCACCTTTGTACAAACTGGGAAAAGGAAACCCATCCTTTTGGCAGACCAACCAGGAAAAAGGTTTTCTTCGTCCACATTGAGACTGTCTCAAGCCTGGGCATACAGCTTGGTGATTCATGTGAGCCCCTTGAGCAAGTACAAACATACAGGATGGCCTTGCTTTGCCGGGATCACAAGCTTATGGTCCAGGGGTTGAATTCTAGCCCATGGCCATATTTTTTTAGGCCTGTTTTTTTGAATATTTTAAGTACAAATGTGTAAAATTCAGGAGAGTCTACATAAAAACACAACTTTTAGGCCAGGTGTGGTGGCTCATGCCTGTAATCCCAGCACTTTGGGAGGCCGAGGCAGGTGGATCACCTGAGGTCAGGAGTTCGAGACCAGCCTGGCCAACATAGCAAAACCCTGTCTCTACTAGTAATACAAAAACTAGCCAGGTGTGCTGGTGCACACCTGTAATCCCAGCTACTTTGGAGACCGAGGCAGGAGAATGGCTTGAACCTGGGAGGTGGAAGTTGCAGTGAGCTGAGATTGTGCCACTGCACTCCAGCCTGGGTGACAAGCGCGAAATTCCGTCTCCAAATAAATAAATAAAAATGAAAACATGACTTTCTGGCTACTGTTTAAAAGATCTAGTAATGCTCTACTTTTCTTCTTCCATGGCAATAACAGGCTGGAGTCACATAGCAGCGGCTAACTTTGAACTCCACAAATCACCATACTCCCCATTACCCCTGACTGTCACTGACTTGGAGGCTAAGTAGAAACTCATCATTCCTTAGTGCTTTGTGTTGTTTTTTTTCTCTAAACCGAACCTGCTTACATTTTGTGACAGCCCAGCCCCTGTAGGCTTTGTGGTTCTTGTCTGTTTGAGACAGGGTCTCGCTTTGTCACCCAGGCTGGAGTGCAGTGGTGTGATTATACCTCACTGCAGCCTCAAACTCCTGGGCTCAAGCGACCCTCCTGCTTCAGCCTCCTGAGTAGCTGGGACTATAGGTTGAGCCACTGTGCCCAGCTCCCTGTCGGTTTTTTAGCATTCAGTCCCTGCTACTATCTGACTCTCCATTGATCACAAGGTGAGACTGCAGCAAGTTCAAACCTTACAGCCTCTTGGCTTAAGCCAGAAAGCAAGAGCATCTTCCTTGGAGTCCTGCCAAATCTCATTGCATACTACTGGTTCTTAGTAAGTCCAGACCAAACCTTCCTTTGTTGTTGTTGTTGTTTTTGAGACAGAGTTTTGCTCTTGTTGCCCAGGCTGGAGTGCAATGGCGTGATCTCGGCTCACTGCAACCTCCATCTCCTGGGTTCAAGTGATTCTCTCCTGCCTCAGCCTCCCGAGTAGCTGGTGTTACAGGCAAGCACCACAACGCCTGGCTAATTTTGTATTTTTAGTAGAGACGCGGTTTCACCATGTTGGTTGGGCTGGTCTTGAACTCGACCTCAGGTGATCCACCCGCCTCGGCCTCCCAAAGTGCTGGGATTACAGGTGTGAGCCACTGCACCCGGCCCAGACCAAAACTTCCAACAGCACATGAATGTTGTATTTTTGCACTTCCATTTGTTTGCAATCTCAGATTTTTGATGCATGTCTTTAGGGTTCTGGTGGCTTGGAGGAAAGATCATGTATCTACTGTGTTTGTGTTTAGATTTCAGGGAGAGTAAGGCTTCTAGGAGGACATTGCTCCTGAGCCATATTTGGAGGAAGGTAAAGGACAAGAGGAGCGGGATGAGTATTTCAGATTGAGGACGTGGGCCAAGGGAGAACCAACCGCCCATGGCGAGGGAGAACAAGCTGCTCTGGGGCTCCTTACAACTTTCCCAGCTGTCTTTCTCCCCCTTTCTGTAGAGGCTGATGCTATTTGTGATGCCCATCTTCTATAAGCTGTCAGCCAGAAACACCTGCTGAAATAAAGGCCATCTGTTCTGAATGCTGAATGCGCGGTTGTTGGGATCTCCCAAGAAACACACACACAAAAATGAACTTACTCCAAGGAAGCCAGACTTGACATGGACCCTCTGGGGCTTTGACGGCCCTTGGCCTCCAGTGGACGTCCAGAATCAGGGAAGACATTGCTGTGGCCTTCTCGGTACACTATGGGCTCCCATCAGGTAGAGGTCGCGCTGTGTGAGCTGGTGTGTCCCTTTTGACTCAGGGAACATGCTTGCTTGTCTGCACTGCAGTGAGTCCCCAGTGAAATGAAATGGCAGGTCTTCAGAGGCATGAAAATGCCAGCTGTTGTGTGTCATGGAAAGACGCACCAGCCTGGGCAAGTCAGAGGCAACCCAGAATAAATGGATCCACTGTGAAATGGGATTAATACTGGTTTCTACCCCATGTGGAGATCAGAGACTGGGCAGTTATTAATATTAAAGTGGAGCTTTGCTGTGCAGGTCAGCAGAAAGAGGGGTAGTGAGCTGGAGATGGATGGGAGATCAACCAAGGGCTTTCATTTTTGTTGTTTGAGAGATACTAGAGCATGCTTGTTTGCTGAAGGGAATGATTCAGTAGAAAGAAAGCGGATACAAGAGAGAAAGGGTTGATTTGTGGAAGCCTTTGAGAACGTTAGAGGCAATGGGGTTTAGAACCCAAGTGAAGATGGCTGGGTGCGGTGGCTCACGCCTGTAATCCCAGCACTTTGGGAGGCCGAGGCGGGCGAATCACAAGGTCAGGAGATCGAGACCATCCTGGATAACATGGTGAAACCCCGTCTGTACTAAAAATACAAAAAATTAGCCGGGCACGGTGGCAGGCGCCTGTAGTCCCAGCTACTCGGGAGGCTGAGGCAGGAGAATGGCATGAACCCAGGAGGTGGAGCTTGCAGTGAGCCGAGAAGGTGCCACTGCACTCCAGCCTGGGCGAGAGTGCGAGACTCCGTCTCAAAAAAAAACAAAACAAACAAACAAAGAAAACAGAAAGAACCCAAGTGAAGATGTGGGCCTCGGGTAAGAGCAGAGGCATTTGATCCTGTGCACCAGGAAATCGAATATGGATACTCCTGTAACCAGGATGTAGCTGTGGTGCTGGGCAGATGAGTTACTTAAAGCAAACAGTTTTCCTCCAAACACAGAATGGCACTTAATCAGAGGCATTAATATGAGTTTCATGGGGAAAGGGGACATGAACTTAGGATATGGTTGAGAGAAGCAGGTAAGGGGATGGGACATGAAGTTGGAACTCTGGGGTTTTACTGTAGCATGTGGGCTCTGAGTGTCTATGGAACAGGGCGTCTATGCCGGGACCGGGAAAAGAGATGGAAGCAGAATTGCCATTCTTTACAGTAAGTTTTGCCTAGGCTGTCTATGATAGTGCTGCAAGTTTTGAGTTAATGACTCTTCACCAAAATCTTTTACTTAAGTGTCCACAGATCTGCCTATTCCTGATCTAAGCTATAAATCCAAGAAACTAAATTCTGTTGAGCCAGTCAACGAGGATCAGTTTCAGCTCGGCGCAGTGGCTCACACCTGTAATCCCAGTACTTTGGGAGGCCGAGGCAGGCAGATCACTTGAGGCAAGGAGTTCAGGACCAGTCTGGACAACATGGTGAAACCCCATCTCTACTAAAAATACAAAAATTAGCCGGGCGTGGTGGTGTGGTCCTGTAATCCCCGCTACTTGGGAGGCTGAGACACAAGAATTACTTGAACCTGGGAGGCAGACGTTGCAGTGAGCCAAGATTGTGCCACTGCACTCCAGCCTGCGTGACACAGCAAGACTCTGTCTCAAAAAAAAAAAAAAAAAAAAAAGTTTCCACCACGGGGAAGAGTTAAGAAAATTGCTAGGGAAGCTGCCCAGCCCAATGGCCTCAGAAGAGGGACAAAATTCCCTGGAACCAGATTTAGACATGGGGTCAAGTGTTTACTTTGCAGCCAGACCTGGGCCCACTGTCTAAGTGGAGATGTCTGCCACGTCTTCCCTTCTGAAACAGTCACTCAGCATTTCTTTCAATAACAAATATCACTGAATGTGCAAAAGGGAAATGATTTAAAGGTGACATTTAGAAAGATGAGGAAATTTTAAACTGATTTTCAACTTCTTCAGAATGACGTTTCTCCTTTCACTTAAAGAATCACAACGTGGAGGCCAGGCGTGGTGGCTCACATCTGTAATCTCAGCACTTTGGGAGGCCGAGGTGGGTGGATCACCTGAGGTCAGAAGTTCAAGACCAGCCTGGCCAAAGTGGTGAAACCCCGTCTCTACAAAAAATACAAAAACTAGCCGGGCATGGTGGTGTGTGCCTGTAATCCCAGCTACTTGGGAGGCTGAGGCAGGAGAATCGCTTGAACCCGGGAGGTGGAGGTTGCAGTAAGCCGAAATCACACCACTGCACTCCAGCCTGGGCGACAGCCTGAGACTCTGTCTCAAAAAAAAAAAAAAAAACCAAAAACAAAAATCACAACTTGTCAGTTAATAGGGTTGCAAATTTAAAAAAAAGAAAAAAAGGGCCGGATGCAGTGGCTCATGCCTGTAATCCCAGCACTTTGGGAGGCCGAGGTGGGCAAATCACAAGGTTAGGAGATCGAGACCATCCTGGCTAACACGGTGAAACCCCGTCTCTACTAAAAAATACAAAAAATTACCCGGGTGTGGTGGCCGGCGCCTGTAGTCCCAGCTACTCGGGAGGCTGAGGCAGGAGAATGGCGTGAACCCGGGAGGCGGAGCTTGCAGTGAGCTGAGATCACCCCACTGCACTCCAGCCTGGGCAACAGACTGAGACTCTGTCTCACAAAAAAAAAAAAAAAAAAAAAAAGAATTACAACTTAAGTGCAGAAATTGAATATATTTTTGTTTTTAATCACTGACTCAATGCAGAAGTAGATGTCCTGATTTCAAGCATGACGCAGTTGGAATGACAGGTACAGCTCAAGTGGAAAATAGTGTAAAACAAATTCTGCAGCTTATTAAGAAACAGGAGGCTTGTCAGGTGCGGTGGCTCATGACAGTAATCCCAGCACTTCGGGAGGCCGAGGTGGGTGGATCACTTGAGGTCAGGAGTTCGAGACCAGCCTGGTCAACATGGTGAAATCCCATCTCTACTAAAAATACAAAAATTAACTGCCGTGGTGGTGGGCACCTGTACTCCCAGCTATTCAGGAGGCTGAGGCACTAGAATCACTTGAACCCCAGAGGCAGAGGTTGCAGTGAGCCGAGACTGTGCTACTGCTCTCCAGCCTGGGCGACAGAGCAAGACTCAGTCTAAAAAAAAAGAAGAAAGAAAGAAACAGGAGGCTTAAGTAAAATGCAGGATTTTGCTCTATATTATAGTTTGCTCCATTTTATAGGTAGAAAAAAATAAAATCTTAAAGAAGTTATTTGCTGACAGTGGAAAGTGGTCGGGTTTTTTTTTGTGTGTTGTTTTGTTTTTTCAGTCTCAGACTGAACTCTCTAGGACACTTGCCCTGTTAAGTGGGTTGGTGCCAGAGAGAAAACGCTCTGGACACTCCAACTAGTGGACTGCTAGAATTCACCGGACTGACTCCCTGCCACCTTTGGCCCAATCTAAGCACTGTTCTGGTTCAATTCAAGGTCGTCTGATTTGATTCCACTGAAACCCTCACAACCATTAAAGTCGAGCAGCAACTTAAGATTTAGAAAAGTGGTTTTCAATTTTTTAAAATAGAACTCATAGTAGATTTTATGCCACAACCCAGTCCTTAAACACACACACGCCCATTCTAAAGCAAGCCAAAAATGTTTCACAAACAGTATCTACTCTCAGAACACGTATTGCATTCCGATCAATATATTCTATTCAACTGTTTTGTTCATTAAAAAAGATGTTGCTAAAAATCTACTACATTGATTTTTTTTTTCTTTTTTTGAGACAGAGTCTTACTCTGACGCCCAGGCTGGAGTGTAATAGCGCGATCTCAGCTCACTGCAACCTCCGTCTCCTGGGTTCAAGCGATTCTCCTGCCTCAGCCTCCCGAGTAGCTGGGATTACAGGCACCTGCCACCACGCCAGGCTAAGTTTTGTATTTTTAGTAGAGAAGGGGTTTCACCATGTTGGCCAGGCTGGTCTCGAACCTCTGACCTCAGGTGATCCACCTGCCTTGGCCTCCCAAAGTACTAGGATTACAGGTGTGAGCCACTGTGCCCAGCCCTAAATTGAATTTGTATCCACTACTAGGTTACAAACCAGCCTGCCTGAAACACACAGGTTTAGAAAATGTATTTTTCTCTGTTTTGATCATTTATGTATTAGAATAACAGCCAAGATTTTATAAACCGGAAAACATTTGATATTAATATTCAAGGACATCTGATTAGAACAAAGGTGACAAAGTATTTATTTTAAAAATAATCACCACCACTTATTGCCTACTCTTATAGTATTAGGCTCTTTACAAACATTTTCTCCAATCTCTTAAACAACCTTGTAATTTACGGTACTCTTGTTCCCATCAAGGGATGAACCCCAACCTCACAGAGGATGGCCAGAAGTAACAACACCCAAAGGAGATGACCGAGCAAGCAAGCCGATGGACTTGCCACAGCGCATGGTTGCCGGCAGTAGATAAGACTTGGTGGATCCGAGCGAGACAATTCATTACTCTCAGCACAGCACACGACAGCAGCTCAGCATGACAGAGCTTGGTCTCCTGACCCCAAGTCCCGTGGCACAGGCCAGGCTCTGCACCTTTGATAGCAAGTGGTAACAATCCAGTCTCCTCCCTATGGGACAAACAGTGGCCTGGCAGTCGTGCTGTGGTTGCCTCTACGACTAGCTACACAAATGGCTACACCCTGGTCAGAGCGTGGTGGGCCCTGCAGGTTGGCATAGTCTGCAAAGACACGCAGGGTCCCGGGGCCCGTGGTGGACTGACTCTCTCAATAATTCTCCACTTTATAGTGGAAAGACATTATTTTCTTTTTTTGTTTGTTTTTGAGACTGAGGCTTGCTCTGTTGCCCAGCCTGGAGTGCAGTGGCGCGACCTCGACTCACTGCAACCTCCGTCTCTTGGATTCAAGCGATTCTCTTGCCTCAGCCTCCCAAGTAGCTGGGATTACAGGCATCTGCCACCACGCCCAGCTAGTTTTTGTATTTTTAGTAGATACGGGGTTTCACCATGTTGGCTAGGCTGGTCTCGAACTCCTGATCTCAGGTGATCTGCCCGCCTCGGCTTCCCAAAGTGCTGAGATTATACAGGTGTGACTCACCTTGCCCGGCCGAAAGACATCATTTTCTTACATCTACACAAATAATGTGGCAGGGTATGCATTCTCGTACATCCCCCTTACTCTGATGCAAATGCTTTTCTTTGATCCCCTGTCTAATCCGGCTCCTTTGACCCAGGACATACCTGAAGATACTGATGAGTATGGGCAAGTAATGACACAAGACTTTATCCCTGTACATGGATCATTTCACACAGACAAGCACAGACGTGGAAACAATTTCTAGAAGTGGAATTTCTGGACCAAAGGCCTTTGTGATTTTGATGGATATTGCTGAATTGTCCTTTGTCAAGGTTGCATTAGCTTACACTCAAAACAACTTGTGAGAGAGAACCGGTTTCCTCACACCTTTGATATGTCACCAAGCTATTCAGTCTTCGCCAGTGTCACAGGAGAAAAACAGAATCTCCCTGCAGTTTTAGTTTCTCTTGTGATGAGGGTGTGTCCTTTTGTTTAACATAAATTTACATTTCCTTTTCTGAAACTGTCACATCTAAGAGTTTTTTATGTATAAGTATACTAAAAGTACTTTTTCTTAGTTTTATTTATGCAATTTTTTCCACGCACAATTTTTTACATTTATGTCATCAAATGTAACATTTTCTTTATGGCTTCAGAGTCTTGTGTCATACTTTGGGAAGGTTGTCTCATCCTGAAACTATTTTTAAAATCTCCATTTCTTTTCTTTTCTTTCTTTTTTTTTTTTTTTTTTTTTTTGAGACAGGGTGTTGCTCTGTTGTCCAGGCTGGAACACACGGGCATGATCACAGATTCACTACAGCCTTGACCTTCCCAGCTCAGGCGATCCTCCCACCTCAGCCACCTGAGTAGCTGGGACTACAGGCACATGCAACCACACCAGGCTAATTTTTAAAATTTTTCGTAGAGATGGAGGTCTCACTATGTTTCCCAGGCTGGTCTTAAACTACTATGCTGAAGCAATCCTCCCATCCTGGCCTCTCGAAATGCTGGGATTACAAATCCATTTTATTTTAAAAGTTTTTTTCATCTCTCTGAATTTACTGCGATGTTAAGAGTGAGATAGGAGTACCTTTCCTTTTTCCCCCAGTGGCTCTTTGGTTCTCCAATACCATACATTGAAGAAACTGCATATTAAATTTTCTCATATATATATATTTAGGTCTATTTCTGGGCTCTATTTTCTTTCATTGATCTGAGCAGGTATCAGCACAGTATCACTTTAATTCTTGCTGCTGGAAATGTTTGACTAAATTTTATTTTTATTTTTTTTGAGATGGAGTCTTGCTCTGTCGCCAGGCTGGAGTGCAGTGGTGTGACCTCGGCTCACTGCAATCTCCACCTCCCCGGTTTAAGCAATTCCCCTACCTCAGTCTCCCAAGTAGTTAGGACTACAGGTGTGTACGACCACACTCAGCTAATTTTTGTATTTTAGTAGAGACGGGGTTTCATTATTGTTGGCCAGGCTGGTCTTGATTTCCAGACCCAGTGATCCGCCCGCCTCGGCCTCCCAGAGTGCTGGGATTACAGGCTGAGCCACTGCGCTGGGCCATGTTTGACTAATTGAAAGAACTAAACTCACATCATCACTGTTTTTGAAAAAAAATTTTTTTTTTTTGTCTATTCTGGTATGCTTAGTTTTCCTTAAGAACTTTGGAGTCAGCTTTTCTTTCTTTTAAAAATCCAGTTGCAGTTTCACTGGGATTACCTTACTTATTTATAGGATTGCCTTATTTATAGGATCAGTTAAACAAAACTAGTATCATTATCAATTGATTTTTTTTCAATTGCTTAGGCTAAAATCCAATTTGGAGTTAGCTTCGATGCCTCTAGCTCTCCCACATCCTTCGTTGGATTCACCAGCAAGCCCGTCAGCAGTTCCTTCACTATATATCCAGAAACTGACCGCTTCTCACCCACTCCCACCTCCCACCCTTGTCAAGGAATCGTCATTCTTCACCCACTTCCTCAACAGCTTCCTAACTGGCCTTCCTGCCTTCCCTCTTGCTTGCCTATTCTCAACACACAAGTCAGATCCCCTCACTCCTCCGCTCAATACATACCCTCTGAAGGCTTTCCGCCTCACTCAGTAAAAAGCAGACTTGGAGCAGAGGAAACAGCCAGAACAAAGGCCACAGGCAGGATCATGTTGGGGAAGACGAGGGGAGGGCCAGAGCTAGCAGGAGTCTATGGCCTTAGAGACTAGTTCACGCTAAAAGTAGCCGAAACTAGTTACCCCCGCGGGGTGGAGATTGTGAGAGAAGGGAAAAAGATCTTTTTTTTACAAAATTAAAAGCCCTGCAGAACTACTTGCCTTCTAAAACTATCTACATGTATGACTTTGATAAAAATAAAAAATAAGAAATTTTAAAACACTGACATATAAAAAGAAAAATATAGAAACCAACGGAAAAATGTAACAGATGGTATTTGTCAGCATGCAGCGGGAGTTCAGCTTTCCTTCAGCAGATGGACGGACATTCTTATAACCAAAACTGCATGATTCCTCAGTTATCATGAGAATTTCAAACAAAAAAAACTAACATCTATCAATTTAAAATTTGTGAGATGCCCGTGGGAGGTAAAGAATATTTTGTTAGTGTAATTTATCAAGTGAAATGGCAAAGTGACAATGGTAGGTTTAGCGATCTTCAGAAAAACAGAAGGGGGAGGAAAAGGTTTGATAGTTTTTTTGTTTTTGTTTTTTGAGACGGAGTCTGTCTCTGTCACCCAGGCTGGAGTGCAGAGGCACAAACTCGGCTCACTGCAACCTCTGCCTCCTGGGTTCAAGCGATTCTCCTGCCTCAGCATCCTGAGTAGCTGGGACTGCAGGCCACCCAGCTAATTTTTTATTTTTAGTAGCGATGGGGTTTCACCATGTTGGCCAGGCTGGTCTCGAACTCCTGACCTCAGCTGATCCTCCCGCCTTGGCCTTCCAAAGTGCTGGGATTACAGGCATGAGCCACCACACCAGGCCAATAGTTTTGTGTTTTAAAAATAATCATACTGTTGCGTAGATATTTGAAAAAAGTGTGATTTTAGTAATACAAAGGATAGTGAAGAGAATATGAAAGCTAAAGTGTTGGCTTTCTGCGAAGAAGCCTCAGAGATGAAAATCTCCCGTAGGCTCCAGGGTCCAAATCTTCGTATGTTCCTTCACAGATGAGACTGACTGTAAGCAATGCAGAACACCTACTGCCCTCTGTAAAAACAAACATATGGCATGCAGCGTCTTCTTGCCGTAGGAGCAGGAGAATGAAGAGCCGGAGCAGTTAGGAGGAAAAGCTTCCTCCTTAGTCAATTCCACCGCCATGTTAAACACAAAGATTTTCCCCGATTGCTTTGTGTACTCTAAAAACTGCCCCAGTGTTAAACTTTTAAGGTTGATTTCTAATCACCCAATTATGAAGCAAAATATTTTAAATCTGCATCCCCCCCTCCACTCCCCAACAGTTTCCTTCTTTTCTAAGCTGGATTCTCTTTCACTAACAACAGAGCATAGACGTAGTTTGTTATTTAAAATATCAAGAATAGTTTCCCAACAGGCCAGACTTCGTGGCAGGCAGAGAAAAGGACCTATTATAGATCCAGAAGGCTGCAGCCAAACAGGCAAGATCACTTAAAACTTCCCAGGTGCCAGCAATAACAAACAGAAAACGGGCAGGGGTGGGGACGCTTCCTGCCTTACTGTATCACCACAATCAACCTATTACGACAATTTATTCTGGAAACTAGATTTATACAGGAAGCTCAGCAAGCAAAAATGGTATTCCTCTAGAAATGGGAAAGTTAAAATAATTTTCTTATTTTTGGTTCTCATTAGTGAGAAATTAAGGCTATTAAAATTACTTATTTATTCAGGCATTGCCTCTTAAAATGTTCTCAGCTCTTCATATAAGCAAAAATTATCATGCAAGAATTTTCATTATTACAAATTTACAAAGTCATTAAAGATCTCATTCTCAATCAAACACTTGCTCCTCTCCTCATATTGTGCAATGTAGCTTTACTTAATTGATCTTCAGGAATAATGCAAAAATCAATGATAAAAGTCCTTAGCCCTTTGAAAGGCACATTTTGTGCCTCTGAAAATTAACAATCTTCATATAAAAGTCGTTTCATCTTTCGCGTGCTCTGATCAGTGGCTTTCACACTTTTTTCATGACTCATTTTAATAAACTTTACATAGTGACTCAGTACCCATACATGCACACCCCAAACTAAAGTTTTCACAGGGAAAAAAAACCCTCTTACAACAGGTAGTGCATGCTGGTATTTTCTGTTCAATTCTATTGTCTCCCATTCCATTAAAAAATGTTAGTAAAGACCCCTAATTAATTTCCTCACTAAAGGAACACAAATTTGAAAATCACTCTGGGTTACATATTACTTATTTTTTTGTCACATTAACTGAAAATACTGAAATTTTGAATCTTAGATGTCCAATCCCTCTTGTTCTGTTTTCACTCTGGAATATTCAAAGGTAAAAACACGCAAACACAAATCTCTATTGTTACTACATAGCATGACTTTTATATTTATTATTTATTTTTGAGACAGGGTCTTGCTCTGTTGCCCAGGCTGGAGTGCAATGGTGTGATCTCTGCTCACCACAACCTCCATCTCCCGGGTTCAAGCGATTCTCATGCCTCAACCTCCTGAGTAGCTGGGATTACAGGTGCCTGTCACCACGCACAGCTAGTTTTTTTGTATTTTTAGTAGAGATGGGGTTTTGCTATGTTGGCCAGGCTGGTCTTGAACTCCTGGCCTCAAGTGATCTGCCTGCCTCGGCCTCCCAAAGTGCTGTGATTACAGGAGTGAGCCACCACACCCTGCCAAATTTATGGTTAAAGCAATCACAGCCAGCCCTCTGGAAACACTGGCCGAATCCTCAATACTGCTCTCTTCTGGGAATCTGGAGTCCTGGTTACTCGGGAGCCTAGGTCCTGGGGAGGCTGCAGTGAGTTATGATCGTGCCACTGCACTCCAGCCTGGGTGACAGAGCAAGACCCTATCTCTCTACAAAAAAAAAAAAAAAAAAAGAAAAGAAAAACCCTCCGAAAAAATTCCAAGATCCAGGGTTAGGCACATCTACAGTACCAAGCAGGGCTTGGTGAAAGCTTGAATCAAGCAACAAATAAAAAAAAGCTGTGGCCTGTGACAAAACGGTGTGGAATGATTCTAATGCTGCAATCAAAAAGAGAAAATCCAAAGTGCCGGCCAGTACCCGTTTCATTCCATAGGATATTTAAACATATCAGATTTGTCAAGGTTCACTGCAAGTGTATTTGTCATCTTTAAATTCAATTTCAATTTTTTCATTTCAAGAAGTTCTCTTTGGTTTTCAAATCTTCTGATAATTGTCTTGTTCCCCATTCAGTTTATTTATTTAAAACACACTTTGAGTCTGTAGAGTATCACTATACCCTTGTGGCTCCTGTTCCCCTAAGATTTTTGGGCAGGCTCTCATGCCTTGCTTTTATGTATTGTGATTTTTGACTGTGAGGACACATTCCATAAACTCTTTATGGGGCACCTCACTGGTGGTCTGGGTTCAAGTTGAGTTCTGAAAGAACAGAGATGTGTGTTCATTTCTAACAGTTACCTAGAGCCCCTACTGATTTGGTTCAACTAAGATATTGGCTTGAGGTTTTGTCTGTTTTAAAATCATACATAGGGGGAGGAATTTGGGCTGAAATCCAAGTGTGAGGTAACTTGGGGGCACAAACTGTCAGGAGTGTGTGTGTATCCATACTTATATATGTGTATATATATGTATATACTTATATTTTACTCTTCCATCCAGAACCAGTTCCAAGACAGAAATTTCCTCAGGGCTCGCACTGGAGGATGGGCCTCAGTCTTACAGATGTGTCGGGGGTATGACTCCCTAACCTAGGCTGATCCTGGCCTTCATCTCTTGTCTTCTGGGCCCTTGAAGCTGAAAACTAAAGCTGTCCTTAACCTCTAGGTTCCAACTTTCACTGAATTTTTTGGCCTCTAGGCATTCCTTTTCTCCTGTGAGCTCATTTGAAAAACATTTTTTAATCCAACATTTTGAATAGTTTCTAGTAGGAGGGTACATCTTGCACCATAAGGCCATGCAGATTTATAAAATCAACAATTCTCTCTGAAGTGATCTGAAATAAAATGTGTAGAAAAATCGCTGTGTATAATTCAGACTTTATTGCTTATTAATTATGTCACTCCACAAAATTTTAAGTAAACAGACATTGAGAAAATATACTGGGAGTGTTAAACAGATGACGGCAATATTGATGAGGCTGTTCAAGTGTTTTACATAAGGTAATAAGAGGTACCACCATCACCAGAACCCCTACAAATTTTTACATTTCATATAAAAAGAGTAAAAATAGTTCATTGGCATGTAACTAGCATCATTCTCTGTAATCTATGAGCCATAATAAGCCTGAACAATTTCAGTCTCTTCAGAGCAAAACAAAGTATTTTATTCCACTAGCAGATGTTTCTCCAAAAACAAAAAACAAACCAATACAACCACAAATACTACCCACACACAACCCTGAAACATAAGTTGCCATATTCCAGTGGTCCTGAATTTTAACATGTTTTGCTCTACATTAATTCAAGAAATAAAATGAGAAACAGCTTTGAAAATGAGATTAACTCCTTTGCTGTAATTATACTTACTCTATAATTCAAACTATTTAGCTGAAGTCAGTTAACGAGTAAAAACCGCGGATACAGCTCAAACTGCTCTTAACTTCTTTAAATGTTTACTGTTCTATCAAAACTCAGACCCAAGCTGCACAGGTGTAACTTGAGGCACTAACAATCTTCCTACCAGACGTAATAGTTTTATGTGTTCTTAAAGCTGGGCGCATATACAAAATCACTGTACATCACACATAAACATCAGAAACTTTTCTTGGCACAACTAGACCAATAGTTTCCTCTATTATTATTATTTTTAAATCAAGCATGTGTAACAGTTCAGCATTTAAAAGACTCCCATGTATATGATTAAAAAGATGCTCAGGTTGAGAAATACATTTGAATACTTGAAAAGACACTCCAAAAAGAAACAAGACTTGAAATGTGGTTTTATGTTGAACCATTTAGGAGACCTCAGTTATCCAACAACTAAAAGCACACAACAGCAGATAAATAGGATTTTATTAAAATCAATGTCTCCAACAATACAAAAACTAAATATTAAGGCATCTTTTACTCCCATCCTGGTATATGCAAGAGAAATGTTTTAAGAAAGGGCCAGCATTTCTTACTAAAATGCTTTCTAGTGTATTTGGCAGATTTGTTTTTATATTCTCCTATTCCACATACCACTCAAAGCACTCATGATCAAACATCTTGACCCAAATCAAGAGAAAAGTATAAATAGATATTAATTTATTAAAAGGAAGCAGTTCATCTTTCAAAAATTAAAAGAAACTACAAAAAGTATCATGTATAAAGTTCAAATACCAGCATTTAAATTTCTCTGAAGTAATTTACGGTTCAGTAATTAAGCAAAAGAAGAGATGAAGACTTAAGAGAAGAAGCCTATTAATATGGATTGCACTATGGAGTAACTGTTCACTGAGTACTCCGCTCCACTGGGATGATAGTTTGAAAAGGGCTTCATACTCCTTTAAGAAAATAGCACATCCACCAGGATAAGATCATTTAAATTAACACTGATTCTTATTCCCCATGCCTGTCCATTTATAAAGCTCAAGGGGCTTCATAAAGTATACTAAACAGTAACATTTTCACCTTTTATTAAGGCAAGTTTGTGAAAATAATTTAATACAACAAGATCTCTTCATGAACTTTCAACTTACAACCTTTTTAATGTAAGAAACATACAAAAAATTGTGTTTTATAAAAAGTCGCCTCAATACCAGAAAATAGTAATGAAAGATTTTGAACCCAGTTTTACTCTTTAAAGAATGCTCTTTCCTTGTCTCAAATTCCAAGTGCTACTCATCATCCTTAGAGCCAGTTTTGCTTAACTATAAAAAAAAGAGAGAAAATAGTCAACAAGTGGTATTTTCTGAGTTCACTATTTCCATGGAGTATCAAAATTAAACTATAGGCAACGAGGCTTAAGTAACTTAAATCACCTACAGTTTTTACCACATGTAGCTACTTTTCAACTTCAAGCTCAGCTACTTCAAACGGGTTTCAAAATGTAACCTTGACAAAAATCTAAACTCAACAGAACAAGGTGGTGTGTGGGTGGGTGAGCGGGACACTCTTGAAGCTTTCTAGGAAGTAAACTGGAACCAAGAATATACAAATAGAAGGTACCATCTATAAAATGAATGACACTCTTCAAAAGTTCTTGTTTTCCATCACATATTCTTTTTAAAATTTTTAAAAAATAATTTTAAATGTGGTCAAATAAAAAAATACGTAACCTAAGATTTACCATCTTAACCAGACAATAAATTCTTATAGTTTTGAAAATATGATAAAAGTCTTATTTTTGCATTGCAATTTTTTTCTAAGAAAAATCTTTGGCAGGGGTTGGCAAATTTGGGGTAAGGGGAGGCAGATAAAATACAAAGATGATTCTGATCAGACTACTGCTCCAACTACTGAGAAAGGCCACCGCACCTGACAACTCCAAGAACACTAGAGAGTGTGGGAAGCCATGAAAAGCAGAAACTACTAAAGGTGTTGGTTCTCAAATATTTCGGCCTGAGGACCTCTTTCCATTCTTAAAATTTTTTTTTTTTTTTTTTTTTTGAGACAGAGTCTCGCTCTGTCGCCCAGGCTGGAGTGCAGTGGCGCGATCTCGGCTCACTGCAAGCTCCGCCTCCCGGGTTCACGCCATTCTCCTGCCTCAGCCTCCCAAGTAGCTGGGACTACAGGCGCCCGCTACCACGCCCGGCTAATTTTTTGTATTTTTAGTAGAGACGGGGTTTCACCGTGTTAGCCAGGATGGTCTCGATCTCCTGACCTCGTGATCCGCCCGCCTCGGCCTCCCAAAGTGCTGGGATTACAGGCGTGAGCCACCACGCCCCACCCCAAATCTCTTTATTATCTAGCTCAGTGGAAGACAGCTGGCTTCTCACAAATATGCTTCAACAGTAAATCAGGTATAATGGAAGACAGCTAACAACAGCACAGTATAAGTACTAAGAACAACCTGGGTTAATATGCACATCCTCAACCTACTGATTGAGAAAATTCTGGTAAACACAAGAAAATACAAGCACACATTCTCTTAGTGCTTTAAGAGTATTAGTGATGGCATCATCAAATGTCATGCAGCCTCTGGAAAACGCCAGAGAAGTTTCATAAGAAAATGGGTTGGCTGGGCGCGGTGGCTCACGCCTGTAATCCCAGCACTTTGGGAGGCTGAGGCGAGTGGATCACGAGGTCAGGAGATTGAGACCATCCTGGCTAACACGGTGAAACCCCGTCTCTACTAAAAAATACAAAAAATTACCCGGGCATGGTGGTGGGTGCCTGTAGTCCCAGCTACTTGGGAGGCTGAGGCAGGAGAATGGCGTGAACCCGGGAGGCGGAGATTGCAGTGAGCCGAGATCGTGTGACTGCACTCCAGCCTGGGTGACAGAGCGAGACTCCGTTCAAAAATAAATAAATAAATAAATAAATAAATAAATAAATAAATAAATAAAATAAAAATTAAAAAAAAAAAAAAAAGAAAACGGGTTAAGGCCGGGCATGGTGGCTCACACCTGTAATCCCAGCACTTTGGGAGGCTGAGGTGGGTGGATCACTTGAGGTCAGGAGTTTGTGACCAGCCTGGCCAATATGGTGAAACCCCATCTCTACTAAAAATAAAAAAATTAGCCAGGCGTGGTGGCGCATGCCCATAGTCCCAGGCTGAGGTAGAAGAATCGCTTGAACCTGGGAGGCAGAGGTTGCACTGACCTGAAATTGCGCCACTGAACTCCAGCCTGAGTGACAGAGCAAGACTCTATCTCAAAAAAAAAAAAAAAAAAAAAAAAAAAAAAAAGCATTTAAGGGCACACATCATCTTACTATTACGATGCAAATAGTTTTGACCTTGTGTACCCCCTGAGAGAGTCTCAGGGACATCCCAGGGGTCCAAAGCCCACAGCTGGAAACTACTGGCTTAGCATAATAGATTCAGAGACCAAATTATGTCTAGGTGGTAACCTCCTTAAAAATATCTTCTTTCGGGCTGGGCATGGTGGCTCAAGCCTGTAATCCCAGCACTTTGGGAGGCCAAGGCGGGTGGATCACCTGAGGTCAGGAGTTGGAGACCAGCCTGGCCAACATGGTGAAACCCCATCTCTACTAAAAAATACCAAAATTAGCCAGGTGTGGTGGCAAGCGCCTGTAATTCCAACTACTTGGGAGGCTGAGGCAGGAGAATCACTTGAACCCAGAAGGTGGAGGTTGCAGTGAGCCAAGATCGCACCACTGCACTCCAGCCTGGGCAACAAGTGCGAAACTCCGTCTCAAAAACAAACGAACAAACAAAAACCACAAAAAAAACTTCTTTCATCTCCCAAGATTACTGGTAATTTGAATTTTACTCTTTGTTACAAATTGGAATTTTATTTCTATTATCAGGGACTCTTAAAAACTTCTGGAGCTAGGGAAGGAGGAGCACTATCAACACCTTTAGATCAGATTCTTTTTCTTCTCACTTTCAGCTTAGAGCTGCACTAAGAGAGGCAACATTTTGACTAAGAAAATTGCTCATTTTGGAGCACAGCATATTTGGAGGAAAGAATGAATTTAGCTGGTTAGGCTATATGTTGGTATATGTAGGACAACATGAAGTATCCATCAAGCATCAGTGGAGAAAGTCCTGGGAAATGAGAGAATGCCGGAGAGGCTTCACTCATACAGTATCTTACACAGGGGAGGAAGAAATACTGTGTCTCTTCCAATTGTAAGTTAGGGCCCAACTCCCAGGAAATATTTTTGTACTAGTTACTAGCAGCACTAAGATTATTTTAAAGTTTCAATAGAAAATGCATTCAATGGAACAAACAGCTGGCTTTAAAATAAAGTTTAAGAAAATGGCCAGGGCCGGGCACTGTGGCTCACACCTGTAATACCAACACTTTGGGAGGCAGAGGTGAGGGGGGATCGCTTGAGGCCAGGAGTTTGAGACCACCCTGGTCTACATGGCGAAAGCCCATCTCTATTAAAAATACAAAAATTAGCCAGGTGTGGCGGTGCATGCCTGTAGTCCTAGCTACTTGGGAGGCTGTGGCACAAGAATTGCTTGAACCCAGGAGCAGAGGGTGCAGTGAGCTGAGATCATGCCACTGAGATCCAGCCTGGGTGACGGAGCGAGACTCGGCTTCAAAAAAAAAAAGAAAAGAAAAGAAAAGAAAAGAAAATAGCCCTGAGCAGTGGCTCATGCCTGTAATCCCAGTACTTTGGGAGGCCAAGGTGGGAGGATCACTTGAGCCCAGGAGTTCGGGACCAGCAGCCTGGGCAACAAAGTGAGACCCTGTCTCTAGTAAAAATAAAAAAATTAGTTGAGTGTGGTGGTGCATGCCTGTGGCCCCTGCTACCTGGGATGCTGAGGTGAGAGGATCGCTTAATCTGGGGAGGTCAAGGCTACAGTGAGCCATGTTCACGCCACTGCACTCCAGCTTGGGCAACAGAAACAGACCTCATCTTCAAAAACAAAACAACAACAAAAAACCCAAAACAACAACCAAAAAGGTTTAAGAATACACTGCTTGTAAATTACCTGTATTTGTGGGTCCTCACTAAAATCCTAATCTTTAACTACCCTTGCATCCCATTAAACACTTCTCACAGGAGTTGTGGCACTAAATGGAATGCAAAATTTATTTCGTGAAGTCCTACAAAGAGAATTAATTTACTATGTTAAATATTAGTGTAACGTATTTGAAACTACAGCTAATACAAGAAAAATCTGAGACATGTAGGCAGCAAAATTCAAAATGAAAGCAAACAATTTTAAACAGAAACAGAGCATTGTTCTTGGTATGATGAACAACCACGTTTAAGGTCTGTCCTTAAAAAAACCCACAAAAGCCAAGGCCAGGTGTGGTGGCTGCCGCCGGCAATCCCAGCACGTTGTGAGGCCGAGGTAGCAGGATCACCTAAGCCCAGGAGGTCGAGAACAGCCTGGGCAACATATCTGTCTCTGCAAAAAAAAAAAAAAAAAAAATTAGCCAGGCATGGTGGCACATGCCTTTGATCCCAGCTAGTCAGGAGGCTGAGGATCACTTAAGCCTGGGAGGTCCAAGGCTGCAGTGGGCTGTGATTATGCCACCAGCTAGCCTGGGTGACAGGGCAAGATCCTGTCTCAAAAACAAAAAACAAAAACCAAAAACTTAAAAGTAATTTCTACTAAGAAAGTAAAACATTCTTTTCCACATCTGGTTTTCTTCAGTTTCCATATATTGTTGATAACTTGGAGTCATATTTAAGAATCTGCGTTATCTTTTCTTTTCTTTTTCTGTTTTTTTGAGATGGAGTCTCACTCTGTCGCCCAGGCTGGAGTGCAGTGGCACGATCTCAGCTTACTGCAACCTCCGCCTCCTGGGTTCAAGCGAATTCTCGTGCCTCAGCCTCCTGAGTAGTTGGGACTACAGGCGTGCGCCACCATGCCCAGCTCATTTTTGTATTTTTAGTATAGACAGGGTTTCACCATGTTGGCCAAGCTAGTCTCGAACTCCTGACCTCAGGTGATCCAACCACCTTGACCTCCAAAAGTGCTGGGATTACAGGTGTGAGCCACTGTCCCCTAAGTATCTGCATTCTTAAGATGTGCTTACATAGTCATACTATATTGTAGTTTTAACTTCTGCAAATTTTCCATTACTTAAAAAAAAAAAAGATCTAAAATTGAGAGTGCAGGGAAAAGAAGAATGTAAAAGGTATTTCAAAAATACTTACATGCTGAATGTAAAAAAGGAAACAGACATCCCAGTGAATTCCAAAGGTTGTGAAGGGGAAAACAAAAAATAAGAATTTCATTATTTGCTGGTAATAATTGTAACAAGTTTAAAGACTAGAATATAAATGTTATATACCTTCACAACATCAACCCAGTTCCAGCCTCGAGGAAGTTCTCCTTTGTGATCTAGAAGATAAAAAATAGTAACTTTATTTCTAAGACCAACCAGCTAGTTTTATAATAATTAAGATTTTATATACTACTGTACACAACAAATAGGTTAAAAATTTAAATGACATATTACTAAGTTGGAAAAAGAGTTTATCATTATGAATCGATACTGTTCTCCTAGGAATACTTGCAAAATATTTTAGGTATACTCCTTTTTTACATTTATGATATTGCTATCCAAGACAAAACCTGATAATGAGGAAAAAATATAGAGATGGGTTGGTAATGCCAGGAAAAGCAGTTAATCCATTTATTAGTTTCATGCATTTGCATGAAGCTACTGCTTTATATAAGAGGTCATTGCTTATTTAAGTAATAAGTTGTATTGTTCTGTTTAATAAATTAGCATTTCGCACCCAGAAGCTAGGCTCAAGACAGGAGGACTCACAAATATATGTCTGGCCTGGCTTCAAGACTAAAAGAAGGGCTGGCTAACTTATGTATTAGTTGCTGTGATCTGATAACATATTCATTATTTAATCTAACATTCTTTAAAAAGGGCTTTAATCTGTTGGGATTGCTTGGAAACTAGCTTATAATTCATAGTCTGCAAAGTGCTTTTATTATTTTAACAGAATATTCAAATTTAAAGAATAGCTTAACAAATATTATCTAAAAATTCTTCAATTTAAAATGGCTTGATTTCCTTTATGCTTGATGTATGCCATGCATGTCTCCACTTTATGAAACCTTAAAAATTTAAACTCAAAACAAGTACATTATATGAATTTTCCAGCTAGGGAAAAAGAAATTAACCCATGATACTTACAGGAGAGAAGCAATATTACTGGAGCTCAATTTTAGATGCTATCGGTTCTTTTCTCTTTCATGCCAAGAAGAATCGTATCCCCCTGGTTACTGGTTATAGGGGGCACATCACCAATTTTGGTTAACTAAAACTTAGCCACAGTGCCGTGGCTGTCCCATTAAAATTTTATTTAGAATGAAAGCTCCAAGTCACAAACTCGTATACTGTCATTATGGGAAGGTAATGGCTTTAGGTGGGCATCATCAAAGAGATGAAGGTAGGGAGCTATTAATGAAATAGAGTGATCACAGGTCATTATGTATGAAAGCAATATTACCTAACTGACATAGATGCTACAATATTCAAAGAGAGATAAACCAAATTCTAGACAACAAACTGTAATGGCTAACAACTTACTGCTTCAGTTGTTTTTAGAGTTTAATGCTGCTCTGACATTAGGTAGAATGAATTCTTAGATTTTTTTATTTCACAAACCATTACCATTTCAAAAATGTATTTTGGAAACAAACACAGAGTTGCTATTTGCCACAGACAGACATTAAACAAAACATAAACCACAAAAAAACTGCCATTCCATTACAGAAGAAAGGACATTTAAAAGGCCCTCACCAGGCCGGATGCGGTGGCTCAAGCCCGTAATCCCAGCACTTTGGGAGGCCGAGGCTGGCAGATCACGAGGTCAAGAGATCGAGACCAGCCTGCCCAATATGGTGAAACCCTGTCTCTACAAAAAATAACAAAAATTAGCCAGGCATAGTGACATGCGCCAGTAGTCTCAGCTACTCGGGAGGCTGAGGCAGGAGAATTGCCTGAACCCAGGAGGCGGAGGTTGCAGTGATCGCGCCACTGCACTCCAGCCTGGGCAACAGAGCGAGACTCCGTCTCAAAAGAAAAAAGAAAAAAAAAAAAAAAGGCCCTCACCAAAATAAAAGGGTCGGTTCTTCTCAATAAAGAGAAACTTTTTAACCTGACATAGTAGCACACGCATAGATACATACATAAGTGTAAATGTGCAAGTACACAAATGACGTCCTCATTTTCCCTAACTGTGAAAAAGTTTACAGACTGTTATCAATTTGCAAGTTTTCAGGTTAAATAAAGAAAAGCAATCAAATATTATTGTTGATATGAGCTAGAGTTTATTATCTTCTTCTAAAGAACTCTTGTTTAGAACATATGAGAATTCTATTCTTAAATATTATTGTTGTATAATTAACTACAGGCAAAAATGTTAAATTACTTATCACACTAAGACCTAATGGTATACTGGTATCCATTTCAAATGAAAACTGTATTTCAAAAAATTTTTAATAACACACAGCTACTAAAGAGGTAAACAAATCCCAAACATGTTAGAGCTCCAGGTAGAACATGTTTTTGTAGACTATTTAAATGCTCCTCAATCTCTAGACTCATTTATAGTTACTTTGCCACTCGGTTACCTTTTTTTTTCAAATGGTGACCTCTTGTGATGAAGTAGTAGTAAATATTTTCTTTTTTTTTTCTTTTTTTGAGACAGAGTTTTGCTGTTGTTGCCCAGGCTGAAGTGCAGTGGCACAGTCTCGGCTTGCTGCAACGGCTGCCTCCTGGGTTCAAGCAATTCTCCTGCCTCAGCCTCTCGAAATATTTTCAGTATACATATGTGACCCAAAAGGTCAGTGACCCAAAAGTTCACTGGCCCAAATGTTCCAAGAAGAAAGAGTAAGAATTAATCTAAATATATCCACCATATCACACTAAGAAGCAATCCATTTATCTGGGTTATAAAAGAAAAAAAAACGGCTGGGCGTGGTGGCTCACGCCTGTAATCCCAGCACTTTGGGAGGCAGAGGCAGGTGGATCACCTGAGGTCAGGAGTTCGAGACCAGCCTGGCCAACATGGTGAAACCCCGTCTCTACTAAAAATACAAAAATTAGCCAGGTGTGGTGGCATGCGCCTATAATCCCAACTACTCGGGAGGCTGAGGCAGGAGAATCGCATGAGCCTGGGAGGTGGAGGCTGCAGTGAGCTGAGATCATGCCACTGCACTCCAGCCTGGGCAACAAGAGTGAGACTCTGTCAAAAAAAAGAAAAGAAAAGAAAAGAAACACACACAAACCTGTTTTGTCTGCCAGCTTACGCTTCTGGGCTTTTGAAAGTTGTTCTTTTTTGTCTTTTTTCTTACTTGATGGGGCTGTATTAGGAGTTTCAATTGAGATGATATTGCTTATCGATGTCTAAAAAAAAAAAGAAATAATTCTCAGCCTCATACCTTACAACTTGTGTTACACTAAATACAGCTATATCCTGAAGTGGGTTGATAATTTTTACACTTATGAAATAAAAGAATCCTATATTATTATGATTCATTTTTAAAATCAAGTGCCCTTAACACATTATTGGTTTTACTCTTTTAAAAGTTCAGATCAAAGGACGTAATATTAGTTCAATTGTTATAACCAAAATCCTGGGAAGGAAGATCTGATTATCAGCCTTATGTTGAAGATCTGAGGTTCCAAGGTAGGTTTACAATTCAGTTAACTTGCTATTATTTGGAAATTTAATTAAAACCTTTTTTTTTCTTTACAGAGCTTTTCTCAATGTGAACACTTGACAATTTAAACACGTCTTTAGAAAAATCACGTGTGCCTACCTAGAACATCCTGGTTCCCGGAAGAAAAATTTTAAGACACATGGGTTAATGCAGTCAGGGTATATGATAGCTAAAATGTAAAATGCTTACTAGGTCTAAGCATGGCTGCAAATGTTTTCCATATACCACACATTTGATCCTCAGCACAATCTTAGAAGGTAGATACTATATAACCCCCATTTGACAGATGAGGAACTGGGCACAGAAAGATTAAGAAACCTGCCGAAAGTCACAGAGTTGGTGAGTGGTGCAGTGATGTGAACCCAGGCAGTCTGGCCCAGAGTCCATGATCTTAGCTACCACCCTCCACTGCTCCTCCAGTTGCCTCTTGGGGTTCTGTGTCCTGTTGGGAATGTGAAAGCCAAAACCACTTGCACAGAAGACAGGCCTTGCTGCCAACAGCTTAGCCCTTGGTTCACAAGACAACACTAAATTATACCGAACCCCTCAAAGTCTTTTAGTGCATGACGTGGTGCAAAGGGGCCTCATACACAGATGCTTAACGTCATGAAAGAAATATTTCCTAAAACTATTCTAGAAATAATAATAAAACAATTTTTTCTATTCAATAAAGTTTCCACATGCTGCAACATCTACACATTGAACTGTGGCAAGACTGTTTACAATGAAACAAGCCTCATGCAGAAAGCAATTTCATACTTATTTTAGCACTGCATAAGAGATCCCTTAGCTGTTTAAGCTTTATGGAGAGATTAAACAAATATTAAAAATACTAGGTTCTATGATATCTCAGTTTTGGTGGGCATGTTATATATATTCTAGTCTTTGATAAAGGATAAAAATCTAGAGAATATAATATCATTTTCTAGGTTAAATAGAAGAAATCTGAAATCCATTGTTCTCATTTAACTCAGGTGTAACTCTCACTTTAACAAGTCTTCTTCCGATTTTGAATATATATTAAGTAGTACAAATTTATTGCTAACAGCAAAACCAAAACAACAAAAGAATCCGGCAAAAAAATAATCACATACTCACTGCGGAATTGATGGGATTGTGATTCTCCATGAACTGCTCTTTATTGTCTTTGGCATATTCAAACAATGTATAGGTCATAGCGGTTCCAAGATTAGCTTCTACTGCTTCCTGTAGCTTGGCTAATATACTCTGCTTTACAGCTGATGATCTACAATGCACAACAAAAATACCTTGCTGAGAGAAAAGTATAACAGAGAGTGAAATGAAAAGCAGTAAAAACAAGACACTACTCACATGGTGTTGTTAAAAAAAGCGTTCATAGATAGAATTGGAGGTGTTTGGGGATATGTTTCTGTCCAGGAAATCTCTATTAAGAAGGCTTTGGGATCACCATTTTCACCTATCTGAAGAGAAGGGGAAATCTTAGGCTTGTAAAAGGTGATAAAAAGACAGAAAACTAAATTATAATCTTCAAAAGGGTGAATTCTTTCCAATACTCATGCTCAGATCAGAAATGTAATATTTTGAAAAGTCCAGTGACACAGGCTAGGACTGAGCAGGGGTGAAGGGAGTCTCAGGACAGTCTGACTTTAATTTAGTCCTAGTATAGCTTCATAGGTTCAGTTTATGCCCATGTCCTGTCCCTAACCAGCCTACCAGCTTTTCTAGTACCACGCCTACATCTTAGGTATTTTTTAGTGTTTTCCGAGGATGAAAATAAGACATCAACTTATCCGTGGGATACAGAAAGAGAATGGACAAAAATAATTCACAAACTCGACACACCTCATCTTTGTTTTAAGTTATCCAACTGCTAAATCCTAGGAGGCACAACCCCAAGAGTCAAGAAAATGAAATTTAAAACTGAGAGAAAAAAGGAAAAGGCAAAGGATAAGGGACAGGAATGTCTTCAGCTGCTAACAATTTCTGAATAAAGACGCCCTTGTTTCTTCCGCTCTGCTAACTTTTTATTTAAACATTTTTAATCTTAAAGAAAAACTGAAATAGTATAATGAACACTCTGACATTCATCTTATTCACCAAATACTTTCTGCCTCATTTACTTTATCTTTCCCCCTCTCCACCATAGAATCAACCCCTACTCTCCCAATGTGATTTTTTTCCCCTTTGGTTTTTGCTTAAACATCTAACAGTAATGAAATTTCCTCAATATGTGAGTAAAGTATCTTAAGAAAAGGACAATCTTCTTCATAACCACAAGATCATTATTACACCCAAGAAATTCAACATTGGTACAAAAATGCTATCTAATACATAAACCATATTAAAAACTACCCAATCATATCTAAAGTGTCCTTTAATAGACATCACCTCAACCCACAAATCCATAATCCATTGAGGGATCATGGACTGCACGAGTTGTTATGCCTCTTTATTCTGCTTTAATTTACAACAGTCCCCAGCCCTCTCCCCTGGCTTTTTTTTTTTTTTTTTGAGACAGGGTCTCACTCCATTGCCCAGGCTGGGGTCCAGCTGATCACGGGGCGGTCACAGCGAGCTGAGATCGTGCCATTGCACTCCAGCCTGGGCGACAGAGCAAGAGTCTGTGGCAAAAGTAAAAAAAAATAAAATAAAAAAAGAAATCAGCTGGACACAGTGGCTCATGTCTGTACTCTCAGCACTTTGGGAGGCCAAGGCGGGTAGATCATGAGGTCAAGAGATCGAGACCATCCTGGCCAACATGGTGAAACCCCATCTCTGCTAAAAATACAAAAATTAGCTGGGCATGGTGGCATGCGCCTGTAGTCCCAGCTGCTCAGGAGGCTGAGGCAGGAGAATCGCTTGAATCTGGTAGGCAGAGGTTGCAGTGAGCCGAGATAGTGCCACTGCACTACAGCCTGGCAACAGAGCAAGACTCCATCTCAAAAAAAAAAAAAAAGAAAGAAATCCTCCCACCTCAGCCACTCAAGTAGCTGGAGCTACAGGCGTGTGCCCCATGCCAGACTTTAAAAAACTTTCTGTAGAGACAAGGTCTTCCTATGTTGCCCAGGCTGGTCTCGAACTCCTGAGCTCAAGTGATCTTCCTGCCTCAGCCTCCCAAAGTGCTGGGATTATAGATAGGCATGAGCCACTGTGACTGGCTTCCCCTGCCTTTTAAGCCAAAAAGAATACAGGCTAGTTTTCTTGTATAATGTCCCCAGATCTGAACTGATTCAAATTAAACATTTTTGGTAAGAAAACTACAGAGGTGATGTGGCATCTTCCCATAGCATCATATAAGGAGGCACAGAAGATCTTCCAGAATCATCACTGGTGACACTAAGATTGATCACATGGTTTAGGTGATCTTCTCCAGATCTCTTCAACACAAACCTTTTCATTTTGTAATTAAGGAATAATCTCGCTGGGTGAGGTGGCTCATGTCTGTAATCCCAGCTCTTTGAGAAGGTGAGGTGGGAGGATGACTTGAGGCCAGGAGTTAGAGACCAGCCTGGGCAACACAGCAAGACCCTGTCTCTATTAAAAAAAAAAAAATCATCATCGTCTGTGGGGCAACACTACAAAACTGTATGAATACCTTGTTTCTCAACAACCTTTCACCCAAAGGTTTTAGCCTTCATTAACAGTCCTTAACTGTAACTGAATCAATTATCATACTGGTGGTTGCAAAATGGTGATCTTCTAGTAAAACGGTGGAATGATACATGAATCAACATCTCATCCTTACACAGGGCTATGCTAATCTCCTCTGTATTGTTATTAAAATAAATGTAGGGATCTACTGATAGACCTGGATAAGGATTATCTGCATAATAGATGTCATTGGTTTATGTTTAAATATAGATGATAAAAAGTGATAAAAGTTACCTGCTTGATGCAATCACTACGTCCTTACTCATGGCGCATTTAGGAATAAATTATCACATGCCTCACACTGTGCTGGGTACCGAAGATACAAAGATAGAGACAAGGCTATTCCTGTCTTCAGACAGATATTTATATAACTTACAAAACTGCAATATGAATAATAGTTCAAAAGTAACAAAACAAAGTATGAAGAAATGGGGAACGGCTAATTCTGATTCAAAGTCAGAGCAGAGACAGGAGACATGGCCCAAATATTAATGTATCACAGAGAAGGCCTGAGTTAGGCCTTAAAGGAGAGGCAGGGGAATAATGGACCTGAGGTGAGAGAAAGATCAAACAATGTGTGCAAAAGCATAGTACTAGAAAAAAATACACGGGGGGAAATGTCACAACCCATTATGTCTAAGGCATGTGAGTGGAGGGGAAAGTTTGGAGACAGAAACAAACAGAAGGATTTGGAGTGTCAAGTGAAAAAATTTCGTCCTCATTTTATAGGCAAGAGGAACCCAGAGAAAAACATTTTTAAAGAAGAGAATGGGATGACAACTTAAATGCTTCAGAGTGCCAACTAGTACTGTTGGAGGACTCATGGTGGAGTATAAGGGGGAAGCTAAAGAAAGTATTAAACCGGGGAAGTCAACTAGGAGGCTACCAGACTATTCCGTGCAAGAACTGAGGGGTGTGACTCAGGCCACAGGAAGAACTTTACCCCTGGCCCTTTGACTATCAACACACTGTCTCCTAATCTCATGTATCATTCTTCTTAAATCCATCCTATGGGTCACGTCAGTGTCCATCTTATAGTACATATAAATGTCCTAGGGCATTCTGCACAACATGCTCTAAATCACTGCCATTGTGAATGAGATATTTAGGAGAGTATAGGGAAATTCTCGACCTCCCATTTGCTAAGGAGAGAGTAGCAACTGGATTCAAACCGAAGGGCCTAGGACTTAGCTCCACTGTTAACTTTGGACATTTGAGGTCCATGGTTATTACATACTTGGAGATGGTGTAAGGACTGTTAAGCTTGAAAGGGAATTGAGAACAGAAACTTATTTTCTGTGATGGTCATCCATCGATCATGCATAAGAATCATTTCTAATAGTTTAAACTGTGACAATGTTAATAATAACTGTAAATCTTTTACAAAAAAAACTTCCCCATTCCGCTACTTATAATTATTTGTGTGTTTTTTTTGTTTTTTTTTTTGAGTCCCGCTCTGTCGCCCAGACTGGAGTGCAGTGGCACAATCTCTGCTCACTGGAACCTCCGCCTCCTGGGTTCAAGTGATTCTCCTGCCTCAGCCTCCCAAGTAGCTGGGACTACAGGCATGCACCATCATGCGTGGCTAATTTTTGTATTTTTAGTAGAGACAGGGTTTCACCTTGTTGGCCAGGCTGGTCTAGAACTCCAGACTTGAGGTGATCCGCCTGCCTCGGCCTCTCAAAGTTCTGGGATTAAAGGTGTGAGCCACTGTGCCCCGCCTACTTATAATCATTTGAATAAAAGGTTTATATGACTTATTTACAAAATAAAATACTGTTACTATTTTTTTTTTGAGACAGAGTCTCGCTCTGTCGCAGTGGCTTGATCTCGGCTCACTGCAAGCTCTGCCTCCCGGGTTCACGCCATTCTCCTGCCTCAGCCTCCCGAGTAGCTGGGACTACAGGCGCCCGCCACCATGCCCGGCTAATTTTTTGTATTTTTAGTAGAGACAGTGGGGTTTCACCATGTTGGCCAGGATGGTCTCGATCTCCTGACCTCGTGATCCGCCCACCTTGGCCTCCCAAAGTGCTGGGATTACAGGTGAGAGCCACCGCGCCCAGCCCTACTGTTACTATTTTATGTTAAAGATAAGATTAAATAATTTTTAAGGTTTTTTCCATTTCTAGTATCTTATGATTCTGGTACAATAAAAACAAGTTTATCTTGGTTTTTTAAGCTTCTGAATTAAGTTTTCAAACGTTAAAAATGACTGATGTTAGGGTGATGTTTCCATTTAAATGCTACAGAAAATACAGACATAATAAATTTAAACAAGTTTAAAAAACAAAATAAGCATTTTTAGCCACTTTCAGTCTTTTCTAGAAAAGTTCTAAGTGCTCTTATTCATGCCATGTCTTACCCTATATTGAAAAGAAACTGGACTTAATTCCCGGAAACTTTCATCTCCTTCATAAATAGAGCGTAATGCTTCTAGTTCCATCTGAAATAAAGAACTGAATGAGTTTTGTTTAGTGGTATAAATGAATTAGAAATAGAGGGTCTTTACTTTCTCATTCAAGCCCACTCAACTATGTAAAAGCTTGACTAACTTATATAACCTTAGATACTTACCACATAGGTGCATGCAGCAACACATGACAATATTACTACCAATGATACTTACTTTCAAACTCTGTGTCAGGGACTACTAAGCACTGTACAATGTATGATCGCGCTGACTTCTCAAATCAACCCTGTCAAGAGGCTCCTATTATTTTCTCCTTCCTAGGGAAGCAAGGAAGTCTCCCTGTAAAGCCACTCCAGAGCAAGCGCTCTTAGAACTTGGCTAAAGACGAACCTGGGTGCAAAGAGCATTAAACCTAAAGATAAGAACTATGAAAAACAATACTTTCCCATTATTTACATACATTTCTTTTATATGTAATCCTTCCCACAGTGATACAAAGCTCTAAAAAACACCTAAGGGCAAGAAAAAGAACTTAAGAAAAAGGCTGACAAGTATCTACCCAAGATGAGACAGGACTGTCAGAGAAAATGTAACTAGTAATCCTTGCTTGGACATAGTTCTTAGAACATTTTGGTATTACAACTGAGAAGTTCATCACTGTGATCACCGATGAATACCTGAGAAAAGAAGTAAAGCAAGACTGCACTTGGGTACACGTTTAAGTTTTTCAAAAAGATGCATGTCATGAATTCTACAAACTAAAGATGGTGAAAGTGGGCTTGATCTACAGTCAAAATTTTAGAATAGAAATTATTGGCTGGGCGCGGTGGCTCACATCTGTAATCCCAGCACTTTGGGAGGCCGAGGCGGGCGGATCACCTGAGGTCAGGAGTTCGAGGTCAGCCTGGCCAACACGGTGAAACCCCATCTCTACTAAAGACACAAAAATTAGCCAGGTGTGGTGATGGGCGCCTGTAGTCCCAGCTACTCAGGAGGCTGAGGCAAGAGAATCGCTTGAACCCAGGAGGCGGAGGTTGCAGTGAGCCGAGATCGGGCCACTGCAATCCAGCCTGGGCTACAGAGCGAGGCTCCGTCTCAAAAATAGCAACAACAACAGCAAAAAGACATTGTTGAAGAAACAGTGTGTGAGGAACTGGGACATTAAGGAGTAGACCCTAAGACCTAGTAAGTATATGAAAAACAAGATATACCCTTCTTAGATAGGGAAACTTGATTGGCACAATGAAGAAAGGCATAAAACACCGACTATATAGATTTCAGCCAGGCTCCACAGGTTTCTCTTGCTACCTTTACAGAAAAAACAAAAAAAAACAAAATACAGAAATTCAAGCCGGATTCAAGAATAACTAAGATTAGATTGGAACAAAAACCTTACTCAAGATATAGTACTACTCCTTCTGTCCCTAATCCTTTCCCATATTTTAATTTATGACTTGGACAGGTACAAAAATAGGAGGCAAGTTTATTAAATTTGTGGATGACAATTTGTTGGGACAGTGAATAATGCTGATGGCTGAATAAGAATCCAAAAAGTCTTTGAAAAGCAAGCTAATGATGAAATTTAGCAGGGTAAGTAGAACTTGTATCAATACTCAGATACCTAAATGTAGAAGTTGAAGATGAAAGACAAATTGCTTTGTATAAAGCACTTAAAAGATTTCAGTTGACAGTAAATTTAACTAGACAAAACAGCAAGATGCCACAATTTTGAAACAGGACATTTAAAAAATTAAAATCTGTCCACAAACACGTGATTCCAGGATAGTGAAGAGATTAACAAAGAATGGATATATGAAGACAAGCTAAAAGGAACCACTTCCTCAGAGAAGGTCTGAGAAACTGGGCAGGAAACTATCTTCAAAGATCAGAACATCGGTCATCTGAAAGAAGAATGAAATTTTCTTGTTAAACTGGAGATTCCTGGGCCCACCACAGAAATTCTGATTCAGTAGGTCTGGGGTGGAGTGCACGCATCTGTTTTCTAGCAACCATCTAAATGGTTCTAAGGTAGGGGACTATGGTCCAACTCTGAGAAACATTACACTGTATGTTCTTTGCTTTGCAGGGAGAAGAAGCTATTAACGCATTCACTTAGAAATTCACCCGGCAAGAATATTTTAGAAGAGATTCAGATATCAACTAGCTAGCTTGTTGGACTTTGGGTCCTTTAAAGGTTAACTTCCAATCCAGAGATTCTATTACATTTATCATGTAAAAGTAGTAAGTTTCAAGCATTATACTTTAAATTAACAGTGAACTTATCTACCACCCAATAAGACCTGGTTTCTAGTCCCGATTCTACCACGTACTTACTGTGCAGCCCTGCGGCTATCATCGACCCACCTATCAAAGTTAGAAGGTTCCCCTACAGATGGCCCGTAGCACCCACCCCCCAACTCTAATATTATATGATTCAATGTCAAAATGGCATCTCACAAGGAAATATTTGAGCATAAACCATAAATTCAGGTGGTACATGAATGCTCAAAACAGACAGATGGGTAAAAGATTTCCCCAAACAATATGGACAGAAACTCAGATGCACCACCAGTGTCATTTTCTTCCATGAGAAATGTAACTAACTCAATTAGCCCTCTACTAGCCAAGAGATTTAAAGATGACCAGACTAAAATTTAAAGGTGATCAGCCTAACTCAGTAAACAGGCACTGAACACATGGGATTCAAGGAGAGCCAAGAGCACTGGATCGTGCACCAAGGACGCTCATCCCTGTTATTAAGTAACCAGGGGAGACTCCCGGATTTGCAAAAATGAAAAATGAGGGGGGAAGAGTGGCAGAGGCGGACTCCTGGCCATTCACGCGCGCTTGGGTGGGACGCCGGTGAACTCGGGGCACCCCGGCCGGCTCCGAGGGCACAGGGCACGTGCCGGGCAGGCTGTCCGGGCACCAGGTCTCACGGGGGCCCGGGGCTGCGCGCCGCGCCCGCGCTGGGAGAGGGCCCTGAGCCGGGGGGCTCACCTCCTGGTCCTCGTTGGCACTCATCGCGCCGGTCGCGGGGCGCCTCCTGAGCGGACGGCGTTCGCAACAACGAAGAGAAAGCGAAGGCAGCGGCCCAGAGGCCGGGCGTCCCCCTTTCGCGCCTCGGCTGTGGGGGCGGCACAGTCTTGGCACTGGCAGACGCCAACTGCGCGCGCCCCGAGCCTCGGCAGCGCCCAGCCGCCGGCAGTGGGCTGTGGGCTACGAGCCGGAGCCGCGGCTGGTGGGGCCTGGGAAGTGCAGCGTCTCCCTGACGCTTGGAGGAGCGGCGTAAAGTTCCGGGACAGCGATTGGTGTAGAGCGCGGTCACTCAGGCCCAGAAAGTGCTTCCTGTGCCGGGGGAGGTGGGTACAGGGAAGTCTCGCCTGTTGGAACTGGCTGTGGGGCTGCGGCGGTGGGGACGGGCCACGGCGTTCTGTGACATCCCCCCGCCTCCCCTCGTCTTCTCCCGGCTGGCGGCGACCGGCCTCAGCTGCAGCGGGCCCGGGGCGTGGGGCCTGGGTGAGTCCGGGCCCGGAGACCCGCGGGGCCAGGCGGGACCGCCGAGGAAGAGAGCTAGCTCTTAACAATGCTGGTTTGGGGGCCTGCGTTTTGCAATCCCATCGACGGGTGCAATCCTGGCACTTCTCTTTTAGACCCGAGGAAAGACGCACCCGTTTCTAGGGCCTCCCAGGTTTAAGACGGGGGAATAAGAGGAGGAAGATATCTGCCTTTAGGGACTGCAAGGTTATTTCTCTACCTTTCCTCACTGGAGCTACCAGAACAGATACTGGGACCATGGGGACGGTGTTTCTCCTACGTTGGATTGTTGCTTCTCATCTTTAACATCGAAACATCATTTCGTCCCCACACTGTCGTTCCTCTTTTGTTCGTTTTGTAGTTGAACATCTCTGAATCCCATTCTTAGCAGCCTTGTGTCCTAACACCCTGAACTTCCAGTTAGTTAAAAGAAAAAAAAAGTAACCACATTAGGTTTTGGGGTTTTTTTAGTTGCCAATTTGATTGGGTCACCTTTCTTATCTTTCACGCTAGTTTCCAGTTTACTTCCCTTGCATTACTTGATCTCCCATCCATTATTCACCTTCTATAGCTGCGCCTCCTTTCGTGTATAGTTTCGTTGGTTGCTCCATTGGATATCTGAAAATTTCTCCTTCCAGCCTGTCATTGAAATCCATTCGATCTGCGCCTGTGCGTTATCGGGGTTCTCATTCAAATTCCTTTGCTGCAGAATAAGCACGACCATTTCAGGTGACATAGGAGAATGTGGCAAGACTTTCTGATACAATTTTCGTGCAGCAATTTTGGGACACATTTCCCATAATTTAGATCTCTGCTGTCCAGTTCTGTAGCCAGTAGCTACATCAGGCATTTGAAATAGGCTAGTCTGAATTGAGATGTGCTGTGAGTGTGAAATACACACCAGATTTTGAAGACTCAGTACAAAAAAAGGTAAAATATGTCATTAATAACTTTTATATTATTGTCAGTATGATAATATTTTGGACATACTGTACTGCGTTAAATTGAATATTAAAATGAATTCCATCCACGTTTTACTTTTTAATATGACTGCTAGAAATTTTTAATTTATTTATGTGACTTGTATTTCTATTGGATGACAGTCATTTTTAGTTCCTCTTATTTCAACTCCATATTTAAAGACCACAGCTATGTCTTTTGGGCCTCTGGAGTTATTACAGGAAATGGCCTCTAGTCTAGACTCGTTCATATTAAGCAAAGGGGCCCGTATTGTATTTTGGTCACTTGTTTTTTGTTGTTGTTGTTGAGACGGAGTCTTGCTCTGTTGCCCAGGCTGGAGTGCAGTGGTGCGATCTCGGCTCACTGAAATCTCCGCCTCCCGGGTTCAAGCCATTCTCCTGCCTCAGCCTCCCGAGTAGCTGGGACTATAGGCACGCATCACCATGCCCGGCTAATTTTTGTATTTTTAGTAGAGACGGGGTTTCACCCTATTGGCCAGGCTGGTTTTGAACCGTTGACCTCGTGAATCGCCCGCCTTGGCCTCCCAAAGTGCTGGGATTACAGGCGTGAGCCGCTGTACCCAGCCTGGTCACCCCTTTTTAATTTTCATTCCTACATTACCCAGAACTAGACTGTTTCTTTCTCTGAACATGCAATCCTTTGCCCTCATAACTTAATCCTGTCCTAAAAATATTTAAACAATTCTAAAACAATCTGTTGTAGACATTTCTGGCAAGCTTTGCAAATCATTTATTGAATACCTGTTGTTCTTTCAGTATGTAAACATGAGAAGACTAATAGTCTTTCCTAAATTAACCTTTCAGTTGAAAATATTCCATGTTTTGGGGATTAGGTATTAGCCTAAGTGTGCCTCACTTTTCACAAAGATTGTGTTAGACTTCTCCATAATATACTGGTATACTGGTGTAGATTACCTTTTTTTTTTTTTTTTTTTTTTTTTGAGACGGAGTCTCCTCGCTCTGTCGCCCAGGCTGGAGTGCAGTGGCGCGATCTCCGCTCACTGCAAGCTCCGCCTCCCGGGTTCACGCCATTCTCCTGCCTCAGCCTCCCGAGTAGCTGGGACTACAGGCGCCCACCACCATACTCGGCTAATTTTTTGTGTTTTTAGTAGAGACGGGGTTTCACCATGTTAGCCAGGATGGTCTCGATCTCCTGACCTTGTGATCCGCCCGCCTCGGCCTCCCAAAGTGCTGGGATTACAGGCGTGAGCCACCGCGCCCGGCCAGATTACCTTTTAAAAGAGCCTCATGACACATTCTTTTTCAAATAAGATTATATTTAAAATGTAGTGATAATTTTGTTTGGAATAACTTTTTTTTTTTTTTTTTTTTTTGTGGCACAATCTTGCTCTGTCACCCAGGCTGGAGTGCAGTGGCACAATCATAGTTCACTGTAACTTTAAACACCTAGACTCAAGTGATCCTCCCATCTCAGCCTCCCAAGTGGCTGGGACTACAAGTGAGCACCACCATGCCCGGCTATTTTCTTTTTTATTTCTTTTAGAGACAGGATCTCACTATGTTTCCCAGGCCAGTCTTGAACTCCTGGCCTCAACAATCCTCTGGCCTTGTCCTCCAAAAGTGCTGGGATTATAGGCATGAGCCACTTGTGCCTTACCTGAATTCTCTGTAATATGCTGGTATAGATTATCTTTTAAAAGAACCTCATTTGGGAGGCCAAGGCTGGCAATCGCCTGAGGTCACGAGATCAAGACCATCCTGGCCAACATGGTGAAACCCTGTCCACTAAAATACAAAAAATTAGCTGGGTGTGGTGGTGCATGCCTGTAGTCCCAGCTACTAGGGAGGCTGAGGCAGGGGAATCACTTGAACCCGGGAGGTGGAGGTTGTAGTGAGCTGATATTGGGCCAGTGCACTCCAGCCTGGTGACAGAGTGATACTCCGTCTCAAAAAAAAAAAAAAAAAAGAACCTCATGTTGTTACATCCTTTTGCAAGTAAGATTATATTAAAAATATAATGACAGTCTTGTTCGGGATAAACATAGTTTTATATACTTATAAAGTCAGGGCATACGTTAGATTTATTATGGACTGATTCTTAGCTAAAGGACGCAGTGGAAACATCCTCCGAGAGGTTTCCATTCATTGTTAGTTTTTCCCTTACAGATTTTTCTTTAAAGAGTAAATTTTATATTGTGGGAAATGAGACAACATAGCTACTATTTAGATAATTACATAAATTAAAGGCTATTTTAATAATATCCTAGGTATTCAGAAATTCAATATTAGCAATTACAGAGAAATTAGGGGAAGTTTATTATATGTAAGTCAACTGTTTTTCTTTTATATTTTTCTTTCAATATATTTTTCTTTTATAGTTGAAATAGATCATGTAGATCTATTTTAATTTTATCACCTTCTTGCTTTCTTGGTCTACTAATTTCAAAGTTCTGTGTGCATTTTGAGACATTACTGAAAATGCCGATTTGTCTTAAAGTTGACTTCATTTTTAACATGAAAGATTTTTTCTTAAATGTCATATAGTTATTACATTTTAATAGATCTAATTCAGGAATTAAAGTTTTCCCTTTTTCTCTCTTCTGTTTGTTTGACAGTTTGCAGATACTCAAAGCCTTTTGCCTTTTTGTAATGATTATTTTATTTATTTTATTTTTTTTGAGACAGAGTCTCACTCTGTCACCCAGATTGGAGTGGAGTGCCGTGATCTTGGCTCACTGGAGCCTCCGCCTCCTGGGTTCAAGTGATTCTCCTGCCTCAGCCTCCAAGTAGTTGGGGTTACAGGTGTGTGCCACCATGTCCAGCTAATTTTTTGTTTTTTGTTTTTGAGACAGAGTCTCCCTCTGTCATCCAGGCTAGAGTGCAGTGGCGCCATCTTGGCTCACTGCAACCTCCACCTCCCGGGTTCACGCCATTCTCCTGCCTCAGCCTCCTGAGTAGCTGGGACTACAGGCGCCCACCACCACGCCCGGCTAATTTTTTGGATATTTAGTAGAGACAGGGTTTCACCGTGTTAGCCAGGATGGTCTCGATCTCCTGACCTCGTGATCTGCCCACCTAGGCCTCCCAAAGTGCTGGGATTACAGGCGTGAGTCACCACGACCAACCAATTTTTTGTATTTTTAGTAGAGACAAGGTTTCACTGTGTTGGCTAGGCTGGTCTTTAACTCCTGGCCTCCAGTGATCCACCTGCTTCGGCCTCCCAAAGTGTTGGGATTGTATGCGTGAGCCACCATGCCTGGCCTTGTAATGATTATTTTTTTGTAATGATTTTTAAATAGAGATTCATATATTGGAAATGAATATGAGTTGTTTTTTTTTTTTTTTTTTTGAGACAGAGTTTTGCTCTTGTTGCCCAGGCTGGAGAAATGAATATGAGTTTTTAAAAATTAATTATGAATGTATTAACATTTGTATTTCAGGTTTTTTGTGACATCGTAAACATGAGCCCCACACAGTGGGACTTCCCTGTGGAATTATGTTGCCGGCCTATGGCCTTTGTTACTCTAACGGGCCTGGATGTAGTTTATAATGCAGTCCATCGAGCTGTCTGGGACGCCTTCTGTGCAAATCGGAGAGCTGATCGAGTACCAATTTCTTTCAAGGTGCTCCCAGGTGACCATGAGTATCCCAAATGTAGACCCAAGGTAATGGCATTGTGATGGCATGTGTTCTTTCCTTCTCTCTCTCTATGTGTGTGTGTGTGTCTTTTTTGTTCTGTTGTGTGTGTGGAGTTTATCAAGACAGTGGTCACAGTGGTGCATAAAGAAAGCCTTAGGCATTTTCATGTAATACACTGCATGTATATTTAATAATAGTTCTTTTTTTTTAAACTCCAGAGGAATAATTACTTTATAAAGCTTTCTATCCTATGAGCCCAGGTTTTCCCTTTTTTGTTTTTAGGAAAAAACCCAACATAGTCCCCTCTAAAAGGAAGGTCTTGCATTCCCCACCATCATTACTAATGTCGTTTTTGAATCCCATGGTCTGTGCAATGTGGCTCAATTTCACAGATTTTTTGAGCACTTGCTTTGTGATAGGTACCTGGAACCATGCAACAAGCTAGTGATACGAATTTAAGTGAGACAGGTTCCCTATTCTTGAGGAGTTTTACATAAACTAACACAGTTTATTCATTGCGGAATGAAGAAAGGTATTAAGTTCAAAACTGACTTTTAAGGTGAACGACATAGTAAAGACGACTTTACCTTAGATAATAATTATTATCATGATGATAGTATCACTAATAGCTAACATAGTTGTAAAAAAACAGTAAAACAGTTTACTGTTTTAAGCAGTTTATGTGTAGTGATTTGTTATTTATCATAATCTTATGAGGTTGGTTTGAAAGTTAGGTGATAAAACCCTTTTAGTTCTGACCCCTATCCTTTTTTTTTCTTTTGCCCTAGAGCAGTGTCTCTGACATAGTAGTCTCTGGACCAAGTATGTCATCATAACCTGGGGTATTTATTAAAAATGTAGATTGCAGCCCTCCTCTTTGGTTTCTGGGAATATAGGACTTGGTCACCGGCTGATTATTTTTGTGTGTGTTTGAGAACCACACGACAACATTTCATATACTCAGCCCTGGAAACTGAGCTCTCTGAAATTGTGCAAGTAATAGCATCCCAGCCCTGGCCCTCACACGATTATTTTTCTTTTCTTTCTTTTTTTTTTTTTTTTTTTTTGAGACGGAGTCTCGCTCTGTCCCCGAGGCTGGAGTGCTGTGGCGCGATATCGGCTCACTGCAAGCTCCGCCTCCTGGGTTCGTGCCATTCTCCTGCTTCAGCCTCCCGAGTGGCTGGGACTACAGGCGCCCGCCACCACGTCCAGCTAATTTTCTGTATTTTTAGTAGAGACGGGGTTTCACCGTGTTAGCCAGGATGGTCTCGATCTCCTGACCTCGTGATCTGCCCACCTTGGCCTCCCAAAGTGCTGGGATTACAGGCGTGAGCCACCGTGCCAGGCCTACATGATTATTTTTCTTTAGTGTCATGTTTGTGTCAAGAAGGCAGGGAGCCCAGCACAAGCCCTCTTTTCTCTTAATGCTCGAATTCAAGCTGCTTTTCATTTCTCTATTCCCAGCTTTTGGCTGAGTCCCCATGTTATTTTGTGTCAGACTTCCTTATTGACCTCATCTTTCCTTGCTGGAGGTAGACATTGGATCACCATGAAGTGGAGTAGTCTGAGCCAGCACAGCTGATTTGGAAGGAATGTGAGGTTTCAACTGCATCCCTCAGGGCTAACACTCAAATCTACAGCATCCTCTTCCCACTCTGTGGCACTCAGTGCCCAGACTCAAGTGGCTGCTGTGAAGCTTCTGTTTAAGAATTGTTCTCTGCTTTGTACTTCATCTACAAGTGAGGTGAAATGCATCACAGCAATATGTCTTTGAAATAAACAAAGCCTATTGGATTTTAGATAATATTTTATTTGAGCAGTTTTACAAGAACAGAAGCTGGAATGGTGAAGAATATAAGTAGAATTTACCTGGAAATGGGCTACTTTTTTTTTTTTTTTTTTCTTTAGCAAAGTATTTGAGACCCTTGACATCATTAGACATGCATCATCGTTTTATGCATTCAGTTATGGGGCTGATAGAAACTCTTTGGCTTCAGTCATTCTTTAAATGGGAAGTATAGCTTCTCCAGGGTTGAGATTCCACCTTCAACACTTACTAGTTCTTACTGAATCTGTAAGCCTGAGTTTCCTAATCAAAAATGGGAGGTGTGTATATTGAATGAGATCAATGCACATAAAGTGCTTGGCACTCAGTAACAGGTGGTTTCTGCTCCTGTCAGGTAACTTTTCAATTTCTGCCAATGTTTGCAGAGAACTTCATATGAGTGGTACATTCCTAAAGGGATCTTAAAGACTGGCTGGATGAATAAGCATCTGAATCTGGTGCCAGCCCTGGTGGTTGTGTTCTATGAACTGGACTGGGATGAGCCTCAGTGGAAAGAAAAGCAGTCTGAGTGCGCCACCAGAGTGGAAATAGTCAGGTATGATCTTCTGTGTCAGGGCAGCTATGTCAGTTTGCACATGTGTGTTATTCACTAACATTCCTTGAAGGCAATGGAGTACCGTTCAGACTGCAGTGGTCACTTTGCGGATTGACCTCCAGTGAATCTTGTTCACTTCCTCACAGGTAGCATAATTATTGACTGTATATAATGCTGGGTACGTGAAGAAATTTAGAAGACTAATTGGTCTGAATTTCCAAATGTTTTTCTTGTATTATCTTTTTTGGAGACATAGTAATTTACTGTTTAGTCTCTTAAAACGCTTTGCTTTATCACTGTTTAAGTTTCAAATAATTAATTCTTTTGGATGACTACTCTGCAGTGTATCACCATAAAGAAGTAAGTTGCATTATAACTTTTACGTAAAAGTATACATTAATCTTTTGCTTTTAAGGAAGATTTTTAAGATTAGAAGATGTGAGATCATACTTTTAGAATTTAAATCATTGTGACATATATGTGCTTTGTGTGCAGGAAAAGATTTCTTCTGATCTTGGTTTTTTTAGTTGAAATTTATCTTCGGTTGAATGACCAAGGTTGTATTTTATGTGAAGTCATGAATACATTTTTTAAGTTAAAATAATTAATTTTATTCTTGCTTTTTCATTGCAGGCAAAGTTTACAAGGAAGAAACACAAAAGTTGCAGTGGTTCTGATTCAGAAGAAAACCCCTTTGCCCCCAGGTATCAGAAGTCTAATTAATGAATTAATTGTTTTATACCTCCAATTCTTATTAAAGGGAGATAGGGGTTTTTTGGATGTTTAAATCTTTTATGCATTCAGTTATGGGGCTGATAGTATGTTAACTTTAAAAAGCACCAATGATACATGAACAAATGCTTATTGTAAAAAATTAAAGATAGTGAAGAATGCAAATCTCAAGTTCCCCTAGTTCCCCTGTTCCACTTGTCTTCTTATGTAGGGGATATAGGAAGGCATGTTCAATTCACAAAACAATTCGCTTGAATTTTTTTACAAGAGTATAATTTTTTTTGACTTCCAAAGCTTTCCAAAAAAGAATATAATTTACTTATCTAAGATCTATTTGAAGCTGTATTCCTTATATGAAATTTTTTCATTAATTTTCTGTAGGGCAAAGAAAAAGGCTATAGGATTTGTAGTTTTCTCTTGGAAAATGTCTTAGTTTCAGATTCTTATTTCCACTTTCCCAGACTTTTGTAGACCAAAATATATTTTTGTTTCTGTGTTGAAACTTATAGCATCCAAAATGGTTTTGGAGACTTCTTTCATGAATTATTGCTTCCAGTTTTAGTTATGTTTTTTGAAATAGTTATGTGGTATATCTGTTGGCATTACTTGGCCACCTATCCTGGCTCAGTAGAAAATTCCACAGTGTTTTCCTAAAAGGCATATACTGTGTAACCTCTAAGAACCACACAGAGCTCTCAAGGAGCCCAGGAGTCCTGTTGGTGTGATGAAAAGCTGTTTGGGTTTTTATTCCTAATTCTATTTTTTCAGACTTGGGGAAATATTTATTTGGGAAGCTACATTAGTTATTTTATTTCTCATTCATCTTGATGGGGATTATCAACAGGAGAAGATGTCATTGCTTCAGAAAGGGCTGCAGCTTTATGCAATGCATGTGAACTCTCAGGAAAGTCTTTGTTTGTACTGCCGCACACTGACCACCTTGTGGGTTATATTATAAGGTAAGTAGAGGTCTTTTAAAGTTTTGTTTTTTTAGATTATTAAGAATTGAGAAATTGGTAGCTTAGACCCATTTATTTTTTTAAAAAATCATGTTCATGAAAAACATTCATATGATACAGAGGCTATGGGGTAAAAATAAAAGTCTTTTTTGTTAAATTCTTAACCCTCTCCAATTCCCTGAGGTAACCAGTATCAACAGTTGCTCAAGTTTCCTTCCAAAAAAAGTCTTTTTGTATAAGAACAAATATATGTATTTCTTTATAGTATCCATACCACACACACAAACACAAAAACATAAATGTGCTCATATGATACACAGTGATCTTCCACTTAACATTACCTCATTAACATGCTTCCATATGTGCATCTAGGTCAACTTTATTTAAAGAAACAAAGTTTATATGTTTCTCCATTATACTTTCCAGTAATTACCCATGTCCTTGAGTGACATGTATGTCCTTTTTTGTGAGAGTGTCTCCATTCCACTCTGGCCTGTTTTTGCTTCATTCTTGAGCTGTCGATGTATCTATGTCACTAATTTCTTAGGAAGGTGTGAGCCCTATCATATCTTAAATATTTTTATAAAGCCTTTGTGTATAAAGGGCAGATTACCTGGAGACACAACATTACCTCAAAAATCATGTGGTCATTATTCATTGTTTTGTAGCATTTATTGTCACACAGAAGTTTTGTAGTAGTACATTTTATGCTAGGATGTATTTAGATATGAATATTTTCATTGATTTTGACTGTAAAATGGTTTTCCTTTTCATTCTGCATAAGTGTCCTTCGTTAACTCATGAACAGTTTTATTTATTTTTGAGTATTGCTTCTCTTGCATTTGTTTCTTTCTCAGAAGCAAACCTCTGAAAATGATCCGCTGCAGGAGGTTACCTGGCCTTCTCACTGGTATATAAAAGACCAGGCTTCTAAGAAAGAGAAGCATACATTTAGCAGAGAACATGCAGAGGAATAGGATCAAATGAAAAGATGAATTGCAAAGAAACTTAAATGCAATTAGCAAAATAAATCTTTACACTGGAAGCAGTAAACAGTAGAATTCACACCACAGAAAATCAAGTCCATGGTGCCCAGGGTAACATTGAGATAATTGCTTAGAATTCAGAGGAAAAGAATAAATGAGTTTTATTCCTTAAATGCAGACATATGAGCAATAGGGAACAGAGAGAAGAGAGGGGCAGCTGGTAGCACACTCAGGCAGCTTTTCTTTCCACTGAGGCTCATCCCAGCATCACACCTGGCCTCAGCTCTCCAGGCCTGGACAGCTCACCATTGACTCTGCACTTCAGTGCTTTCCTATTCACAGTGCTGTTCCTTGTCAGATGCTTTCATAGTCATGCCCACCTGCCAGCTCTCCTTTTCTGGGCTCTCTCTTACTCAACATTTAAGGCTTCAACGAAGCCTTCATTAGAAAGCTGTTGTCCTCTGTGCTATACCCTGCTGTAATGACTCTTCACTGAGCAGCATTACCTTCCAGAGACTATTTGGCAATGCCTGGAGACTTTTATGATTGCCATAACTGAGGGGGTTGCTGTATTGGCTTCCAGTGGGTAGAGGCCAGGGATGTTGCCACACACTCTACAGCGTACAGGACAGCCCTGCACAACAAGGAATTACCTGGCCGAAATGTCAGCAGTGCTGAGCTTGAGAACCCTACCTTAACCATCAGTGATCCTGCCCACCACAGCTTTCAAATTTAGGCGGTCATGGATTCAAGAGAAACAGAGGATGGGCCTCTGCCCTTAACCACTTGTAGTTTTGTTGTGGATGATGAAACATTTCAATAAGGAGTACATTGTCAAAATAACTGATGTAAAAACAAGTGCCCTGGGTCCATAGCCTCCAGCATGTGGATACAAGATGGGGAGTGCATAAGATAGTCCATTGGAGATGAGGAAACTCATAGACCCTTTCTTCAGATTTATATTTTATCTTCAGAGAGAGAGAGAGTAAAGCTGAATATCAGGACATCTTCATCTCATTGATCTGGGAGGGAAGTAGTGGAGCTACTGATGGCACACTTACTCCTGTGCTTTCAGAGCCTTTCGAGGTATTACCTATACATGCTACAATGATTTCATTAGTGTTTTTTTAAGTGTCAAAATGTTAGAATCTTGATAAAACTTCTGTAATGCATTGGGAGTGATTGTGCAAATCTTTTGTATTGGAGAAGTTTGCTGATCATTTCAAGGCAAAATACAGGAGTTGTCCAAGTTAATGATTCGAGTAAGCTTTTTTCTTTTATTAAAAAGTAAGTGTTCCCAACGTTCAGACCTTTCCTCTTAGGACAATAGGCTGTCTGTGTCATGCTTACTAGCAGCTGTTTAAAAACCACGCACATACTTTGCCTTTCAAAACAAAGGTGACAGTTTAATAATGAGTAAGAAAGCAAATGCTTCTCAAAGGAAAGTTGTGCTATAGAGAGAATATGCCAAAAATGGCTCTGGAAAATATTGGAAGCAGTTTTCTTTTCTTTTCATTTTTAAGATGGAATCTCATTCTGTCACCCAGACTGGAGTGCAGTGGCACAATCTCGGCTCACTGCAACCTCTGCCTCCCAAGTTCAATCGATTCTCCTCCCTCACCCTCCTGAATAGCTGGGACTACAGGCATGCACCACCACACCCGGCTAATTTGTTTGCTTTTGGTTTTTGGTTTTTTTTTGAGACAAAGTCTCACTCTGTCGCCCAGGCTGGAGTGCAGTGGCGTGGTCTTGGCTCACTGCAACCTCTGCCCCCCAGATTCAAGTGATTCTTCTGCCTCAGCCTCCCAAGTAGCTGAGATTACAGGCAATCTTGGCCAGGCTGGTCTTGAACTCCTGACCTCATGATCCACCCGTCTCAGCCTCCCAAAGTGCTGGGATTATAGGCGTGAGCCACCATGCCTGGCCTAATATTTGTATTTTTAGTAGAGTCAGGGTTTTACCACATTGGCCAGGCTGGTCTCGAACTCCTGACCTTAGGTGATCCGCCCACCTCGGCCTCCCATAGTGCTGGGATTACATTCATGAGCCACTGTTCCCGGCCCTGGAAGCGGTTTTCTAATTAGTTTAAAATTATTTGAAGCAAAGAATTTCCATGGGCTTGAACTCCGTTGTTAAAAATACAAAACGATGTATGCAGATGTACAGATTCATGCAGTTAGATTTTTGTCTCTGATCTTCGTCTTTCCATAAATTAAAAATTGGAACTGCTGTAAGCATTTGGCTGGGCGGGACAGTATTGAAGCAGTGTTTCACTCTCCCTTCTGTCCCCTTTTCCTGAAAAGGCTGGAGGAGAAAGGAAGAAAGGATGTAAGGACCCCACCCCTCATCCCCCGCAGCCCCAACTGCTGCTCCTGCTTCTGCTCTTGTGCCTTTTATTTGCAGCCTTTAGCACAGGATCTACCTTCAATATAACTTCCTTTTAAGTATACAGTAGTCCTCCTTTTGTCCTCCAAAGTTGTGTGAATATTTTTGCCTCTTAGGTACTTTACAAAATTCGGGAACACCCCTTTTAGACATAAATCTGCATCTATAACTTAGAAGCTAGAATGTCCTTCACCTGAAAACCGGTAGCTCTCTTTCCTGGAATCGGTGCTCGTTTTTCAAAGTTCAGTTGCAGTGGCTAAAATATATGTTTGTATGCTCTGAAAAATGTGCTTGCTTGATATGCTAGTGCAGTGGTGGCAGAAAATGGACTCCAGGTGATCTTTATATGAATATTGCTAAGAGTAAATATACATGTGTTCTAATAAAAAGTTAGAATAAGGAGCAGCTCGTAATTAAAAGTTTAACCTAAATTATCTGGTAGGATAAATTCTATTTCGAGACAGGTCAAACAATAAAATACAGATAATTGTGTGCGTATTTGTATATGTGTATGTACGTGTGCATCTTGTCTAGCTCAAAACAAGTTGATCAGGTTCCTACCTTCATAAAGAAGCTGATTTAACTGTGGAGACCAAAAGCATCCATGTTAAATTCCACAGAGCACTGCAAGTGTAAATTCTGTAATATAGTTTGTAAGTCTTACAGGATTTCAGAGAAGAAATAAATAGATGTGACCTGGGAAGGTTTAAGGAAGAGGAAGGCCTGCAACTGTGCTTGAAGGTGTGGATTAGTGGGAGGAAGTAGTGGTTATTTTGGACAGAGGAATGTCATAAAAAAGCATGGACATCTGAAGTTCAGCTAGTTTAAATCACTAAATGGGAAGACTGAATCGGTTGGATTTTTTTTTATTGTAGAACAAAAAAAACTGAAGGTCTCTTTCCTTAAAAGAGCATTCTTAATGTTTGGTGTTGCCTTAAAAGTGTAATGTTTGAGTATCTGGTAAGAGAATTGGTCTTTTCACTAACAGCCTTATGTCTTGACTAGATTTGTCGTTTATTTATTTATGTTTGTGAAACTGGTTATAAGGTTTTCTCCAAATAAGCCTCAAATAATAAAGAAGTGTATGAATTAAAAAGTGGAAGCCTTACAACACTTATGCTCTATCCCGTGATGTCTCTGTAGCCTGTTACGGTTAAAGCGAGGGAAAGATTTGACTCTGTATCCCTCAGTTTAGAGGAAATAATAGCACTTACCAAGCCTACTTACTCTCAGTCTTCTGTATTGACTGTTTAACAGGTGTTTTATCTCTAAGTACACATTCAGCTTGAAAACTAAAACCACACTTATCTTTGATATTTACTGAGACAATCTAGATTAATAATACTGATTCTCTATTGAGAAGGATTTTTTGTTTTTGTTTTTTGAATCATTCAGAATAGTCTGTAGACATATTTCTGGCTACCATAACATTAGATATTCTAGTCAGTGCCTTGTTGCTACCCGTTCGCAAATTTTTTTTTTTTTTTTTTTTGAGATGGAGTCTCGCTCTGTTGCCCAGGCTGGAGTACAGTGGCGTCATCTCCGTTCATTGCAAGCTCCGTCTCCTGGGTTCATGCCATTCTCCTGCCTCAGCCTCCTGAGTAGCTGGGACTACAGGTGCCCACCACCACACCTGGCCAATTTTTTGTATTTTTATTAGAGACAGGGTTTCACCGTGTTAGCCAGGCTGGTCTTGATCTCCTGACCTCGTGATCCGCCTCTGCCTCCCAAAGTGCTGGGATTACAAGCGTGAGCACTGTGCCCGGCCCCCATTTGCAAAATTTAAAGGATAGCTTAGGTTAATACATTCCTTCACACATTATTTGGTTCAAGGTTAGATTCTAATTTTGTCATATTTTAACATTTTTAAAACTACAGTTTTGAAAATAGAAAAATCTTAAAAGGCCGGACATGAGGGTTTATGCCTGTAATCCCAATACTTTGGGAGATCGAGGCATTTGGATCGTTTAAGTCCAGGAATTTGAGACCAGCCTGGGCAACATGGTGAAACCCCGTCTCTACAAAAAATATAAAAATTAGCTGGGCGTGGTCATGTATGCATGTAGTTCCAGCCACTCTGGAGGCTGAGGTGGGTAGATCACTGGAGCCCAGGAGGCTGAGGCTGTGGTGAGACTTGATTGCACCACTGCACTCCAGCCTGGGCAACAGAGCGGGACCCTGTCTCAAAAATGAAATGAAATGAAATGAAATAATGAAATGAAATGAAATGAAATATCTTAACCTAGAAAATCAAATATAAAATATAATAGCTGATATTTAAGTTCGTCTTTTATCTGGCTATGAGTTCTGCTTTCTTTCACGCCCTAGGCAGATAACTCCTGATAACTTCTTTTCACCAAAGAAAGCTTGAGTTGTGTATCCATCTCTGGTCAGATTTTCTTGTTCCTATGTAAGTTATAGAATGATGGAGGATTTAAATCACACAAATGTTTTCACCTTATTTGCCAGTTCTCATTTTTGGTTCTTTCCCCATTAGTTTTCTTATTCTTTTAAATCCTAAATACTAAAATCACCAAAAAACTGAAATCTAATTGATTAATAATTTTTTTCAGACTTTTTATAAAAATATAAAATAGTAGGGGCGAATGTGCTTTTAGAGATTCCAATCAAATTTTAGGCCAGGAGCGGTGGCTCACACCTGTGATCCTAATCCCAGCACTTTGGGAGGCCAAGGTGGGCGGATCACTTGAGGTCAGGAGATCAACACCAGCCCTGCTGGCCAACATGGTAAAACCTCACCTAAACTAAAAATATAAAAATTAGCTAGGCATGGTGGCACATGCCTATAGTCCCAGCTACCTGATAGGCTGAGACACAGGAATCGCTTGAACCAGGGAAGTGGAAGTTGCAGTGAACCAAGATTGCGTCACTGCACTCCAGCCTGGGTAGTGACAGAGCCAGACCCTGTCTCAAAAAAAAAAAAAAAAAAAAAAAAAGATTACCAAGTTTTTATGAATCAGAGAAAGGTATTTTTATTTGTTGTATCCTGTATTATAAATAATTTTAAATGGCTTTTGGATGGTCTTGTTTTTAGACTTTTTGATCTGAAAATTCAGGTTATCTTTTGCTTCACTTTGTCTTATTCATAATGTAAAACAGATATTTCTGTCACCATTTTACTTTCAGGTCTCACAAATATTCTTGAAAAGTTTGGTTTAAAATAATTCAATATGTAAATGCTTGTTTGTTTTTGTTTTTTACAGATTGGAAAATGCCTTTTATGAACATGCACAGACTTATTACTACACTGAGATCAGAAGAGTGAAATCTCATAAAGAATTTTTGAATAAAACAACACACCAGGTGCGTGATTTTTTGCAATAATAGAAGCATTCTGGAGCGGATTATTATTATTTTTGAGGTGATTATTACATGTTCTTAATACTTTAATGTTTTAAATGGTTTCAGCATTTCTAAAGTTTTTTTCAATGCTTTTAAAAATTAATTTGTTTTTAAATTAAACTCTTTGCTTTTAAAGTTCTTAAAGGTAGATTTTTATAGCCTTCTTAATTGTGCCTTTATTTGTGGGAATAATTCTTGTATTTCAGTTTTGAATATTTTTCTTCATTCTTTTATGTCTCCTCATAATAAACATTATAATTTTCACATTTTAAATAGAATATGTATAATAGTAATTTTTTTGTCTCTTTTTAGCTTTTATTTGTTAGGCATCAGTTCAAAATAGCTTTCTTCAGTGAGTTGAAACAAGATACACAAAATGCGCTGAAGTAAGTTAAGCTTTCAAACTAAATGTTTCCTATTTTTATATTAACAATAACATGTGATGGAAATTTCTGAATCTCAGCCAAAGTATAATTAAGTTTAAAGTGTTCATATTGCTTAGATTTAGGAATTAGTGTAGAGATGAATGGAGTATAATATTTTAGGATTTTTAAAAATTTTCATTTTATTATTGGAAGTAAATTTCATTGTGTCATAAAGCTTTCTGGTTTGATTAATTAAATTTTATGAGCCACAGAAATGTAATATTAAAATTTTCCCCATCTTCTTGACTTTATTTTGTGTATACTCTGTAAAATTCTTGTAAGAGGCTGATTTAAACATTATCTAAATCGGACTTTGTTTTTCCAAAATAAATTTTTAAATGTGCCTCTTCACAAATTTGCATGTCATCCTTGCGCAGGAGCCACGCTAATCTTCTCCGTGTTGCTCCAATTTTAGCATATATGCTGCTGAAGTGAGCACCAGACTATTGATTTTTATAGGTTTATACACTAGTACATTTATTAAATTCAATTTTTTAAATTAAATTTTAATGTTATCAGTCAGTTGCATCATTTTCCATTTGAAGTCTCTGCTTAGAGCCTTGAAGATTAGTTGCAGATGTGTTGGCAGTGGTTAAATATTTTAGTCCTTTGCTTTTACGAAGCAGAATTCAATGAAACTTGACCTCTTTGTAGCTTTAACTCACTTTTTGAAGACAAAGGTATTAAAAACAGCTATTTATCCCAAAATTGAGGAGGGCAAAGAAAAATAGAAATAAATAAAAATAATTTTATTATTCACAGGAATATTGCAGAAACATCTTATTTTTGTTGTTGTTTTGAGATGTTTAAGTACCAAAGCACCAAGTTGTGTTTCCTGAATCTCAACAACTTCATATAACTGGCTTTAATGTAGTTCATTTTTTTTTTTTGAGACAGAGTTTTGCTCTTGTTGCCCAGGCTGGAGTGCAGTGGCGCGATCTCGGCTCACTGCAACCTCTGCCTACTGGATTCAAGTGATTCTCCTGTCTCAGCCTCCCGAGTAGCTGGGACTACAGGTGCCTGCCACCACGCCCAGCTAATTTTTATATTTTTAGTAGAGACAGGGTTTCACCATGTTGGCCATGCTGGTCTCGAACTCCTGACCTCAGGTGATCCACCCACCTTGGCCTCCCAAAATGCTGGGATTACAGGTGTGAGCCACTGCGCCTGGCCTGTAGTTCATTTTTATCGATGGTATTAGTTTAAATCCTTCAATTTCAGTTCTGTTCAAAAATAATTCTGGAAAGAAATACATTTACCTGGAAAAGTTATGAACAAACTTTTTCTATGAAAAGCCTGTTTTGAGATTTCCTCATTTCCTTCCATGTGCAAGGTAGGCCCTGTTCCCAGCAGGCCCTCCTTTCTCACCATGCTTCTCCTTCAGCGTGAGCTGCCCGAAGGACATCTTTCCCTGCTCTGTAGACTTTACCTGAGGCCAGTAATATTCACTTAACCTGTAGAGGTACTTGGGGTTAAAAAGCTGTTGACCTGTGCTGCTGTTTTTTTGAGATGGCATCTCCCTCTGTTACCTGGGCTGGACTGTGGTGGCACGATCTCAGCTCACTGCAGTCTCTGCCTCCTGGGTTCAAGGGATTCTCCTGCCTCAACTTCCTGAGTAGCTGGGATTACAGGCTTGTGCTACCACACCCGGCTAACTTTTGTATTTTTAGTAGAGACGGGGTTTCACCCTGTTGGCCAGGCTGATCTGAAACTCCTGACCTCAAGTGATCCGCCCACCTCAGCCTCTCAAAGTGCTGGGATTACAGGTGTGAGCCACCGTGCCTGGCTGACCTGTGCTGTCTTGATACCACCTTTGCTAATAAAATTTCTATTTGTTTGAGAGCTTGTAATGGTACTTTAAAATACTTATGTTTTTTAACAGAATGCTGATTTTTCTGGACAGTTGTCCAATTTCCTTTTTTAAGTTATCTGTTTGTTACTGACAGATGTTAATGACAGGAAGAACAACGCACATGTCATGGTTCTGTTCTTTATGAAATCATTGATTCCTCTCATATATTTAATAACTAATGGCTCATTTATCAGGAAATCAGAGATTGACATTATTGAGCTGTTGAGCACTAAAATGTTGAGTAAATATTCTTTGTTATTTCTAGTGATTTGGTTCTTAGAAATCGTTTATTAAACTAATTTATATCATTAACCACCCTCCTCATTTAGGAATTATAGGACCGCCTATAATCTTGTACACGAATTGAGAGCCCATGAAACTAATATTCTGGAAATTAAGACTATGGCAGGATTTATAAACTACAAGGTAATAATTCTGCTTCCAAATACAGGGAATTTGTGTTTCAATATTAAATTATCTTTTTAAAATTTGAACATCAAAATTAATTTCTTGCTCTGAAAAGTTAGTATTTGATTAATTATGATCTCCCCTTTTATATCCTTTTTCTCAGAAGGGCATCGATTCTTAGCAGGCTATTTATAGTAGTTGTATTTTGAATTGATAAGTTCTAGAGGTTTTAAAAGTTTGGAGGGTTTTTTGGTTTTTGTTTTGTTTTTCAGTGGGAGCAAGGAGGAGTTGAGAAGAAAGCTGCCTGTATTACTGAGTTTTAAAGGATAAAATTATTAGAACTATGTGACTTCTTCTTGGTTTAATGGCACAGAAAAGAAGTGTCTATTCACCTTAGAGGAAACTTTTTTTTTTTTTTTTTGAGACGGAGTTTTGCTCTGTTGCCAGGCTGGAGTGCAGTGGTGGGATCTCGGCTCACTGGAACCTCTGCCTCCTGGGTTCAAGCAATTCTTCTGCCTCAGCCTTCTGAGTAGCTGGGAGTACAGGCATGCGCCACCACACCCAGCTAATTTTTGTGTTTTTAGTAGAGACATGGCTTCACCATGTTGGCCAGGATGGTTTCGATCTCTTGACCTCGTGATCCACCTGTCTCGGCCTCCCAAAGTGCTGGAATTACGGGTGTGAGCCACCACGCCCAGCCAGAGGAAACTTTTATACCTACTGTTTGAGCATTTTATTTTGAGATTGTCTATCACAGGAATAGGTGCCCTCAGAAGTCAAGCAACGGCTGTTTGGTTTGCTTTTAGTTTTTTCACATTCATCTTAAAGATGCCTGACTCTGTGTTGGTGATGTATGGCCAAATAGATACTTTAATTCGCTGTTTTTTTCTAATAGGAAAAGATTAGAAACAACCCAGTTGTAAGTGATTGGTTATATAAATTATAACTGTAAACAAAGAAATATTAAAAGCTGTTGAGAATGAGGCCGCTCTATGTAGTGATATGGAATAATACCCAAAATATATTGCAAGATGAATAAAGTCACAGATTAGCATATTTAGTGTGATGTTGTTATTTGTATAAAAACAATAGTTTTCTAGAAAGGCATACACATACTTATCTGTGTGTAGAATATATCAGGAAGCATATGGCAGAAACTGATTGCCTCTAGAAAGGGAAATTAGATGGCTGAGAGACAGGAATGGATGAGAGACTGACTTTTCATGTGTTCCTTTGTACTTAAAAAATAAAAGTGAAAATTGTAACAAGCATATGGAAATAAATTTAGGCTTTGTTTCTTCCTTTTTTCCTTTTGCCCCAAATACATACATATTAGTACTATTTTGAAATAGCATGCCAGCCACAAAATTTTCAAGAATTTCTGTAATACTTGTTTGATATGGAGGTAACTTTGCTTTAATTATGCTACAGAAAATCTTTAGCTTTATGACAAGTCTAAAACTGAAAATTGATCTATCTTATCTCAATTACCTGTTGGACATAGTTTATTTTAGTCCATGTTCTTCATTGGGGATAATTTTTAAATTCTGTTCCATATTTTTTAAAAGCTTTTCTAAAGTGTAGAATAAATTATGTACAAATAGTGAGTTATTTTATTTCATTTCTAAAAGGGATATATAACCTTTGGTTTTAGCATAACCATTCTGATGAGGAAAATTAATTGTATTGCAAAGAGCTTCAGAGAAGGAAATTTCATTGTCTTTTTCTAATGTTATTCTCAAAATAGTTTTTAAATGAATATGTCTTTTGACTTTCTTTTTTTCCTTTATTTTGGGATCAATTTTACATTTTGCAGATCTGTAGGCTGTGTTTTCAACACAACACCCCATTGGATGCAATTGCTCAGTTCCGAAAACACATCGACTTGTGTAAGAAAAAGATTGGAAGTGCAGAGCTGTCTTTTGAGCATGATGCATGGATGTCTAAACAGTATGTTTTACATTGTCCTTTTAGAATTTTTTAAAAATGATACATAGTATTTGGAGAAATAGCATGGACTTTGGTTCTAAAACTGAACCAGGTTTTTTGTCACTAAGTAGGTTTTTGATGATGTAGCATAAGTATGTTTCTGGTAATATTGTACATTGATATTGTATACAGTTCCTTAATGGGAATTATTTAATTCATGGTACCATCTTTTTCATTCAGCATATATTTATTGAGTCTCTACCATATGTCTAGGTCCTGGGGATATAGCAGTAAACAAAATTCCTGCTGTCATGGAGCTCACTGTTTGAGAATGAAGTTTAAAAATTGCTAAAATGAAATTGTTCCCAGAAACTTGGGTGTATTTATTTGAGTGGTAGGAACTATGTTGAGATCTAGTTTGATGGTATATTTATAAAGACTTGTTAGAAGAGATGACTTAAATATAGAACCTATCTGTAACCTACAGTTAGTGTGTATTAATATTTACAAAGAAATTAGAACAAATATTAACTGTTCATCAATAGCACCATTTTAACACAGTCTGCTGAGGTTAAGTTTCCCAGGATGAATTACCAGAAATAAGCTTCTTTTTCTTTTCATTCCTCTTTATTTCTTGATTTTCTTTTCTTTAAGATTCCAGGCCTTTGGAGATTTATTTGATGAAGCTATTAAGTTAGGGTTAACAGCTATTCAAACTCAGAATCCTGGTTTCTATTACCAGCAGGCAGCATACTATGCCCAGGAGCGGAAACAGCTTGCAAAAACCCTCTGTAACCACGAAGTAAGTTACTCACTCCGTATTATCTAGCACATAGAAAAGTTATTCTTCTTTTGAAAGAAGCTAGAACTGATTGGTGTTGATAATTTTTTCCAAGTCTTTAAATTTAATTAGTTTTTATTTTTTATAGCTTTAGGAATTACATTGATCTTTGGTTTTAGCCTGAGTACTCTGTTTTCACCTGTGAATTGAGCAGAAGTTTTTCTTTGAAGAACTAATTTTTGGCAGTAAGTTAGTGACTATTTAGACAAGAGAAAATTACTTTAAAAGCCACATTTTCATCCTTGTCACACTATAAATCCATTGTTTTGTTTCTATGATCACTGCTGTAAAAGTTTGGAAATCTGTTTTGACCCACTGGAGAGGATAAATTTTGACTTCTTTCTCTTCCTGGGGTTTTCCTGTATGGAGACTCTTTTTTTTTTTTTTTTTTTTTGGAGATGGAGTCTGTCTCTTGTTGCCCAGGCTAGAGTGCAGTGGTGCAGTCTCGGCTTACTGCATCCTCCATCTCTTCATCTCTTGGGTTCAAGTGATGCTCCTGCCACAATCTCCTGAGTAGCTGGGATTACAGGCGCCCGCCACCACGCCTGGCTAATTTTTGTACTTTTAGTAGAGATGGGGTTTCGCCACGTTGGCCAGGCTGGTCTCAAACTCCTGATCTCAGGTGATCTGCCCGCCTTGGCCTTCCAAAGTGCTGGAATTACAGGCGTGAGCCACCGCGCCTGGCCTCCTGTGTAGAGACTCTTAAGAGTCTGTTTGAGGAGTAGTGTTCATTGCATAGTTTCTTGATGTTTCAGTTTGCCTTTTTCTTGGAAGATTACATTTAGATATCAGTTTTCTTATAAACACCTTTAAAATAAGAACGTGGTATATATATATAAATATATTTATATTTATATTGTTACAGTAGTTTATTTTCACTTAAAACCTGCAGTTCTCTTCTCTGAAGATGAGTGAATATTATCAGTAGTACTATTTTTAAAACTGTTCCAAAAACGAATAGATTGTATATTAGTACTTAAAATGAATGGATTTTTTTCTCTAAAATGATGATTTAGCTGTTTTTGCCATGCTATTTGTATGATTTGTAATTTTATTGTGTGTATTATATTTCTAAAGTTTGGCATATTGTAATTTTGAACACAGTATTTTAAAAAGTGACTAAAACTAGGTTTTATAAGAATGTAAGGAACTGGGCATTAATAAATATCATTGGTTAAAATGTAAATTAATGGGCCGGGTGCGGTGGCTCACGCCTGTAATCCCAGCACTTTGGGAGGCTGAGGTGGGCAGATCACAAGGTCAGGAGATCGAGACCATCCTGGCTAACACGATGAAACCCCGTCTCTACTAAAAATACAAAAAATTAGCCGGGTGTGGTGGCGGGGGCCTGTAGTCCCAGCTACTGGGGAGGCTGAGGCAGGAGAATGGCGTGAACCTGGGAGGCGGGGCTTGCAGCGAGCCGAGATCGTGCCAGTGCACTCCAGCCTGGGCGACAACTCTGTCTCAAAAAGAAAAAAAAAGTAAAATAAAATTTCCATCAAATAATAATTTGAGAAGCTTTAAAACTGTGCATATCTTTTGACCTAGAATTTAATTTTTGGAGATAACTAAGGCAGCTAATAAATTCTGAAATAAGTACCAAAATTTATTTATAAAGTTGTTCTCACAGATTTATTAATTAATTGTAAAATAGAAATAAGATGAATAGCTATAGGGAATTTGTTAAAATATGCACTAGTAAGCAGCCATGAAAAATAATGTTTTAGAAGAACATTTAATGCTGGATTAAATATACAGAATATATTTAAATGAAAGAAGGAGGTTGAAAATTAATCATTAACAAATTTGTGCATGTGAAATCTGGAAGAATGATAACATACATTCTTAACAGTGGGAGTTGGTAGTAGGTTTATAAGTAATTTAGATTTTCATCCTTTTGGATGTTTTCTGCATTTTTCATGTATTACGTTTTGGTTTCAGAGGGAAAAGTTAAAAAGAAGAAAAAGCACTGTAAATCTGTCAGTTCTGGTGCCAAAAATATTCCCCCACAATAGCAAGATTTAATACAGAAGTGATAAAGAAGGAAAATAGTGTCTTCTTTGTAGAACTCCTTGTAACATTGTTTTCATTTACACAAAGAGCATGTATGCATGCGGAATAAATATAGAGCATAATTTGTAATATATTTTTACTGGTTTATTAGAGCAAAGATTAAAAAAGTGAAGAAATTACTGTGAAATCATTTGTCAGAATCAGATTGATTTTTATGAGACTACCTAAATATGAAACATTTTTAGCTTAATTTTTGTTAAAATTTATGTTAAAATATTCACAAATTTGATAATTGAATATATATTTGGTGGTTGTATTTATGAAAACTTTTTTGTTCAGTCAAAGGTTGGGCAAGAGTTGATTTGCGATGAGTTCCATAAACTATTATTTAGGTTTGTGTTTTAATTTACAGGCTTCTGTAATGTATCCCAATCCTGATCCCTTAGAAACACAAACAGGCGTTCTTGACTTTTATGGACAAAGATCATGGCGACAAGGAATACTAAGTAAATAATTTTTCCCTCTGTCCTTTCCTCTCAACCTCAAAAGGCAACAATAGCTATAATAGATTTTCCATTGGCTGCACATGCATAAGAAATTATGTTGAAGTAAAAATGTGTGCTTTTTAAACATTGTTTTTGTTTTTAGAATGCTTTGTATGTATCACTGCATCTTAGAGTGACTTATAATTAAAGTTGCTGTTGTGATTAAAACATGTATCTGGGTGTGGTGGCACATGCCTGTAGTCCCAGCTACTTGGGAGACTGAGGTGGAAGGATCACACCTGTGAACAGCCACTGCACTCCAGCCTGGGCAGCATAGTGAGACCTCATCTCAAAAAAAAAAAAAAAATACAACATTTGGACATCTGTTGTTTTAAATGACACATGCCACTGTTGTCTTATTTAAATATTTTAATTCCAGTTAACTTTTAACAATTGATTTGACATTTTAAAACAGCATTAACTCATATTACCTTAAAAACAATTTCTCTGCATATTTTTTAATACTTTATACGTAATTTAATTCAAGCAATTGAACTATAACTGTTAAATTACTGGCTAGGCGAGGTGGCTCATGCCTGTAATCCCAGCGCTTTGGGAGGCCAAGGTGGGAGGATTGCTTGAGGCCAGGAGTTTGAGACCAGCCTGGGCAACATAGTGAGAACCCATCTCTACAAAAAAATACAAAAATTAGCCACACATAGTGGCATGTGCCTGTAGTCCCAGCTACTTGGGAGGCTGAGATGGGATGATCGCTTGAGCCTAGGAGGTTGATGCGCAGTGAGCTGTGATTGTACCGCTGCACTCCAGCCTGGGCAACAGAGTGAGATCCCGTCTCAAAAAAAGAAAAAAAGGAAATGATTATCTCCAGCAAGTGTATCCTCTATAGAGGATGATATTGACATTGCTTTTCAGATCGTTGATTCCAGTAGGTAGAAGAACATTGAGCTCAATAATGTTCCCATCAGAACAGAACACGGAAGTTTCCATGTTAATAAAGCTGCCTCTTAGCACCTTTACGATTCTAGAATGTTGAAGAGTCTGAAATGATTATATTAAATAAAGGTTTCAAGGAGTGTACACATACAACGTTCATATGAAGATTTATATTAAATGAGCTGTCTAAAATGAGTTGTGTCTCATCTTACGCAGGTTTTGATCTTTCTGATCCTGAAAAAGAAAAGGTGGGAATTCTTGCCATTCAGCTGAAGGAGAGAAATGTTGTTCACTCTGTAAGTTTTGTGTCCAATATAAACTATTTTTTACACTATTTAAGAAAAATATTTGTATTGAAATGTTTCACACTCTACTTTTTCTAATAGGAGATAATCATAACTCTTCTGAGCAATGCTGTTGCACAGTTCAAGAAGTATAAGTGCCCGCGAATGAAAAGTCACCTAAGTATGTATCCACAAACGTCACCATTGCATGCAACTTTGAATGACTTTAAGTTACATACATAAATCTTTTTTTCCTTTATAGTGGTTCAGATGGGAGAGGAATATTATTACGCAAAGGATTATACCAAAGCTTTGAAGTGAGTCCTGTTCACTATTTACTTTTACAAGTATTTGGATTATCTGAAGTGAAACTGAAATAGAAATCAGTGTTGAAGGAGTTCGTATTTTCATATTTATTTCTATTGTTGTTAAACTCCATTTCTGTAATGTTTTTTTCAAGTGCTATTGATGGCACAATCTTTTTCAGTGTTTTAAGAAATCTCACGTTTAGCTAAATATGAGAATACCTGTTCAACCATCTCAGTAAGATTTTTCTATACTTACATAAAATGAGGAAAGTATTTTTTTCTCCATGAACTCTTCGAACCCTTTCTTGTGAAGCCGGTTCAGTATTACATTTTGTCTTCTTTGAGGTTGCTGGATTATGTGATGTGTGATTATCGGAGTGAAGGATGGTGGACTCTGCTCACTTCTGTATTAACTACAGCTCTGAAGTGCTCCTACCTCATGGCCCAATTAAAGGATTACATTACTTACTCCCTAGAACTCCTTGGTAGAGGTAACCTGATGTTTTTTGAGTAAAATTCTTGATACATAAAATTATTTAGCATCTTTAAGCTTTTTAAAATTTAAAGAATAATTTAGTCCCAGATAATTAGTATACTTTACTATGTGCAAATCACTGTGCTTAGTCATCTTAAAGAGGTATTTATTATTATATCAAGTTTCTAAAACAATAAATGGGGGTAGTAGACTTAATTATAAGTACTTAAAATGTTTTTCCTTCTTTCTTCATACTAGCTTCAACTCTGAAAGATGACCAGAAGTCTCGGATAGAAAAGAACCTCATAAATGTTTTAATGGTAGGTTGGAATTGTTTATATAGAGTGTGTTATTAGGAATATGTGTACTTATATCTATATCAACTAATCCAAGTAGTGGTTTTTATTCAACTAGTTGAATGGATGTTAACTCTGTGTTGATGCAGAATGAAAGTCCTGATCCAGAACCCGACTGTGATATCTTAGCTGTGAAAACTGCTCAGAAGCTGTGGGCAGACCGAATTTCTCTGGCTGGCAGCAATATTTTCACAATAGGAGTACAGGACTTTGTGCCATTTGGTAGGTAGCTAACATCTACAGTACTATTTCAGAGAAATTGTCTTATTTCTACAAAATGAATAGGTGCAGAATAATAAATATAAAAGTCAAGAAAGAGTTTTCAAAGTATAATCATGTTATAGATAAACTGATTTTTTTTTGTGTCCCCTCAGTGACTTACAAAGGTAGTTAGGATCTTAAATACTTGACTTATGTTTTAAAATACACTTTGCTCATTTGTAGTTCAGGTGTTATTAGAAACACCTGACAGTTATTTAAAAGGTTGTGCTTTACTGTCTAGGTAGGTATTTTGAAATAATAATAAAATGGTTCTTTTTCATTTAAAATCTTGTCATCTACATTTCAGGAGCAGCTGTGTTTTTAAAATTAAAGATGGTTTTGAAGCTGTAATTTATTTAAATTTTATTTTATATTATTTATTTGTTCATTTATTTTATTTTTCTTTTTCGAGACAGGGTCTCACTCTGCCACCCAGGCTGGAGTGCAGTGGCATGATCTCAGCTCACTGCAACCTCTTCCTCCCAGGTTCAAGCGATTCTCCTCCCTCAGCCTCCTGACTAGCTGAGATTACTTATGGGCGTGTACTACCATGCCTAGCTAATTTTTGTATTTTTAGCAGAGATGGGGTGTCACCATGTTGGCCAGGCTGGTCTTGAACTTCTGACCTTAGGTGATGCACCCGCCTGAGCCTCCCAAAGTGCTGGGATTACAGGCACGAGCTACCATGCCTGGCCTATTTATTATTCTTTTTGAGATAGAGCCTTGCTCTGTCACCTAGGCTGGAGGGCAATGCTGCGACCTCCGTTTACCACAACCTCCACCTCCTGGGTTCAAGTGATTCTTGTGCCTCAGCCTCCCTAGTAGCTGGGATTATAGGTGCACACCACCATGCCCGGCTAATTTTTGTATTTTTAGTATAGATAAGGTTTCACCGTGTTGGCCAGGCTGGTCTCAAACTCCTGACCTCAAGTGATCCGCCTGGCTTGGCCTCCCCAAGTGTTGGGATTACAGGCGTGAGCCACTGTGCTCAGCCTAAATTTTATTTTTATAATAAAAAGTTAGCTCATTTGTCTCTTGAAGTGCCTTAAGTGCAGAAGTCAGTAAGAATGGTCAGTGCAGATGTGTCTTTCTGAAGAATCAATTTGGTTAACAGGATGTGTGTGGGTCGTGGGTATCTGGTTGTGCATAACACAGCCCTTTTGTTTTATTTCTAGTGCAGTGCAAAGCCAAGTTTCATGCCCCAAGTTTTCATGTTGATGTTCCTGTTCAGTTTGATATTTATCTGAAGGCTGATTGTCCACATCCCATTAGGTTTTCCAAGCTCTGTGTCAGCTTTAATAATCAGGTAATGATGCCATGTCATGTGTTTTTACCACGTTTATCTTATTGTAGCTTATGTTAAACTAGATAAAATGAGCTTAGTGAATTTTATGTCTTAATGGTTTCATAGTAACAAATGAACTTTGGTAAGGTCTATTCAAAAATATATCTCCAGGGCCGGGCACAGTGGCTCACGCCTGTAATCTCAGCACTTTGGGAGGCCGAGGCAGGCAGATCACAAGGTCAAGAGATCGAGACCAGCCTGGCCAACATGGTGAAACCCCGTCTCTACTAAAAATACAAAAAAATCTGCTGGGTGTGGTGGCACGTGCCTGTAGTCCCAGCTACTTGGGAGGCTGAGGCAGGAGAATCACTTGAACTCGGGAGATGGAGGTTGCAGTGAGCTGAGATCGTGCCACTGCACTCCAGCCTGGTGACAGAGCAAGATCTGTGTCAAAAAATATATATATATATATGTTTCTAAACTTCTAGCAATTCAAGTTTACACTTTGCTTACTCCAATTTTTGTTTTCACTCCATGTTTATAAAGTCTTAAGAATTCTCTGTGTGTGTGTGTATATATATATATATGTACACATATAGTATATATATACTTTTTTTTTCTGTCTTTTTTGAGACGGGGTCTCGCTCTGTTGCCCAGGCTAGAGTGCATTGGTGCAATCATAGCTCACTGTAGCCTCAACCTTTTGGACTCCCACCTTAGCCCCCTAAGTAGCTGGAACTACAGGCACCTGCCACCACGTCTGGCTAACTTTTGTATTTTTTGTAGAGACAGGGTTTTGCTGTGTTGCCCAAGCTGGTCTTGAACTCCTGGGCTCCAGTGATCCACCAACCTCAGCCTCCCAAAGTGCTAGGATTACAGGTGTGAGGCATCACATCTGGCCTTAAATTTTTTTTATAATGTATACTTGAATTCCAAATAAGGTATATTCAGAATGAATAGAATTAAAAAAACATTTGGTTTATATTTTACTTCAACATTATTAGTTAATGTTATTAGTTTATGATTATGGAACTAATTTATGTTTGACATTTAAAAAATTGAAATGGAATAGATGGATATAATGTGAAAAGTAAATGTGTGTCTTCTTTCTTCTCCATTCTCCCACACACCCTCTACGTTAACTTCTTGAATAACCTAGACATTTTCTGCACATGAATATATAAGCAACTTTTTTTCTTGCAGAATTGGGATCATATTTCCTGCATTTGAATATATTTGAAGCATTATATAGTATATAGTCAAGTACTTCATTACAACTCTATTATAAACTCACTTAGTAGATAATCATCTTTTGATTACCCAGAAAGTATAGTGAGTCTTTCACCAACAAGCATTTATTGAGAGTTACGATATTCTTAACATGCTGAATCTGAGTATAGCATATGTCGACCTCATTAAAATTTAGGCATTTTGGGGACAAGGGCCAGGACAGAATCAAAGATTGCCCAAATAGGTAATGAAGACTAAATTACGTAGTGTAGGCTAGAAAGAGGGACAGCTGTAGTAGGCATGCCAGAAAAAAGGGAGGGAGTTCCAAGAATGAAGATGAAATTACGATAGGTCGAAAAGATGGAGGGGGAGAACATGTTTGGCAATGAGAAAACACTGCATGGAAACAGAAGCGCACAATCTGTGTTTCTGGGAAAGTCACACCTCACTAGAACAGAGGGTTTATAATGCTGGGTGGTGGGAAATAAGGCCAGGTGGCTTAAAGGAACCTGGAAGAGTTAAGCGGGGATAGGCTAGTAAACAGATGTCTTTGAAGATTTATTTGTTCTTTTGTCTGTGTTCTATTTATTGGATGGTGATAAAGAAACGTTATCTGTTTTATTAGGATTTGATTCATAAGAAAAGAGAAATATCTCTGTAATAGAAATGATTAGATGAAGCTGGGTCACCTGAAGATCAGTATGTTCTATTCAACTTCAGACCCTTGCCCAGGGATTTCCTCTAATCCGTTTGAGAATTTTATTTTAGTGTGTGTGCGTGTGTGTGTGTGTGTTTGTGTGTGTTTTGAGACAAGGCTGCACTCTATCTCCCAGGCTGGAGTGCAGTGGCACCATCTTGAGTTACTGCAGCCTTAGTCTCCCAGGCTCAAGTGATCCTCCCACCTCAGCCTCCTCTGAGTAGCTGGGACTACAGGCACATGCCACCATGCCCAGCTAATTTTTGTATTTTTTTATAGAGATGGAGTGTTGCTCAGGCTGGTCTTGAACTGCTGGGCTCAAGGAGCCCACCCACCTCAGCCTCCCAAAGTGCTGGGATTACAGGTGTGAGCCATCATGCCTGGCCCAGTTTGAGAATTTTAAAGCAAGAGCATGCAATTTATTCTTAAAGTTTTAAGAAACTTTATTCTAGTAGCAAAATAGAAATAATATCATGGAAGCCAATTAGAGGCTCTTTATATTAATCCATGTACAAAAGTACAAGTATCGGAATTGAGTTGCTGGTGTTGGGAATGGAGATTCAGGGATATAAGAGGCATTTAAAAATAGATAAATCTGGATTGCCAAGTGCATATAGCGGCTGAAAAGTGGGGATAGGATGAATGAAGGACAGGAGGTTTTGTACATGCCCTTTCCTCTGCTTGAATTGGTTTGCCCTCCTCTCCGACTACTTCATTCCTTCTTGCCTTTTCTCACTTAAAAGCATCACTTCTTCAGGGAAGCCTCCCCTGACTTACATGACTGAATCACTTAGCCAGGCTCTCATAGCCTTGGTAGTACTAATCACACTGTGGTTTCACCGTTGTCTGTGTGATTATTTGGTAAATTACCTGTTTTTCCTTACTGGAATCTAAGCTCCACAAGGGCAGAAGGGCAGGGGTTTTTTTTGTTTGTTTGTTTTGTTCATTATGAAATTAGAGGGTCAACACAAGGACTCTTTTTTTTTTTTTTTTAAAGAGATACTTTGTTGCCCAGGCTGGAGTGCAGTGATGTGATCATAACTCATCTCAGCCTCAAACTCCTGGGCTCAAGTGAAGTATGGGGACTCTTATTTTACTTTTCCCTTAATAGCCTACTATTTCATTTCTTTTCTTTCCTTTTTTTTTTCAACAAAAAATATAAGCTACTATAATTAAAAACTAATAACGCTAAAATGGAATATAAAGCAATTAGTTTTAAAATTTAGATTATATTCTGAATATATCTTATTTGAAATTTAAGATACAGGCGGGGCGCAGTGGCTCACGCCTGTAATCCCAGCACTTTGGGAGGCCAAGGTGGGCGGATCACTGGAGGTCAGGAGTTCAAGACCAGCCTGGCCAACATGGTGAAACCCCATCTCTACTAAAAACCCAAAAATTAGCTGAGCGTGGTGGCGGGTGCCTGTAGTCTCAGCTACTTGGGAGGCTGAGGCATGAGAATTGCTTGAACCTGAGAGGCGGAGGTTGTAGTGAGCTGAAATTGCATTTCTAGTGGGCGATGGAGTGAGACTCCGTCTTAAAAGAAAAGAAATTCACAATATAAACCATAAGAAAAAAAAAAGTAGAGTAGTTTTTATAAGCATGGAATAGAAATGAAAATTGGCGGGAAAGTATAATACTTGAACTGTGTAAGAATTTCTATGAAGGTAATTTATATGCTGGAATAGAAGATGGCTCTTGGAAAGGTCTTGATATTTATTGAACAGATGAGAATAGTGATTCCATAGATAGAAACATGAAAGCTGTCTTCCTTTACTCATCTATGAGGATTGTTCTCTTCTGGGAAGGCAGATGCACATTCACTTTGGGACGTGCTGAGTTTCAGTGGTAGTGGACTTGTCCTCTAGACAGTTGTGGATATAAGCTTGTAATTAAGGAAATAAGACAGAATAGGACAACTGTATGTGAGAGATACTAGCAACAATGGTATGGTGAACGTGGAAACAAATACATTTCCAATGAAGTGAACAGAGAGAGAAATGAAGACCTGAAAGAAAGCAAAGGAATGGGGCTGGGCTTGGTGGCTCACACCTGTAATCCCAACACTTTTGAAGGCTGAGGCAGGAGGATCACTTGAGCCCAGGAAGTTTGAAACCAGCTTGGGCAACGTAGTGAGACCCCATCTCTACAAAAAATAGAAAAATTAGTCTAGTGTGATCGTACATGCCTATGGTCCCAGCTACTTTGGAGGCTGAGGTGGGACTATCCCTTGGGTCCAAAAGGTTGAGGCTACAGTGAGCCGAGATCATGCCACTGCACTCCAGGTAGGAAAAACAGGAAGTAACCAAGCAGGATGAGAAACAGGAAAGATTATAGCATCACAGAAGCCAAGTAAAAAAAGGCTCTTCAAGAAAAGGAGGTGATAAACAGTAGTGTCCAGTGCAACAAAGAACAAACTGTTTCTCTGGGAGAGGGATAGCTAAATATTTTCAGAAAACAGTTTATGTGTAGTGAACTGTTATATTATGGCAGCAGTAAGTGGATAAATGCCTCTATTTGGCATAAAAAATACTTCCTTTTATTAGTAACCCTTCATAATGCTTCAGTGTTTGTGGAGTTATACTAAATGAGCTCCAAAGCACTTGGCATTTAGGGTTAGCAGACATCTGACATTTGATGACCCCTGTTCACCTTTTTCAGGAATACAACCAGTTCTGTGTAATAGAAGAAGCATCCAAAGCAAATGAAGTTTTAGAAAATCTGACTCAAGGAAAGATGTGCCTAGTTCCTGGCAAAACAAGAAAACTGTTATTTAAGTTTGTTGCAAAAACTGAAGATGTGGGAAAGAAAATTGAGGTTAGTTATGAAATTTGTTTTAAAATATTTTTAATAATAAAAGTATGTTTATATCAATATTTTAAATAATACAAAAGTTGATTAAGTAAAAAATGAAAATCTGCTACTTGGACTTCCTAAAGGAAACCATTCATAATAGTTTGGGAAGTTTCCTTCAGACATTTTTCTGTGAACATACTTGTAGTTTAAAATTTTTTGCAATTAAAAAATTGAGAATATACTGTACATAATAAACTGTAGCTGGCTTTTGTCATTTAATAGTGTATATTAGATATTATTTCTTGTTAGTATATAAACCAATCTTGTTTTTTAATGACCACATAATCAGTTAAGGAGTTTTAAATAATGTATATTATGTAATATAGCAAATATATTTTTTATGTTATTCAGACTGAATATCTTTTGATGTTTAAGCATTACTGAGTACATATTTTTAAAGAAAAATGAACATATATATTTGTAAAGATTGATATAGTATAGATAATTGAAATGCCTTTTAGAAATATAGGATCTAAGTAATATCTTTATTGAGCATAAACTCTGGAGCCAAACTGTATGGGTTTAAATTACAGCTCTCTAGCTTATTAGCTTGTGGCCCTGGGCAGTTACTTAGCTTCTTTGTGTCTCAGTGTATTCATCTGTAAAATGGGGATCATAAGAGTACTAATCTCTTAGGATTTCATGAGGATTAAATCAGCTAGTTAATGTAACTTGCTTGGAATAGTGATTAGCACACAGTAAGCATTCATTAAGTGCTTGTTTTTCATGACTTGAATGGGAATGGTTAGCTCATCTAAACTTGGGACCATTGCTAAGATAAATGGCATATAAAGTTATACAACCAGTGTTCCCATAACAGTTTCTGTGAACATGTTGCTTTTATTATTTGCTTATTCATTAAAAAAAAAAAAACTTTCATGATTTTGACTAAATGCCCTAATTGCATATTTTATTTTTTCATGGTACCTAAGGGAACCTACCAGACATAAATAATAATTAGTAATTCTATTTTGAGTCCTTTTGTTAATGGTTTTAGTTGAATAGATCATGTATTCAATTAATAAAGCATTTTATTGCTAATACTGTAAATATTTTTGAGAAAAATATTTGTGGAGTCGGAAATGAGGTTATAATGTATCCATAGCCATCACAATACTTATTTCATTCAGCAACCACTAATTGAACCTTCATTACATCAGGGACTATGCCAGATGTTAAAATCATAACACTACTGTGCAATCAGCCTGTCAACAGAAAGTCAGGTTAGTGTCTCTGTTTTAAAGGTGAAGAAGTTGGAACCCAGAGCGCAGTTAGTCTCTGTCCCAGCCCGAGTAAGACCTCTAATAGCAGGTGTTCTCACTTCTGTCACACTGGGGGTCTCTAGATGAACTCCATGGTCTTAGCAGTCGACGATGTAATTTTGGTGAGAGGAGATGGTGACAAGCACATATGAGATGACATTTCCAACATCCTTTTTTTTCTTTTTAGATTACTTCAGTGGATCTTGCTCTGGGCAATGAGACGGGAAGATGTGTGGTTTTAAATTGGCAGGGAGGAGGAGGAGATGCTGCTTCCTCCCAAGAAGCCTTACAGGCAGCTCGGTCTTTCAAAAGGCGACCTAAGCTACCTGACAATGAAGTTCACTGGGACAGCATTATAATTCAGGCAAGCACAATGTAAGTCTGCTTTGCTAAGCTGATATTAAAGGTCATCCTCTTATTTCTTTTGCTATTTTTTTTGGAGACAGAGTCTCTCTCTTGTCCAGGCTGGAGTGCAGTGGTGTGATCACGACTCACTGTAGCCTTGACCACCTGAGCTCAAACCATCCTCCCACCTCAGGCGCTACCCTTGCCTTCCCCAGTAGTTGGGACTACAGCCAGGTGCCACCATGCCTGACTAATTTTTGTATTTTTTCTAGAGATGAGGGTCTTACTATGCTGCCCAGCCTTGTTTCAAACTCCTGGGCTCAAGCGATCCTCCTGCCTCAGTCTCCCAAAATGCTGGGATTACAGGCCTGAGCCTCTGCACCCAGCCTCTTATTTCTTTTAAATACTTTATTTGAATAATTTATTTGCTTTTTTTTTGATCAGTTACTTAGCTAAGGTTTCTTTTCAAAGGATCATATCCAGAGTCCCAAACATTTCTGTACATCTGCTACATGAACCCCCTGCACTGACTAATGAAATGTATTGTTTGGTTGTGACTGTTCAGTCCCATGAAAAGACCCAAATCAGAGATGTGAAGCTCACCGCTGGCTTAAAACCAGGTAAGCATTCCTTTTTGTAAGTTTGATCAGTATTAATCCAACATTAAATAAGCATCAGTGATGTCAACTCTAGGACTTTTGTTTACAAGAGGGTATGGCATAGTGCTCTTCACACAGTATTGATTATTGGGATAATGTTTGAATTCTTTGTTTTGAAGAACCAATATTAACTCTTTTAGGACAGGATGCCAATTTAACTCAGAAGACTCACGTGACTCTTCATGGAACAGAACTGTGTGATGAATCCTACCCGGCTTTACTCACTGACATTCCTGTTGGAGACTTACATCCAGGGGAACAGGTAAACTTGGTCAACTGGGATTGAAGAGGAAATCAATTAGTTTGTAGTTTTAAATATATAGTGAGTTTTTAACAGTTCAGAGCGTTTTAACGCATATTCTAGGACTGAAAAAGTGATTTAACTAATGAACATTTCATACACATTTTACATACGTAAATGTGTAAAATGTCTTAAGCAGTTTTTCTACAAGGGAATTTAGAAAACATGCTTAACATGAATTAGTGGGCTAATAAAATACCCATTGTTTGTAACTTAGTGCAGTTAACTTCTCAGTCAACTTCTGCTTCCAAACTAGATAGAAAAATATTTTGGAAGTTAAAGAACAATAATTTCTAAAAGATGCAGTAGTAATGATCCCACCCTTATACTGTGGCCACAGTGTAATCAGAGTACTCTACTACAGTGGGAGCATTGATGAGTTACATTGTAACATTCTGTAAAAGTGATAAAGAATTTAGCCAGTTGGTATAAATAAACTCTAGAAGGTGGGAACATTATCCTAGAATATATATCAAGAAGAAATGTCTGTAATACTAATTAAATTACAACATTTATTTTGTTACAGCTGGAAAAAATGTTGTATGTTCGCTGTGGAACAGTGGGTTCCAGAATGTTTCTTGTATATGTTTCTTACCTGATAAATACAACCGTTGAAGAAAAAGAAATTGTTTGCAAGTGTCACAAGGTATTTTTTTATAGCTACTTTATAAAGCATCATATGTGGAGTATTCCCATTTTGTGTTATTTTAGTTTACCTATAAAATAAGCATAAAATAAGCAGTTTAGGTGCTTATAGTCTGTTATAAATTTTAATTAAACTTTTTAAAAAATCACTTATATTGAGATTTGTTTAGGCTGGCATTCACTGCTCAAACATTAAACAGAAAATTAGCTTATATGGCTTTTCTTTTTTTTTTTTTTTTTTTTGAGGCGGAGTTTTGCCCTTGTCGCCCAGGCTGGAGTGCAGTGGCACGATCTTGGCTCACTGCGACCTCCACCTCCCGGGTTCAAGCGATTCTCCTGCCTCAGCCTCCCGAGTAGCTGGGATTACAGGCATGCACCACCACACCCAGCTAATTTTTTGTATTTTTAGTAGATACGGGGTTTCTCCATGTTGGTCAGGCTGGTCTTGAACTCCCAACCTCAGGTGATCTGCCCACCTTGGCCTCCCAAAGTGCTGGGATTACAGGCGTGATCCACTGGACCCGGCCTATATGGCTTTTCGTATAGAGGATCAATAGGATTGAGATCTCAAGCAAATCACACATGAGATAAAATCTGTAAGTTGACTTACATATAGAGGGTTCTGGAGAAAAGGAGGTCGCCCTTTGAAAGGCATTTTTCTGTTATTAAAAAATATTGGTAAAAATTGTTTTCGGTAAGTGCACATAAAAGTGAAAATAGGAACGATCACGGTTACAGTTCACAACTCGAAGGCAACTGCTAACTCTTTGTGTTTCTTATTGGTCTCTTTTCTATTTCTAGAGATTTTTAACAGGCCATGTTTCTAAATAGATTCAATTGTGCTGTATATAATGTTTATGTTCTCTTTTGTTAGTAGAACATTATGATATTTGGTATCTTCTTGGTCCTGACAGTAATGTTGTCTTAGTTTTCTCTTAGGAATTGGGTCCTCAGCCCAGCAGAGGAGAAGGCCTATAGCAATTTGGGGATTTGTAGTTTTGTTACTGCACAGAGTCTGGGCTGTGGGCTATTTACTAGTCATTGGGAAAGAAAACCATCTCAAAATTATTAGTATTTCCCAAGCGGGAGAGAAGAAGGCATGTAATGTACTGTTGAAAATTTCTCATAGCCTGGTATAATACATAGAGTCCTATATGGTAGCTTAGGAGATAAGGGTGCCAATCTCAGCACATTATATGTATTATCTCATTTGATTTTTCTAACAAGCCTGTGAGGATTATGAAACTGGGACTTAAAGAGACTGCATGAGTTGAGCATCCCAAATCTGAAAATTCAAAATCCAAAACGTTCCAAAATCTTTTGGAAACTTTTTGAGTGCCAGCATGACACTCAAAGGAAATGCTCCCAGGAGCATTTTGGACTTGGAATGCTCAACAAGTAAGTATAATCCAAATACTCCAAAATCCAAAAAATCTGAGACACTTCTGGCCCCAAGCATTTCAGATAACCTGTATAACTTTCCCAGGGTCACGTCATTAGGTTCAAGGTCACAGAGCTAGTAAATATGTATTGAGCCAGGATTAGAATTCAGCTCTGTCTGGCATTACAGCCTGAGCTTTTAACCAGTATGATCTTTTTTAAAGGTTTCTTACCAAGAGGTTGTGTTATTTGTTTTGAAAGATGAAATAACCCCATGGTTTTTTTTCTTCTTTCTTTTATTTTTTTATTTTGACATGGGGTCTCACTGTGTTGCCCAGCTTGGAGTGTAGTGGCACGATCTTGGTTCACTGCAGCCTCCGACTCCTGGGTTCAAGCAATCCACCCATCTCAGCCTCCCGAGTAACTGGGACTACAGGTGTGCACCACCATACTCAGCAGATTTTTTATATTTTTGGTAGAGACAGGGTTGTGCCATGTTGCTCAGGCTGGTCTTGAACTCCTGAGCTCAAGCAATTTGTCCACCTCAGCCTCCCAAAGCTGGGATTACAGGTGTGAGCCACCATGCCCACCCCCCCATTGTTTTTCTAACAGACTCTTTTAGAAAGGAGATGTAGCATGTTGGTTAAGAGTGTAGGCTCCATGACCTCATCTTAAAGTGGCAATCATAATAGCACTTGTTTCCTTGTGTGATTATGAACATTACATAATACATGTATACGGATGATAGCAGTGTCTGTCACATTACATTATTATTATCTTTCTTATTAGTCATTTTGAGTTGAGGTGTAGTAGGAACTTAGACAAAAGGAAGACCCTAGCTTTGTGGAACGTCTGATTCCTCCTCTGCAAAATGGTGATGATGCCTGCCCTGCCCACTTCATTAGATCCAGAGATAAATAATGTATAAGAAAACACTTTAGCCAGGTGCTGTGGTTCACTCCTGTAGTACCAGCACTTTGGGGTTCTGAGGCAAGAGGATCACTTGAGGCTAGGAGTTCAAGACTAGCCTGAGCAACATAGCAAGACCCCATCTCTAAAACCATAAAATACGGTAGCCGGGCGTGGTAGTGTGCTCCTGTAGTCCCAGCTGCTCAGGAGGATCACTTGAGCCCAGGTGTTCGAGGCTGCAGTGATCTGTGATGGTGCCACTGTCCTCCATCCTGGTTGCCAGAGTGAGACCCTGTCTCCCAAAGGAAAAAAAAAAAATTAGTACTCAGTTCTCTCGACACAGATTTTTACAAATGTTATCTAAAAGGCCTTTACTTCTTAGTATGTATAATTTGGGATTATTTATTGATCAGTGATAGGTTGTGTTTTTTAAAACTTTATATAAAAAGATTTAGAAAATCCATGAATGTGCCCTTTACATTTTCTTGCAGGATGAAACTGTAACAATTGAAACAGTCTTTCCATTTGATGTTGCGGTTAAATTTGTTTCTACCAAGGTATGTTTCTTTGAGGCATACTAGAAATCATTTAGGTTATAAAAATGGACTGAAATGATAAAATGGATTAAGGTAATTCCTGACAGACCTTTTATCTTCATTTGTGACAGTTTGAGCACCTGGAAAGGGTTTATGCTGACATCCCCTTTCTGTTGATGACGGACCTCTTAAGTGCCTCACCCTGGGCCCTCACTATTGTTTCCAGTGAGCTCCAGCTTGCTCCATCCATGACCACAGTGGACCAGCTCGAGTCTCAAGTGGACAATGGTGAGTCTGGTTCATTCCCACTTAAAGACCAGGAGAATTGTGCGCGCGTGTGTGTGTGTGTGTATAAGCTGGCAATGGAAGAGTTAATTAGCTTTTTGCTAAGTGAGGGAACTTGAGACCTGCACTCGTGAAAGCAAATGCATATGGAATTAAGGTGGAATTAGTGTCATTTATAATACCATTTGCTTGAGTATACCTGATTTTAAAAGGTTAGACTTTTTTCCTACTCTAAGGGAGTTATACTTTGAAAATGTACTTCACAAAAAGAATTTTTTTTTCATTTTTGAACTTTTTAAAGATTTTTTTCTCATTAACTCTTAATGTTTACTGTTTTTCATAACTTGAAATGAGAAAAGGTATTTATTAAAGAAACTTTGGAAAATATAGAAAAATAGAAGTTACATTTTCTGAGTCACCCTACTAAAACAATTTGTAAGACTGATTCAAATCCAGGACAACACCTTTCTGGTTTTAAAAAGTACTAATAATATCTTTTGCTTTCAGAATGTCTTCATGAGTTTTTTTTCATCTCTCCTTGAAACTCGGTTTTCTCTTGTGTGTTTGGAAATCATTGTCTCTGTCCTACTTTGTTTTTCTGTCTCCTTCCCTTTTTCCTTATTGTCCTTATTGTGCTAATTGGGAATAATGAGCTTTAGGGTCAGACTGAACTAGATTCAGTTCTCAGCCCTACAACTTGTTCTTTCATGAACTTGGATGGTTCCTTTCATCACTTCTTAGAGTCAAAGAGGATGATGTATGTGAAATAATTAATATATATGAGAACATATGAAATAGCTCAGTGCTCATTTTCTAACAGCTCAATAAAAGCTTGTTATTTGTCCATTCTTGCTGATTCCTTTTCTTTCAGTGTTGGTCATTTCCAGTATCCTGACGTTGGTTCTCTTGTTCTTTCTCTACAAGTCTTCAGCTGCCACACGACCTTAGGCTGCCTGCATTCCCTCGTCCAGTTGGAGGGGTTGTCTGGTTGTAAGGGTTGTTGTACGTACACTTGATCCAAGCTGGAAACTGCAGAGAAAAACTACACTCCTTCACACGCACATCTATCCTTCACACCCACATCCAAACATTTTTTTAATCCAGCTTTTCATCTCCATCCTCAGTGCCATCCTCACCATTTCTCTCACCTGGTCTATAGAAGTAGGTCCTTAACTGTTTTCTTCCTTGGCAGTCATTCTCTTCCCTATCCTGCCTTTCATATTGCCACTAGACTTTGTGACACACTGGACCTCACCTGGTCAGGCTCTGGCTGACCTTCCCAGCTGCCTCTACCCCAGGCTGTCTACTGCCCTTTGCTCTCTCCCAGGTTTCAACCAAGACAAACTTAGGGCATTCATCCAACATTGCCCCCAGCTACTTTTGAACATATCTTTGGAACTTTTGTGTAAAACCTTCATCTTTTTCAACCTGTTGAACTCTGGCTTGCTCTTCAGGGCTCTTGTAAACTTGAACTTCTTGTTCCTCCCAAGCAGGACTAAGTACTCTTCCTTCTTTATTCCCATGGTGTTTTGTACACACCTACATTGTAACACTTACCATATTATATTGCAATTTCGTATTTGTAAATATGGCTCCCTTACTAGACTGTGTGTTCCCTTAGAACCTGAGTTGTGTCTTATTCATCTTCATATCGCTAGCATCATAGTACTTAGCTAATAAGTGTTTACTAAATTAAGGAATAATCTGTGGCTTGAACTTCTAGTATATTAGTTTCTTACTGCTGCTGTAACAAACTACCACAAAGTTAGTGGCTTAAAATGACACAGATTCAACTGTATTAAAGTTCTACAGGTTAGAAGTCCAAAAAACAAGGTGTCAGCCTGGTTGCGTTCCTTCTGGAGGCTCTCAGGGAAAATCTGTTTCTTTGCCTTCTCCAGCTTCTAGAGGTCACCTGCACTCCTCCTCATGTGGCTCCTTCCTCTGTCTTCAAAACCAGCAGGTAGCACTTCTTTGTCACAAATTGACCCTAATGTTAATTGGTTTTTTTTTTTTTGAGACAGAGTCTCTGTCACCCAGGCTGGAGTGCAGTGGCACGATCTCGGCTTACTGCAAGCTCTGCCTCCCGGGTTCATGCCATTCTCCTGCCTCAGCCTCTCCGAGTAGCTGGGACTACAGGCACCCACCACCACGCCCGGCTAATTTTTGTATTTTTAGTAGAGACAGGGTTTCACCGTGGTCTCGATCTCCTGACCGCGTGATCTGCTCATCTCAGCCTCCCAAAGTGCTGGGATTACAAGCGTGAGCCACCACGCCCAGCCAATGTTAATTATTAATAAACATTGTGACCGTTTTATTTAACTTCTTACAATTAAGGAGAACTTTGGTAGAGTTTAATATGAATGGCCCAGGTTTTTTAAAAGACGATCTCTAGAGGCTCAAACTGATGTGTATTTTATTTACTGGGCTACAATATCATTTCCAAGTCTTTAACATTACATAAAAATACTTAATTAAAGCAAAGGTTGATCCAGCTTTTTTCCCTTTCACTGTTGTTATCTGTCCACAATCAGACCTCCATTGATCTGTCACAACCATCTTCATTAGAAAACCATAAAAATAGCCTAATGTTTAGAAACTTTGTTGTTATTCCTTTGGAGTTGCACTCACAGATTGCTAAAATTGCCGTTAAATATGTACTGTTGCCTGCTTGCATTTGAAGCTGAGGCATTGCAGGCTCTGGAGAGCTGAAAGGTGGAGGAGACTTGGTTTGAATGGGCGCTTATCTTGTCATCAGGGAATTTGCTATAAAATTGGCAGAAGGAAAGCATTCTTGCACAGAGGTGAATGGCCATGTGAGGCAATAGTGAGGCGGTATGAGTGCTATTAGTAATACAGGCTGAGTATCTCTTACCTGAAGTGTTTGGTACTAGAAGTGTTTCAGATTTCGGGTTTTTCAGATTTTGGAATATTTGCATTATACTTAGTGGGTGAGCATCCCTCATCTAAAAATCTGAAATCTGAAATGCTTTAAAGAACATTTCCTCTTTTAAAAAAAAATTTATTTTCATTTTGGAGCCAAGGTCTCACTCTGTCACCCAGGCTGGAGTGCAGTGGCAGGATCATGGCTCACTGCAGCCTCAGACTTCTGGGCTCAAGCTATTCTCCCACCTCAGCCTCCCAAGTAGCTAGGACCACAGGTGCACGCCACCACACCTGGCTAATTTTTAAATTATTTATAGGGACGAGATCTCCCTGTGTTGCTCAGGCGAGTCTCAAACTCCTGGAGCTCAAGCAGTCCTCCCACCTTGGCCTCCGTAAGTGAGATTACAGGTGTGAGCCACCACACCTGGATGCACTTCCTTTTAGAATAACCTTTGCGTGTCATGTTGGCACTCAAAACATTTCAGATTTTGAAGCATTTTGGTTTCAGATTTTTAGATTAGGGATGGTCAACCTGTATATGTTTACTCAGAGAAAGCCACAATTTTCTGGAATGATATTTTGAGTACTTTAAGAGTAACTGAAATTTTCTATTTTCTTTTTCTCTACCCCAAAGTGTTTACTTTGGAGGCATGAAATAATTTGGAAAAAGAAAAACAATCACCGTAAGATATTGATTCTGTCTCTAAGCTTTTTGCATTCATTAGTTTCCATAGGACTTTCTTGCAGATATACAGATGCCTCATTGGATTTTACTGTGATGGAATATTGGTACATTAGCAAAAACAGTGGACTTTGTGACCTTGAAAAAGTCATTTAACATCTCTGAACCCTACTTTCTAAGTCTCTACAAGTAATATATAGTGGGTGAGGTGTTCTTTCTTTGTTCTGTTACTTGGATGTGAAACTCTCCTTTTGTAGATGAAACCATTGCATAAGGAATATAAAGACTTTTCCCTGTAGTTATCTTACAGACTGGAGAGAGTGCTAGTGAATGCTTTTGTCTTCAATGCCCATCTCTTGGAAATATTGAAGGTGGAGTAGCAACCGGGCATTATATTATCTCTTGGAAAAGGTAAGAATTATGTCAATCCTGTCTTTTCTTCAATGTCTCTGTTATTCTCATACCTTTATTATTCATCTTTGTCACTTAATATTTGAGAGTTTCTGTCATTCTGAAGAGCAGAAGTCATGTGGATATGAACACAAACCTGAAAAAGATAATTAAAGCTGAATTTGTGCTTGTCGTAATTTGTGACTTATATGCTATTAAAATTTTAGCCAAACTAAATCTGTACACAAAGGGTGTATGTATAAGAATGTTCATGGGCTGGGCGCAGTGGCTCCCACCTGTAATCCCAGCACTTTCGTAGACCTAGGTGGGAGGATCGCTGGAGCTCAGGAGTTTGAGACCAGCCTGGGCAACATGGTGAAACCCTGTCTCTACAAAAAATACAAAAATTAGCTTGGCTTGTTGATGCACATCTGCAGTCCCAGCTACTCAGGAGGCTGAGGGGGGAGGATGACTTGAGCTCAAAAAGTGGAGGTTTCAGTGAGCTGAGATTGTGCCACTGCACTCTAGCCTGGGCAACAGAGCGAGACCCTGTTTAAAAAAAAAAAAAAAAAGTTCATAGCAGCATTGATTGCAATAGGAAAAAAATGGGGGAAAAAAACGTAAATGCCCATCAATAGAAAAGAGAATAAATTGTGGCACGTTCATACAGTGGAATACTATATTTCAGTGAAATGAATGAACCAGAGCTACACCATCAACATCTTAAGGTAAAGTGAACAAAGCAAGCTACTGATGAGAATATGAATAAATTGCATTTATATGCCATTGAAAAACATGCTATGTATTTCTTAGGACTACGTACATAATTTGGAAAAGTATAAAATACATAGGAATGATAAATACCCAATTCAGGATAGTGGTTACCTTTGGGATGGGGGGATACAAGCAGGAAGGGCTCTGCAGGAAGATTCAATTGTATCATTGTAATTTCTTTCTTAGACTGGGAAGTAGATACATGATATTCATGTGTTATCCTGTTGATGAGGCTTAGTTATTTTCAGAAATTTTAAAACAGGGAATAAAATGTATTACTTAAAAATGAGAAAGGAATCAGAAGATACTAGTTTTAAGGGAATGTTTATACAACTCAGAGTAATGAGTAGGAAGATCTGAATGTTATGGCTGTCATGAAAAAGTTATAAATTATCAAAATTGACTAAAGGAAAAATTTTTTAACCTAAAAAAACCAGTAACTGGAGGAAATTCATGAAATTGCCTTCAAAGAATATATGTTTAGTATATGTAATTACATGGTATGACTTATTGTTTTCATGTTATAAATTATATGCAAAGCATAGAACAAGAAGGAAAATCCCCTGGGTTTGTTCATGAAGAGCACCCATACCTAAACCTGACAAAGGCAGAAAATAAAAAAGACAACTGTAGGCCAGCAGTTCTCAAACTTTTTGGTCTCAAGACTCCTTTACACTTTGAAAAATCAGTGAGAACCCTAAACAGCTTATTTATGTGAGTTATATGCATAAATATTTACCATGTTGGAAACTAAAGCAGAAACTTTTTAAGAATGGAGAAATATGTAATTTTACTAAGAAGTAAATAAACTTGTCTTTCTTTTCCCCATTCCTGAATTTACCATATTGATGTTTAGTTTTATTTTTTTGTTTGTAGGTGTCAAAATAGCATTTTAAAGGCACTGCTGAATTATTCCATCATACTACAGTATGAATTTGTGCTTGTCATAATTTGTGACTTATATGCTATTGAAATTTTAGCCAAACTAAATCTGTACACAAAGGGTGTGTGTATAAGAATGTTCATGGGCTGGGCACAGTGGCTCACACCTGTAATCCCAGCACTTTCATAGACCTAGGTGGGAGGATCGCTGGAGCTCAGGAGGTATATTCATTTCTTATTGATGAGGGCTTAGATGCTTTGCCTGTTGCTTTTGCTCTGTGATAGTTTGCACATCATGTCAGCTGCTCCACCCTTAGGCTCAAAAGGGATTTCCCTGGCACCACCCTTATAGTTCCCACTTTAGCTGTACCACAGGGAAAATATTTAACAGTTTCATAATGTTACTTCAGCTCCATAAATATTGGAACACCACTATGTTTGTTGATAGTAAAATACTTTTAGTTCTTCAGTTTCTACTGTATACGTGTAGTGAGTTACAATAGTGCTCTTCAAAGTGGTCTGGGGCCCACCTGTAAACCATCCTCAGTGAGTTAAGGAATTTATGTCATGATGTAAATCACTGCACTGTTCCTGAATTGAGAAAGTCTTGCTACCAAAACACTGTATTAAATCGTGTGCATCATGATTGACAGTCTGACACACCTCCTCACTTATCCCCCACTGGTAACATGCAGCAGCCCTGGGTTATAACAGTTTGTTAATTGGAAATACTCAGAAGTGTGATTTTAAAAGCTCTTAACTTCACAAAATATTTCCATTAATAATGTTTTGGGAGGCCTGGTGCGGTGGCTCACGCCTGTAATCCCAGCACTTTGGGAAGCTGAGGCAGGTGGATCACCTGAGGTCAGGAGTTTGAGACCAGCCTGGCCAACATGGCAGAACCTCGTCTCTGCTAAAAATACAAAAATTAGCTGGGCGTGGCTTCACGCGCCTGTAATCCCAGCTACTCGGGAGGCTGAGGCAGGAGAATCACTTGAACCCAGGAGGTGGAGGTTGCAGTGAGCCAAGGTTGCACCATTGCAGCCCAGCCTGGGTGAGAGAGTGAGACTGTCTCAAAAAAAAAAAAAAAAAAATTGGCCAGGCGCATGCCTGTAATCCCAGCACTTTGAGAGGCCGAGGTGGGCGGATCACGAGGTCAGGAGATCAAGACCATCCTAGCTAACACGGTGAAACCCCGTCTCTACTAAAAATACAAAAAATTAGCCAGGCGTGGTGGCGGGCGCCTGTAGTTCCAGCTACTCGGGAGGCTGAGGCAGGAGAATGGTGTAAACCTGGGAGGCAGAGCTTGCAGTGAGCCGAGATCGCGCCACTGCACTCCAGTCTGGGCAACAGAGTGAGACTCTGTCTCAAAAAAATAATAATAAAATAATAATAATAATATTTTGGGAAATGGATAAGTAACATTTCCTTTGAAACTAGCTGGTGAATACATGTTTCCTGTTTTTGATGAACTTCTTTCATAGTTTAAAAAGATGTTTAAAAAGAGTTTAAAAAGATGACCTCTTCTGCCACAGGACCTCAGCAATGGAGAATATCCCCATCATCACAACTGTCATCACTCTGCCGCACGTGATTGTGGAGAATATCCCTCTCCATGTGAATGCAGGTAGCGGAATTCAAATTTTACTTGATAAGAAGGACCCAATAATAATAGTTATTTTAACCTCTAAGAGTTTAGTTATTTTAACATTCTATTTAGAAAGTTTTTCAGCATTTGTAAAAGTAGCTTATGGCCAGTCTTGCTTCCTCTCTACTTCTACACACTCCTCCTACCCCTGTTATTTTGGAACAAATCCCTAGATACAAAGCCATAAATACTTTCATATGCCTGTTTTAAAAATAATGGCTATTTTAAAAAATATAATTACAGTACCATTATCACCTCTTTAAAAATTAGCAGTAATGTCTTAATGTCATCAAATTCCAATGTTGAAATTTTCCTAGTTAACTCTGGATGTTTTTTCAGTTTATTTTGAGGACTATACACTGCAACTGATGGATAAGTCTTATACTATCCTGTAACCTATAGGTAGGCAGCTAGGCTGACTACTACTCCCTCCCCCATACCATCTCTCCTCTCCCCACCCACCATTAACCCCTGCATCACCTCTTCCAATACCGCTTTCTCTACCACTTTGTCCATCTCCTCCCTCCCCGCATCTCTTCCTTGCTGAAGAAACTAAGTCATTTGTCCTATAGAGTTTCCCACAACCTGGATTTTGGAGATTACATGGTGCTGTTTTTAAATGTTTCTCTGTCCCTATAAATTGGCAGCCTGTCTGTAGGCTTGATCAGATTCAGGGTCAAGTTTTTGGCAAGAATACTTCATAGTGTATGTGCTCCCACCAGGAGGCAGGTAACATCTGTCCATCATTCTTTCTTTACTGAAATACTTTATCAAGAGAAACTTCCCTTTATCAACTGTTTGGTTATCCTAATGTCTATAATTTGAAAAAACTGTTTATAGTGCTCACTTCAACAGCATACATGTAAATGGGACTGGTGCAGAGATGAGCACGGCCCTATGCAAGGATGACACCCAAATTCATGAAGCCTTCCATGTTTTTGTATCCTAGGAAAAATAAAATGGCAGAACTGCCAGAACACACACACACACACACACACACACACACACCCACCAAACAACAGTGTATCCACAAATGAATGAATGAAAGTTTTACTTATAACTTCACTGAAACACAGCTTTTGCTTATTCTAGTTTAGGAACCATGAGTGATATTTTGGGAAACCTTTTATGGATTTAAGAAATGATCCCTGGCTGGGCGCGGTGGCTCACGCCTGTAATCCCAGCACTTTGGGAGGCCAAGGTGGGTGGATCACGAGGTCAGGAGATCGAGACCATCCTGGCTAACACGGTGAAACCCCGTCTCTATTAAAAATGCAAAAAATTAGCCAGACATGGTGGCGGGCACCTGTAGTCCCAGCTACTTGGGAGGCTGAAGCAGGACAATGGCGTGAACCCGGGAGGCGGAGCTTGCAGTGAGCCGAGATAGCACCACTGCACTCCAGCCTGGGTGAAAGAGCGAGACTCCGCCTCAAAAAAAAAAAAAAAGAAATGATCCTTAAAATATAATTCAGTTCCTGATAGCCAAGACCCTGTCTAGGCCAGTCATTTTTAGAAGGACACTCATTTCCTTAGCCTGTTTTATCATAGTCTTATTGCTGTTGTCCAATCAAAGAATTTTCTTATCCGGCAAGAGTACAGTAACGTCATTAATTTAAATGATACTATGTCCACAGAATGAGATTCATTTACAAAACGAAGCCATAAGTGGGGAGCTATTTTTTAAACCAAGAGAAGTGTGTCATCTTTCTCTGTAGATCTGCCGTCATTTGGGCGTGTCAGAGAGTCGTTACCTGTCAAGTATCACCTACAGAATAAGACCGACTTAGTTCAAGATGTAGAAATTTCTGTGGAGCCCAGTGATGCCTTCATGTTCTCAGGTCTCAAACAGGTACAGGTCATATCTTGTGATGCTTATGTTGACACAAAAGTGTGCCAGGAAACGGAGAGCTGTACCTTTAGTTTTTATGAATGAACTGAGTAAAGCTGACTGTGGTCCCTGTTGTTTTGGTAATAGTGAATTTTTAAGCACCTTAAGTACAGCTGCCTATAAAGGTGGGTTACCCTTGTCACATCATTGAGACGAGACACGTGGGTTCTTCTTATAAAACAGAAGTCCACAAATCCTTGGACTATATTATAATATGTTATAATTCCTGAAAAACTTAAAAATGTCCCCTTATTACTGATGAGTGTGTGTGTTTATGTGTGTGTGTGTGTGTGTGTGTGTGTGAGGCCTGGAGACTTCACTGTCCTAATATTAACAGCCCATTTTTCTATCAGTGAAGTTTCATAGCAATTTTGATTTTGCGTAGAATATACTTAACCTTTCGTGTGTTTAGATACATTTTGTTTCTATACTTTAAATTATCTAGATTTTTTTATTTGTTCAGTCAAATCAGGTTGGAAAAGTTCATCAAGTTTTTAAATGAGCAAACAAAATACCCAGGCAAAACCATGCTTCAGTGAGAGTCCTGTCCTCCACTGTCAGAGGGATAACAGAGATGACCCTCCAAAGTCAGGAAATACTTTTTAATTAACAAGGGCATAATTAGAGAACATATGTGTCTTAACACCTGGAAGTGTCTATCCTGACTAATTAACTGCTCTGCATATTCTGAGTGCTGTGTTTGTTGTTAAATGCAAAATAGAATTTTATATGAAATATGCTGTATGTTCAGGTACTGTTTTATATTTATAATATACAGTATTAAATATACCAACTATAGTATTTACAAATGAGTGAGCTTTTTTCTTGAGTGTCTTGATTTTTTCCACGTGTTGACTTACATAAATCGTAGGAAATATAAAGATGCTAAAATCTTACCAGTTAGTATACTTTTTAAAAGTATTGTCAAAGATTTTCAAAACATCTTTTTTTTTTCCTCCTGCAGTTACTTAACACAAAGGTAAAATCCTTAAAACAAAACAAACTACTAAATAAATTAGAAAGAACTAATTTGGTATTGACATAATGTCTACAAGTAGATACTCTTTTTACAAATTATCCCTTTACATATTGTGAACATAAAAGCTACCTGGGCTAAGGCAGAGAAAAGATTCACCTGCCTTGAGTTCTCATTCTTTAGGAGGTATAAGTTACCCATTGTAGGTCTTGGTAGAAACCGAGAAATCTTGCATATATTTTTTACACATTTCCTGTCTGCCATGTCCTAAACTCATACTAATTCAGCCCTACACTTTGGAATCTGTTTGGAAGATGGACTAGGAGAGAGTGAATATTTCAGTAGAAGGATTTGGTTATCCAATCTTTTGTAAATAATTGAGGGTAACAACATATAGATATTGCACATATGTGTATTTGATTATCTTTCTCTGTGACTTTTTATGATGCAGATTCGATTACGTATCCTCCCTGGCACGGAGCAGGAAATGCTATATAATTTCTATCCTCTGATGGCTGGATACCAGCAGCTGCCATCTCTCAACATCAACTTGCTTAGATTTCCTAACTTCACAAATCAGCTGCTCAGGCGTTTTATACCTACCAGTATTTTTGTCAAGGTAAAGCTTAGCAATTTTCTGCTTTTTAAATTCAAAGTCTTAAAAACAAACAGACTTCTTTTTCATGTAAACTTCACTGAACAGTATTTTGAGACCAACAGTGATAGTTTTGCCTTTTATTATATGTATTTGGCAGTATTGCTGTTCATTTCTATAGTTACTTTTTATAGAATCTAATTTCAAAGATTGTATTTCCTTAGGTAAATAATGATTTATCTTTATAATATCCTTAAGCATATTTTCTCTTTGGTTTAGTAAAGTATGCTTTAAAATTGTAATTTGTTTGTAACTAGTATTTCATCAAAATGAATTAACTTTAAATATCCTTAAACTTTTCTGATTCCCTGTAACTGTGTAATATTAGATTTAGCTCTCTTCTGAAAATGATCATCTCTCAGAAACTATACTCTGATTTAATGTTTTTTTTTTAATTACACAATTTCCAGGTCCCTACAATAAAAGAATACATACGATGGGCAGTGTGTAAGAGTGAATTGGAGGGATGAGTGGTTAATTTAGCTCAGCAGCCCACCTCTGATTGTCACTCCCTGATACCTAAATAAGAGCCATCTCTCCACATGCTTCTGGTGTCCCTCTAACATACATATACATTAACATAACATACATACACATTAATATATGTCACTGCTGTGCGCCCTCTTTTAAGTTTCTACCCTCATTTGGAATGACAGTTTATATTGCTCACTACTTCCTTTTTTGTGTCTGTCTTATTCAAGTTTGGGGGAACAGTTCCTTGTTTATATAATCCAGGATTTGGTAAGTTATCTGTTAATAATATTCTCTGTACTCTGCCAGCTTTTATATTTCCAGACTTTTATACAGAGTTTTTTCTATCTGTATAAAAATAATTAACCCTCCCAAGCTCCTATTCCACACCATACTTTTAAATTGTAAAAGAGGCCTGGCGCAGTGGCTCACACCTGTAATCCCAGCACTTTGGGAGGCCGAGGCGGGCAGATCATAAGGTCAGGAGATCGAGACCATCCTGGCTAACATGGTGAAACCCCATCTCTACTAAAAATACAGAAAATTAGCCGGGCGTGGTGGCAGGCACCTGTAGTTCCAGCTACTTGGGAGGCTGAGGCAGGAGAATTGCTTGAACCCAGGAGGCAGAGCTTGCAGTGAGTGGAGGTTGTGCCACTGCACTCCAGCCTGGGCAACAGAGCGAGACACTGTCTCAAAATAAATAAATAACTTGTAAAAGAAAAATCTCATAATTTTGGATATCCTTGTGTTTAAACGCTTTTTAAATATTTTCGCCAGATCCCTTCAGTCTAAAGACATTTCCATTGGCCCCACACTCTCCTGGTGAAGTCACTCTGCAGGGGACGAGTCTCATGACTGGGTGGGGGAACAGAGGGGAACAGGTGGCCTCCATAATGTCCCTTTAGCTGTTAGACTTTTTGAAGTTTGCTATTTTTAAACTTAGAAGTACTGTTTGAATCATTTAGATGTATGTAGACTTGATCATATTCTAGCTGCACAGAAATAGCTTGTTTGAAATACTAGAGTAACTAATACTGAAAAGGAGAGATTTTTGGTTCCATCAATTATTCTCTTTCATTCCTTTCTCTGGTGCTCAGGAGACCCAAACCTAATCCCAGCTAATGCTTGTTCAGTCTTTTGATTTTCTCTCAAGGTAAACCTCTTCTGGGTAGTGTTTAAATTCACAAGGAAAGGTTCCAGAAAATAAACTTTTTTTTTTTTTTGAGACAGCGTCTTGCTCTGTTGCCCAGGCTGGAGTGCAGTGGCCCGATGTCTGCTCACTGCAAGCTCTGCCTCCTGGGTTCACGCCATTCTCCTGCCTCAGCCTCCCGAGTAGCTGGGACTACAAGCGCCTGCCACCACGCCTGGCTAATTTTTTGTATTTTTAGTAGATACGGGGTTTCACCATGTTAGCCAGGATGGTCTCGATCTCCTGACCTCGTGATCCTCCCGCCTCGGCCTCCTAAAGTGCTGGGATTACAGGTGTGAGCCACTGCGCCCGGCCTAACATTTTTAACATGACTAGCATGCCCTGTTTAACTGCAGGGATCCTTTTCTGAGTACAGATACCACTTTCTAGCAACTTGACTGCTGCCAAAAATGTTCACCGGACTCCGCAGAGCCAGCTCTTTAATCAGTAGGGAAAATTTATAATTAAAAAATTTTGGCCGGGCGTGGTGGCTCACGCCTGTAATCCCAGCACTTTGGGAGGCCAAGGCTGGTGGATCACCTGAGGTCAGGAGTTCGAGACCAGCCTAGTTAACATGGTGAAACCCCATCTCTAGTAAAAACACAAAAATTAGCCGGGTGTGGTGTGGTGGGCGCCTGCAATCCCAGCTACTTGGGAGGCCGAGGCAGGAGAATTGCTTGAATCTGGAAGACAGAGGTTGCAGTGAGGTGAGACCATGCCATTGCACTCCAGCCTGGGCAACAGAATGAGATGCTGTCTCAAAAAAAAAAAATTGCCATTCTACAGTGTATATATAGTGTACATATTTCAAAACATCATGTTGTATACCGTAAATGTCTACAATTTTTTTTTTTACTTGTCACTCTAAGGACAGTGGCTGAGGATTACCCTTTCCCACTTATTGGACAATCACTGACTAAAATTTTAGGTCCTAGTGCACCTGTATTAAACTTTAGAGCTATGCTGTCCGGTATAGCCACTAGCCACATGTGACTATTGAGATTCAGTTTAAATTAAATTTGCTTAGTTACACTGCCACATTTCAAGTGCTCAATCGCTAAATGTGACTAGCGACTGCCATACCAGACAGTGACGTCCTAGGCAAGGATGAATCCATACTTTTCTTCCTTTGAATAAAAGGCTTTGGTTTTCTAATTGTATGATGCACTCATTTTTTGCTCTTGCTTGTAAAAGCTACATTTGGCAGGGATTTCACTAGCTTGAGCCATGATTTTGTTTCTAAAATTGAGCAGCTCCCATCAGTACTAAAAAAACAGTCAAGAATCAAGGATCGGGAACCTATTTCACTCACTCCATTCCTGCCGTGAATGTCTGGAAGCTATACTTAGCTATGTTTCTGTATGTATGTACACACACACTGCTATATACATCTGAACAACCACAGCAGCAGCAAACTGAAAGCAGGAGTGCTGTCTTCACTGCCTCGGGAATGCCTCAGAATCTTTCTGCTTAAAGCATAGCAAATCACTTTTGATTGTGAACACTCTTCTGTTTCATTTCCTGATCATCTTTCTCCTGCTTTCCCCACAAAGGTCTGCTATTGTATATCTGTATAATAAAATAAAATTATTTGTAAGAATTGTATTCTTTTAGCTACTAGCTATCCCTCTGGGATGTTGTTAACCTGCCAGAAATTTTACAACTAAAAACAGTTACGATACCTTTTATTCATTCTTAGTCTTGACTTTTCTGACGTGATGTTTTAAATTCTTTCAATCAGTGATCTTAGAGATAGGGCAGTTTTTGTTTTTATCTGCCACTTTTATCCTTGCAGCATGCATTGGAGTTCACTGCAGACACTTTTTCTCAAACAGGAGATTGGGCAACCTTGAGTCCCCAAAAGGAACTTACCTGTCAGCTCAGGCTCTGGACCTGCTTAAAGCTTGAGACACAGGAGGGCCCTGAGCAAGAGAGAGAGAATAAAACTATCAGTTAAGTAGGAATGATAAACAAGGTTCCATTCCACATGTGGGAGATGGCCTGGCAGTAGCTGCTGGAACGCAGGGTTGAGAGAGAAGTACTGACAGAAGAGGATTCTTCGGGTGGAAGTGCAGAGTCAGCTGGTGATGGCTACAGGAGAGGGCAGCTCCCAGCCTGTGCCGTGGCCATCCCCAGGTGCAAGTGAAGAAAGAAAGAGGTGGGGTGAAAGGAGGAGAATCACCATATCACCATTTTTATTTTGATGCTTACACTCATTTATTCTGTTTTTGTAAAACAGTTTCAAGAATTTAAAAATCCTTCCAGTTAATAGAGCTTTTGTTATTATATTATAATTTTGTAAACCCACTTTGTTTTTCCCACTTTAAAGCCACAGGGTCGACTCATGGATGATACCTCTATTGCTGCTGCATGATGTTCAAGACCGGCCCTTGGCTGTTGTTACAGAGATGTTGGGCAGAGCTATGCAGGTGTTTCATTGTGAACTCTAGCTTTGATCATGGTAAAAAGTTAACCTTTTCTATTTTTTAATGGATGTTATACCAACTATTCAGAGGAACTCATACTTCAAAAATATTAGGAAAATCTGTCTTATAGTTTCTCTAATAAATATCTGAAATCTCAGTACGACATGAAAGAATGTCAGACCATTGTTATTGTTGAAAGTCATTTGATGAATGGTAAATTCTATGAAAAGTAAGTGATTTGCATGTATAATATCAGGAAAATTAAGCATCCCAAGTGTGACTGGACAAAGAGAGCAGATGCACCAGTGCCTGTGCCATAAAGTTCCGAATCCCCCATGTGTCTCTTTCAGAGCTGGCCAGACCGGAAATAAATCATTCTCATAAATTCAGTGTGTACTCAGAACACATACACAACAACATAGGGAGTTGTATGACTGATACGGAAAACTTCCAGAAAGTTTTAATCAAAGCAGTTTAATTAAGGTATCAAAAATATCTTTGCTTACTATCAAGAAGTGTCAAATAGGTTCAGCTTGCTGCCAAAATATGGATCATTTATGAAGCAGGTTCATATTTTAGAGGTGTTAATAAAATCCTCATCGGAAAAGATCCAAAGTGCAAGGATTTGATTATAAACATAATTTCCTAGACTGAAAGTTTTTGGAAAAGATGCAGGGTCTGAGTCAGGCCTTCTGGTTATATTGTGCAGTTTCAAAAGAACTATTTAAAACTCTTGAAAACTCATGTAAATAAAAATCATAGGGTGAAAATTGTATTTGTTAAAATACCTTAATAATTTAAAATGACCTGATTTCCTGGAAAATTTTATTATTCAAAAGGTGGAGGCATTGTAAAAAGGAAATAGTGATGTAAATAAACATGTTCTCTTTCAAGTATGCTTGTCTGTCTCTATCTTTTATTTTGAGCTTGTTTGATTTCAGCTTCATGGAACAGCTTTTACTAAGAACACTGTTGCATGAGATGCAATGGCAAGCACAGGATTGAAAATTGGGCTGTGTTCTAGAACTGGCTCTGGTAACATTATGTGAGAGTTGGACAGTGCTATCTTGGGAGGACATGAGCTCCCTGTTGTAACATGGCTTTTCAGGTAGAGGCCATGGAGCATGACTCTAGAGTCCAGCTGTCTAGGATCAAATCCCTCCTCTGCTGCTTTTGTCTGGGTGACGTTGTTCAAGTTCCTTACCCTCTGTGTATCTCAGCGTTCTTGTATATAAGATGTAAATAACACCCATCTTATAGGCTTGTTATGAAGGATGATATAGATTCATACATGAGAAGAGCTTGGAACAGTGCCAGACCCAAAGTTATGTATGAGGGTGCTCAGCCAGTGTCATCTATATTTTTATGGGAAGGCTGAAGAGGGTATTCACTTTTCTACTGGAGAGTTCCATGTTATCAGAATTTGTTGATACATTTTACATAATTTACTACATATATGAGTATACATGTGTATGTAAATACGTGAAACTATAAACAAGTTTCATAGAAGAATGCATTCTGTGTACTCTTACATATTTTGTATCCTACTCTGTTTTGTTAAAAAACATCCCTGGTTATAAACCTGATGAATTGATTTCATGACCCACTAATAGGATGTAAAGTGCGGTTTGAAAAATACTGGACCAAGATCTTGAAGGTGCTGTTGAATTCTAAGATGGTCTGACGCAGTGCTTACATAATAAAGATCCCATGTGTTAACACTGCCATTGTCAAACGAAGTACATGTTTGAACAGTGGGTCACTGACATGCACTTTAAAATGATCAACATGGATGGCAGTGGGATTTGTGTACCTGTGCGCGCTTCTGTACGGATATCAAACAGGTCTTTTTCTTCTTGATCTTTCTTAGAGTTGGCAATAGAGTAAGCCTTTCTCAACCAGGAATTCTCCCATATCACAAATTCTACTGTGAGTATATTCTGTCTACCTATTTTGAAACTGAAAATTTTGATTCAACAATACATGAAGTCATCATCTACCCTGGGTTCTAAACTCAGAACTGTTACAGTGTTGCAGGAGCTCTTCATTCACTGAGGCTCCGAGTGTCAGGGAGGACCTCACCCTCTTTCTCCCTGCCTCTGCCAGCAGCCACGACCATCTGTCCCTCATGAGAACGTCTGCCTTCTGTCTTTGTACGTTTGGTTCTCAACATTGCTGTCTGCCAGTGTTCGCACCATCCAGGGATACAGTTTTTTAAATAAAGTGTTATAAATTGTGGGGGAGGTGTGTATAAAAGTTTAACTCGTATACATGATGCGATAAGCACTGGTGGATAATCCAAATATTACCAAAAGGAGCATGCAGATGGTAATGTCTTTGGGAAGGACAAAGTTATTAATTTGCTTAGTTTTATATCTTTGTGATCCTTCAACTTGCAAATTTGATCCCTTCAACTCAGTTTTCCTCATAATGTCTTTAGTTCTCTATCTTTGAATTCTTATGAGAATGAAGAGGTTTTACAGAGCATGGCTCTTCACGTTTTTCAGAATGTCTTCACATTACTTGGAGATTCATTATTTTTGTTCGAATTCAGTCATTTCTTTCATGGACCATGTTATATTTCCACCCAGAATATAAAAAGCCCCCCAGTTGATACTCTGAAATAATAGCTGTGAAGAATTCCAAGCTGTAATTTCCATGTTGGTGTTGTAAGGAGAAAGGGAGCGCTGTTAAGGAAAGGACAGCAAGCAGACAAGCGAAGTTCGCCTTTTAATGGGGAGGGTCCCTGCCGCCCCAGCAAATACCCTTCTGAAGCCTCCTCACCTGGCCTTAAAATTCAGAAAAGGCACCCAAAGTGTCCCAACTCAGTTTAAAAGTTAGACATGGGTTGCATTATTTAATGGTAGAGTGGATAAATAGCAGTGACAGTAACTTTCAAAGCAGTTACGTGCATGCAGCATTAGTAATTAGAGATGGTCCAACAAATGTGTGATAACCAAATAGAAATGTATACATTATCTCATCTCCTCAGTTTTTCATGCCATATGGATTCACCCCACAGGACTAAATCTTCTCTAGCTAAAGCATTATGAGTGAATGCTAACTAAAAGCATTCAGTTATATAAGGAAACAAATTTTTACGTTATTTTATTGTCCCAGTATTCTTACATACCCTGTTTTACAATTACAGATTTGTTCTGAAACATTTCTAATGAGTGACACTGCTGCTGTTCTTTTTTTTTTTTTTTTTTTTTTTTTTTTTTTGAGACAGAGTCTCACTCTGCTCATTCTGTTGCCCAGGCTGGAGCGCAGTGGCATGATCTCAGGTCACTGCAACATCCGCCTCCCAGTTTCAAGCAATTCTCCTGCCTCGGCCTCCCTAGTAGCTGGGATTAGAGGTGTCCACCACCATACCCAGCTAATTTTTGTATTTTTAGTAGAGATGGCGTTTTGCCATGTTGGCCAGGCTGGTCTCAAACTCCCGACCTCAGGTGATCCACCCACCTCAGCCTCCCAAAGTGCTAGGATTATAGGCATGAGCCACCGTGCCCGGCCATACTCATGCCATTCTTTGGTGACCATAACCATACCATTTATTTTAGCAAGTGATGCCATTCTCAGACATACCTACTGAAGAGCTCCATAAAATTCACTAAATGAGTATAAAATTCCATGTTTTTCATGAAAAAAAATGCATAGTTCCATTATATTCAAGTTTTCCTTAAAGATCAAATTGGTGAAAAAACATTCCCTTCCACTCGATTTACTTATGTCTGCAAAAGGAGAAGACGATCACAAGGCCTTATTGTTTCTGCTTTCTGAAGCATGTTTTACTAGAGGGGAAAGTAGAACCAAGGTCAAAACTGCCACGCATGTCCACTCAGGGTGCACTGCCTGAGTTAGCCCTGCTTTGCAGGGAGCTGTGTTAAAAGGGAAAAATCTCAAACTGCCGAGTACCCTTGCATTTCAAGGTCTGTGTACCATCCAAGTTATACTCCAAGCAACTTTTTTTTCTTTTTTTACTATGCTCACTCCAGTTTTTTTTTTTATCATTTCTATTTTCTCTCCATTGAAAGAACACAAAACTCATAGTAACCTTGAAATTGGTTTTTTATTTACAGAATACACCCTTATCCAAAATGTATCAACATGAGGCAGAGCGCGGTGGCTCATGCCTGTAATCCCAGCACTTTGGGAGGCTGAGGTGGGCGGGTCATTTGAGCCCAGGAGTTCAAGACAAGCCTGGGCAACATGGCAAATCCCCGTCTCTACTAAAAATACAAAAAATTAGCCGGACGTGGTGGCTCGTGCCTCTAGTCCTGTAGTCTCAGCTACTCGGGGAGCTTAGGTGGGAGGATCACTCGAACCTGGGAAGTCAAGGCTGTAGTGAGCCATGATCACACCACCACACTCCAGCCCGGGTGACAGAGCGAGATCCCGTTTCAGGAAAAAAAAATAGTATCATCATGCATGGTAAATGGAAACTTACAAATATTACCTTGTTAGGTTGGTCAGGATTTCTAAACTATCTTTCCCAAATGATCATTGCTAACATTTATTGAGTAATGTGATGTGCCACATGGGTATGTTTTTATCTCATATAATACTCATAAAAGCTCAATGTGGTTTTAGGTACTCTTATTATTCCCATTTTGAAGATGTGAAAGCTGAGGCGCAGAAAGGTTAAGTAACTTGCCCAGTGTTCTGGTTATCCATTGCTACAAAACAAATCTGCCCAATGTTTAATAGCTTAAAACAACCATCATTATCTTTATGGTTTCAGTGGGGCAGGAATTTGGGAACAACTCAGATGGACAGTTCTGGCTTGGGGTCACTCATGCAGTTGTAGTCAAACAGTAGCTGGAGTTAGAATAGGACCAACTGTGAGAACCAGGGGAACCGAGGCAGCTTGGAGCTAGCCAGGCACCTCTATTTAGTTAGGGTCGCTCTATGTGTTCACTGGGATTCCTCACAGCATGGCCGGCTGAAGGTGGCTGGACTGCTTACCTGGCAGCTCAAACCTCCAGTGAGAATGGAACCAGCAAGGGAAGCTGCATCACCTTTTTTGACCTTGCCTTCAATAACACATAATGTCACTGCTAGGGTCACAGTCCACCCAGATTCAAGGGGAGGGAACACAAACTATAAATGTCACCTCTTGAGGGGGAAATGGCCTCATCCAGAAGGTACAGGACAGGAGGTATTATTGCCTCCATCTTTGGAAAACAAAATCTGCTGTACCCAGTGACATGGCAAGTGGGAGTAGAGCTGGGACTGTCATCAAGGTACTGTCCTGCAGAGGCCGCAACACTACACAGCCACCATTCTAATGCTGCCAGGGCTTAGTCCTAAATAAATTTGTCTTGAGCTAAATTATGTATGCCTGAAGTACTAGGCATTTTTATGAATTAAGATCTTTCCATGCCTGGGTCTCCATGGCTGAAGCCTCTAATCCCAAAATTTTGGGAGTCTGAGAGGTAAGGATCGCTTGAGGCTAGGAGTTTGAGACCAGCCTGGGCTAGCAAGCCCCTGTCTCCACACAAAACAGAAAAATTAGCCAGGAGTGGTGGTGCCCCCCTGCTACTCTGGAGGCTGAGGCAGGAGGATCACTTGAACCCAGGACGTGGGGCCGCAGTGAGTCATGATTGCACCACTGCACTCCAGCCTGGGCGACAGAGAGCCTGTCTCTAAAAAAAAAAAAAAAAAAAAAAAAAATTCTTTCATTCTGTGACAGTAAATCTATTGCCCTCAATTACACAAATTTATTCCAAGTATTTACTGTGGGCCTACTGTGGGCCAGTTTGTGGGCTGGTTGCTGTGGCCATAAAGGAATCCCTATTCCTGAAGACCAGTGGTCCAGCAGGAGACACTGCCACGGCAGCAGGTTCTGACACAGTGTGGTCAGTGCCATGGAAATGGGCACAAGACTAGTAAGTGATGGGATGTCTGGGATTTCCTTTAACATACCTGAAAAGAAACAAAATAACCAGATTGGAGAGAAATGGATGAAACAAGATTTGAAAAATGTTGATAACATTAAAGATGGGTGGGCCTGGGGGCTTTGCCATTCACTCTCCTTTTGGGTATGTCTGGAAATTTCCATAATAAAAAAATAACAAAGGATACAAGGTAGACAGGAGCCCCAGGGAAGGATTAACTTTATTATAGAGTATGAGGAGGAAGCTGCGGGGAGGTAGGGCTTCCTCAAGGAGGGACATTGACATTGGAGTTGTTTTTGTTTTTGTGTTCATAATAAAATGATTCTGTGCTTTTGTTGTGTGGGAATGCATTTCCATCATCCATGAACAGATAATGTTATGTGAACTGGATTTTGGAGGACATAGAAACGTTTGTAAAATAAACAGATCAAGGAAGAGCTTTCCAGGTGATGAAAGGGACTGTTGGCATGCACCCCTGCGGCACCCTGGCATGCCAGTGCTTTGAACATAGACAGACTTGTCCACTGTTGAGTAAACCTAACCTTTATTTTTTTCTTCCTTAGATATTCAGTGATAAGAGAATGGTGAGCAGGGGATGAAACTCACTTAAAAATGCAAGCGCGCTTGCTGCTGTCTCCCTGCACCTCTGCAGAGCAGGGCTTCTCTCCCGGAGCTTTTGGAGGAAGCTGGTCTTCTTTTTGGTAATGCTCATCAGCTTGAAGAACCGTAGTCTGAAAAAATATTTGATCTTGGAGAATAATTCAAAATCACTATCTCAACAAAGGACTGAATTCCAAATGCCAAATTTAACAGGAACAGTTCATAAACCCTTTATTCAAGATGAAATAGGCCAGGCGCGGTGGCTCAGGCCTGTAATCCCAGCACTTTGGGAGGCCGAGGTGGGCGGATCACGAGGTCAGGAGATCGAGACCATCCTGGCTAACACGGTGAAACCCCGTCTCTACTAAAAATACAACAAATTACCCGGGTGTGGTGGCGGGTGCCTGTAGTCCCAGCTACTGGAGAGGCTGAAGCAGGAGCATGGCCTGAACCCGGGAGGCGGAGCTTGCAGTGAGCCAAGATCATGCCACTGCACTCCAGCCTGGGAGACAGAGTGAGACTCCGTCTCAAAAAAAAAAAAAAAAAAAGATGAAATACGGAATTATTCAGTCATAGGATGGGAGGGGCTCCGTAATAGCTTTTTAAAATCAAACAGCTGATTTTTTTTTAATCAAAGGTATTAGTGACACCATTTGGTCAGACTACATTTACGATATTCTCTCCACTTCTGATTGCCATCCTTTATTTCATTTTACTTTTTTATTGTGACCATTTCCGAACAGACACAAAAGTAGAGACTGTTACACACTTCCATGCTTATACTCAGCTTCAGCCATTAATGCCTTGCCCTCTACCATCCATCCTCCCTACCTCATTTCACCAGAAAGAAAAGGACTTTTAAAATCACACAACCACAATGCATTATTACATCTAATCAATTATTTCTTTACATTGTCTAGTATAACATATTCAATTTTCCCTAAGTCTTTTTACAGTTGGCTTGTTTGAATATGGATCCAAACAAGGTCCATCATTATATTGTTTCATTTCATGTAGAACAGTCCCGTCCCCCTTTATATCCCCTATTGACTTGATGAAGAAATGGGTCAGTTGTTTTGTAAAATATCCCACATTCGGGGTTTAGTTAATTGCAACCCCAGGGTGTTTATGTAACTTGTTCCTCTATCTACTGTTTTTCCAATGGACTGGGAGTTAGAGTTACAAGCTAGCCTGAGCTCAAATTCTTTCTCCTTCTCATCCTCCCTCCAGTTCTTCTCTCCTCTACTTCCTTCCTTTCACCCTCCTTCTCTCTCCCTCACTCCTTCCTTCCATCTTTCCTTTTTTTTTTTTTTTTTCAGAATAAGGCTATTTCATAGGTGATATTTCCCATCACCACACTTCTGTCTCGTCTCGCTTTTCGTGGTAAGACTGATCAATGGGTTTAGAGGATGGCAGCCTAATTCCTTTATCATAAGGTTCAGCTAAACAGCCATCGATGCAATTGTCTGAATTGAATGACGCTCATTGCATTGACGCATTGATCGCTGTTTAGCTGAACTGTATATTTAACTTAAATGTTTTAAAATTAGAAGTTTTTCAATTGGAAGTTGCAAAATGTAATTAAAGAATGCTATTCTGCATTCATTGACTGGAATTCTTAGAGAATTTTTTTTCCTCATCCACTAGGTCTATTTAATTACCCTACAATATAGTTCCTACAGCAAAGAGAACTTTTTTTCTTAATTCAGCCCATCAGACAAGGAAGCAAAGATAATTTTTAATAACCTAATTCCTTCTCTTTATTTGTAATTTTCTTCCTTTTTTTTTTTTTTTTTTGAGACGAGCCTAACTCTGTCACCCAGATGGGAGTGCAGTGGCATGATTTTGGCTCGCTGCAACCCCCGCCTCCCGGGTTCAAGTGATTCTCCTGCCTCAGCCTCCCAAGAGTAGCTGGGATTACAGGCGCGCACCACCAAGCCCCGCTAATCTTTGTATTTTTAGTAGAGACGGGGTTTCACCAGGATGGCCAGGCTGGTCTCGAACCCCTGGGCTCTAGTGATCTGCCCGCCTCAGCCTCCGAAAGTGCTGAGATTACAGGAGTGAGCCCCAGCGGCCGGCCTCTGTATTTTTAATTTTCAGTGTAACGAGTTGGTGGCCCTCCTATCTCTAATGTTATCCCAGAGCTTCGGTGTTTGTGCTTCGTGCCCTCTCCGTTTCTCCCCTGTTCTTATGGAATAATGATGTGCATTAGGAGCCTGGGGTCAGGAGTCCAAGGTTAGGGTGAGGGCTTTCCCGTGGTGTTGGCAGCAGCTGGCGCCTGCGCCCTCCGTGCAGGAGAGCAGCTCCCTCCAGCGGCTTCCCTCGCGCTTTGTGCCTTGCCCACCGCTCAGACGCTCTGCTCTGAAAAGTAAAGTTCACAAGGTATCTTCAGCTGCAAGGATAAAATCAAGAAGACAACTTCAAACACAACCTTTATCAACTTAAAATCAATATTAATGTACGAATGGTCCGAATGGTCACCTTGGGAAATCAGTGAAAGGGCCTGACATGGAGAAGAGATTAAATTATGTTTAATAAATGTTCATTTTATGTTCATTCTTTGAAAACGGGCACTCATTGAGTGACAGATCTTTTACCACACACAAACACTAACAGATACGCGTAACTGCGCCCTGCGACATTTTATTTTCCGGCTGCTCCCCCTCCGCTGTCAGGTGGGCAGTGTCCACGGTGCTTAGGGGAACAGGAGGGGTTCCGGTGCTGCTTCCCTTCCGTGCACAGAAAATCCACCCAGGCTGGCGCGGCGGCTCACGCCTGTAATCCCAGCACTTTGAGTGGCTGAGGGGGGCGGTTCACTTGAGGTCATGAGTTCGAGACCAGACTGGCCAACACGGTGAAACCGTCTCTACTAAAAATAAAAACCGTCTCTGCTAAAAAAATTAGCCAGGCTAGGTGGCGCGCCTGTAATCCCAGCACTCTGAGAGGACAAGGCGGGTGGGTCACCTGAGGTCAGGAGTTCCAGACCAGCCTGGCCAACAAGGTGAAACCGCATCTCTACTAAAAATACAAAAATTAGGCCGGGCGCGGTGGCTCACGCCTGTAATCCCAGCACTTTGGGAGGCCGAGGCGGGCGGATCACGAGGTCATAAGATCAAACCATCCTGGCTAACACGGTGAAACCCCGTCTCTACTAAAAATACAAAAAAATTAGCCGGGCGTGGTGCGGGCGCCTGTAGTCCCAGCTACTCGGGAGGCTGAGGCAGGAGAATGGCGTGAACCCGGGAGGCGGAGCTTGCAGTGAGCCGAGATCCCGCCACTGCACTCCAGCCTGGGGGAAAGAGCCAGACTCCGTCTCAAAAAAAAAAAATAAAAAATAAAAAATTAAATTAGCCTGGCGTGGTGGCAGACATCTGTAATCCCAGCTACTGGGGAGGCTGAGGTGCGAGAATCATTTGAACCCGGGAGGCGGAGGTTGCAGTGAGCCGAGATCGCGCCACTGCACTTCAACCTGGGCGACAGAGGGAGACCTCATCTCAAAAAAAAAAAAAAAAAACAAAAGAGGAAACAAACAAACAAAAAACCTACACCAGCCCAGCCTCTCTAGCGAGGCTCACCCGCCCGCCCGGCCCCCGCACCCGGTCTCGGCTTCTCTGGCCAGGCCGCGGGGCCGTTCGGCGCGGGGCGGGGCGTCGGGGAGTTTCCGCAGCGGTTAGACCGGCCAGGGGACCTCGGGACAATGAGCCTTTCTGTTTTAAAGCCGGAACCCAGCCGGGCCGCGCCGCGAGGAGGCTCCCCTGAGGCTGGCAGGAGAGACCTGCAGAAACTCGTGCGCGCCGAGCGAGGCGGGCGCCCTGGGGCTGGGGCACGCGGCCGGCGGGGGCCGCCAGGGAGCGGCCGTGGCGGGACCAGGACTACGGTGCGCCCCGCCGCCGCCAGCACCCGCCTTGGGAAGCCCGTCCGACGCGTACGCTGCAGGGGCCTTCAATAGGGGCTGTCGCCACCTGCACCCGCGCCGCTGCGGTTCGCAGGAAACTCCTGTGGCTTTTCGGAAGCACAATGCAGAACGCCCGGTGAGGGTTTGCAAAGCCGCCCTGGGAGATGCCGCAGTGTGAAACCTTTACGGTTGCACCTGGCCTCTCTGCTGCATCTGGCCTGTCTGCTGCACCTGGCCTCTCTGCCCCACCTGGCCTCTCTGCCCCACCTGGCCTCTCTGCTGCATCTGGCCTCTGCTGCGCCTGGCCTGTCTGCTGCATCTGGCGCCTGTTGCACCTGGCCTCTTGGCTGCAACTGGCCTCTCAGCTGCGCCTCTTTGTTGCCTCTGCAAACTCGGGTGCCCTGGAGCTTCCTACCCAGAAGTGAGTGCCGTGCACACTGCAGGTGCGAGGTGCCCCTCCTTCTGTCTGTTCTGTTTGGTTTGGCAGATGACAGCACTCTCAGTGGGGCCTGAAACCTTGACAGTCATGGCTTTCTTTGTAAGGACTCTCTTCCTTCATTAAATCGCTTGTATTTGGATTACAGAGATCTGTCATAAAGAGATTCAGTACTTAATAATAACGTGGGGAAAGGATCACCAGGTACTGTTAAGAAAAAAGCAAGGACAGAACAGTGAATACGGTAATGATCTTGTTTCGTAATACAAAACAAAACAGACACTATGCAAATACAAACCCAAAGGAAAATGATCATGCATAAAAATACTGTTTTTGGGCCGGGGGCTGTGGCCCATGCCTATAATCCCAGCACTTTGGGAGGCCAAGGCAGGAGGATCACTTGAGTCCAGGAGTTCAAGATCAGCCTCGGCAACAAAGCGTGACTTCGTCTCTACAAAAATTAAAAAGAAATTAGCCAGGCGCTGGTGTGGGCCTGTAGTCTCGGCTACTTGAAAGGCTGAGGTATGAGGATTGCTGGAGCCCAGGAGGTCAAGGCTGCATTGAGCTATGATTGTGCCACTGCACTCTAGGCTGGGCGACAGAGCTGGGCCCCATCTCTCTCTCTCTCTAGAAAGATAGTTTTTGGATTGTTGGATTGTACAGGTGATAATAATTTTCTTTATTTTACTTATCTGTTCCGAATAGTTTTCCACAGTAAACATGTTTTTTTTTCTAAGAAGAAGGGATAATAAATGTTTATTTTTTGAAAGGAACATAGATCGGCTGGGCGTGGTGGCTCACGCCTGTAATCCCAGCACTTTGGGAGGCGGAGGCGGGCAGATCACGAGATCAGAAGACCAGCCTGGCCAATGTGGTGAAACCCCGTCACTACTAAAAATAAAAAAAAATTAGCTAGGCACGGTGGCACACACCTGTTGTCCCAGTTACTCGGGAGGCTGAGGCAGGAGAATTACTTGAACCGGGAGGCGGAGGTTGCAGTGAGCCGAGATGGTGCCACTGCACTCCAGCCTGGGCAACAGAATGAGACTCCATCTCAAAAAAATAAATCAATAAAAGGAACATAGATCACAACACCAGAGGGAAGAGACCCAGCAGACGGGTCCTATGCAGAAACTTGCTCCCCAGTGATCCACAAGTCACCCAGGAGGTAAAGTATATGCAAGCCACATCAGTGTTCCAGGATGAGGGTTGCCATTAACAAGTTTGTTTCCAGCCCTGAAATCTGTTCCCATTTGAACAAATATTACTCTTAGGAATAGTATAGGGCTCCCCCACCAAGATGGTTTAAGCAAAGGTCATAGGCCCTGCCTGTCTAAAAATGTAACCCTGAAGTTCTTTTTGGGTGAAAGCATTGTTAGGTGTCTCAGACAAGGACTGTTCTATTCAACACGGAAGCACGCGTTTGCTTGTGAGCTGTTACTGCAGACTTGCCTGAGATGCATCCAGCCCAGAAGGGCAGGCACAGTGGGCAGCTTGTGTATGGAGGGAGATCAACCGGGAGAAGACACAAAGATACATTTTTGAGACTTTATTATTTCCCATCTAAAAGTCCACCCCTATTCTAGTGGCCAGAATTGACTGCAGAGAAGGCAGGGTGCCCAGGAAGGGGACTGTATGGTAAACACAGCATTATCACTGCCACAGGAGCCTGGTAGGGCTCAGCTGAAACTCCACCTCCCTCCACAGCCTTCAGGGGTCCTTCTTGTCCTATGGACTCTTCTGGCATTTCCTGTGTGGATGCCCATCTCATACCTTTACATTTTTAAATTTTATTTATTTGAGATGGAGTCTTACTCTGTCACCAGGCTGGAGTGCAGTGGCACTATCTCAGCTCACTGCAACTTCCACCTCCCAGGTTCAAACAATTTTCCTGCTTCAGCTTCCTAAGTAGCTAGGATTGCAGGCGTCCGCCACCCTGCCCAGCTAATTTTTGTATTTTTAGTAGAGGTGGGGTTTCATCATGTTGGTCAGGCTGGTCTCGAACTCCTGACCACAGGTGATCTGCCCTCCGTGGCCTCCCAAAGTGCTGGTGAGAGGTGAAGCCGGCTGGGCTTCTGGGATGGGTGGGGACTTGGAGAACTTATTTGTCTAGCTAAAGGATTGTAAACGCACCAATCAGCACTCTGTGTCTAGCTAAAGGTTTGTAAATGCACCAATCAGCACTCTGTCAAAAATGGACCAATCAGCACTCTGTAAAATGGACCAATCAGCACTCTGTAAAATGGACCAATCAGCTTGCTGTAAAATGGACCAATCAGCAGGATGTGGGTGGGGCCAAATAAGGGGATAAAAAGCAGGCCATGCGAGCCACCTGTGGCAACCCACTTGGGTTCCCTGCGATGTTGTGGAAGGGTTGTTGTTTTGCTGTTTCCAGTAAATGTTGGTGTTGCTCAGTTTTTGGGTCCACACTGTGTTTATGAGCTGTAACACGCACTGCAAAGGTCTGCAGCTTCACTCCTGAGGTCAGCGAGACCATGAACTCACCAACCTGCTGGGAGGGATGAACAACTCCGGACGCGCCACGTTTATGAACTGTAACACCACGAAGGTCTGCAGCTTCGCTCCTGAGGCCAGCACGACCATGAACCCATTAGAAGGAATGAACAACTCCAGACGCGCTGCCCTTAGGAGCCGTAACACTCACTGTGAAGGTAAGCAGTTTCACTCCTTAAGTCAGGGAGACCACGAACCCACCAGAAGGAAGAAACTCCAGACACACCGAAGGGGTGGCCTGTCCCTCCACACCTGTGGATATTTCTAGTTGGGTGGGACGAGAGAGTGAGAAAAGAAATGACACAAAGTATAGAGGAAACAACAGTGGGCCCAGAGCACCAGCACCAGCACTGGTCTCTGAGTTCCCTCAGTTTCTATTGATTACTATCTTCATTATTTCAGTAAAAAGGAATGTAGTAGGAGGGCAGGGTGATAATGAGAAGGTCAGCAACAAACGTGAGCAATAGAATCTGTGTCATAATTAAGTTCGAGGGAAGGTACTATGACTGGACGTGCACGTAAGCCAGATTTATGTTTCTCTCCACCCAAACATCTCAGTGGAGTAAAGAATAACAAGGCAGCACTGCTGCAAGCATGTCTCGCCTCCCACCATAGGGCGGTTTTTCTCTGATCTCAGAATTGAACAAATGTACTATCGGGTTTTATACCGAGACATTCAGTTCCCAGGGGCAGGCAGGAGACCTGGGCAGTTCCAGAGGCAGGCAGGATAGTGGCCGCCTTCTATCTCAACTGCAAGAGGCTTTCCTTTTACTAATCCACCTCAGCACAGACCCTTTTCAGGTGTCGGGCTGGGGGACGGTCAGGTCTTTCTCATCCCATGAGGCCATATTTCAGACTATCACAAGGGGAGAAACCTTGGACAATACCCTGCTTTCAAGGGCAGAGGTCCCTGCGGCTTTCCTCAGTGCATTGTGCCCCTGGTTTATTGAGACTAGAGAATGGCGATGACTTTTACCAAGTATACTGCTTGTAAACATTTTGTTAACAAGGGATGTCCTGCACAGCCCTAGATCCCTTAAACCTTGATTTCATACAACACATGTTTTTGTGAGCTCCAGGTTGGGTCAAAGTGGCTGGGGCAAAGTGGTTGGGGCAAAGCTACAAATTAACATCTCAGCAAAGCAATTGTTTAAAGTACAGGTCTTTTTCAAAATGGAGTCTCTTATGTCTTTCCTTTCTATATAGACACAGTAACAGTCTGATCTTTCCTTTCCCTACAACACACCATCTTTAAGAACTATAACACTCACCACAAGGGCCCATGGCTTCATTCTTGAAGTCAGCGAGACCAAGAACCCACCAATTCTGGACACACTGGGATTACGGGCATGAGTCACTGCACCCAGCTCATCTTGCACCTTTTTAAAGGCTGCATTCTGTCTCTCAACTAGCTCTTTGTCCTGTATCTCTTTTCTCTCTAGTGCCCAAAGCAGGGCTCAGATGGGGTTGGACGCAGCCATCAATGGCCAGGGGATGACTTAGTTGCTCGAAAGTGCAATCTGGGCTGTCTTGTTACTAAAAACAGTTCTGTGAAATGCTACAGTCAACAGCCACTTGCTGGTTTAACTCAGTGATTGAACTGGATACAGTGACTAGAGAGAATCCAAATAGTATGGAGGCCCAAGGTCAGCTGCCTTGTTGAGTCAGTCAGCAGAGAGAAAGCTCTCCACCAGAGTACGCAGAAGTGTAGCGGGCTATCTTCAGGGAACTATGTCCTGGATAGCTACAGGATACGGTTTTAGGTGTTCTGTCAATGATCATATTATTTAGTGCAGTTAAATAAGGATTTATTCACTGATCAAGCAGAATTTTTAAAAATATATACTTCCCGAATGCTAAAAATGGAATTAAAAGCAGCCAATTCTTGTAGAATTGCTGACTTCCCTTTCTCTATTTGTGAGAGAGATATGGAGTGATCCCGACCTTAACAGAATTTTTTTTTCTTTGAGATGGAGTCTCACTCCATCACCCAGGCTGGAAGGCAGTGGCGCGATCTCGGCTCACTGCAACCTCTGCCTCCTGGGTTCAAGCGATTCTCCCACCTCGACCTCCCCAGTAGCTAGGATTACAGGTGCCCACCGCCACACCTAGTTGTTTTGTATTTTCAGTAGAGAATGGGGTCTCGCCATGTTGGCCAGGCTGGTCTCAAACTTCTGACCTCAAGTGATCTGGTTGCATCAGCCTCCCAAAGTGCTGGGATTATAGGCGTGAGCCATTGTGCCTGGCTAATTTTTTTGTATCTTTAGTAGAGACGTTTTCACCATGTTGGCCAGGCTGGTCTGGAATTCTTGACCTCAAGTGATCCACCTGCCTCGGCCTCTCAAAAGTGCTGGGATTACGGGCATGAGCCACCGCGCCCGGCCTAGACCCCGGACCTTAACAGCAGCTGTTAAGGACACAGCCCCCGTTTGGCCAACGCTAAGCATTTTGCCAAATAGTAGCTTGTTCTGCCTTCTGTGCAACTCTCCGCTGGATTCTGTTCAGTCGAAGGGGATGGCAGGAGTGAACGCCTCCGAACTGTGTGTGTAAGGAGAGGGAGGGGCTGGCAGACATCTTGTGATTGACAGCAACCCAGTGTCAGTCCATCCGTCATTCATTGGTCTCTGACCCCAGCACAAATCCCACCGAGGCTGTTGGAACCTCGGTAGAGGAAGTTGGGGTCTCGCACCAGAAACAAACGTTCCTTACTTACAGAGGGGCAGCTTTCCCTGGAAGTTGACCGGGTCCGGCATCTGCTCACATACGCCTTTCCACTGCCTGGGAAGACAGAGTGGCAAACTGGCTGGGCATTTGTAACCATGTCATCTGGAATCCTGTTTGCATGTGGATGGAGACTTTTCTTACTGTACTCTGAACTGTTCATTCATTCTTTGACTTAACAGATATTTGTTTGTTTTTGAGGCAGAGTCTGGCTCTGTTGCCAGGCTGGACTGCAGTGGCACAATCTCTGCTCACTGTAACCTCTGCCTCCCAAATTCAAGTAATTCTCCTGCCTCAGCCTCCTGATTAGCTGGGGCTGCAGGTGCACGCTGCCACACCTGGTTTTTTTTTTGTTTTTGTTTTTGTTTTTGTTTGTATTTTAGTAGTGACAGGGTTTCTTGAACTCCTAAGCTCAGGCAATCCGCCCGCCGCGGCCTCCCAAAGTGCTTGGATTACAGGTGTGAGCCACTGCCCCAGCCACTTAACAGATGTTTATTGAACACTAAAAATGTGTCAGGTGCTCTCTTAAGCCAGTTCAAGTACATTGGTGAACAAAATACACCAAGACTCCCCTCCTCATGGGTATTTTAGGATGGATAATAAACCACAAATATAATAGATAAACATTAGAAAGTATTTTAGAAGGTGATACATGCTATGAAAAAAGAAATAACAGCAGGGTGCCAAGCATGGTAGTTCACACCTGTAATCCTAGCACTTTGGAAGGCTGAGGTGGGTAGACTGATAGAGCCTAGGCGTTGAAGACCAGCCTGGGCAACATAGCAAGACACCATTTGTACAAAAAAATGCAAAAATTAGAGGTGGGTGTGGTGGCACATGCCTGTACTCCCAGCTACTCGGGAGACTCAGATGGGAGGATCACTGCTGCCTGGGTGGATGAGGCTGTAACAAGCCATGATTGCGCCACTGGATTCCAGCCCGTGTGACAGAGTGAGACCCTGTTTTTCCCCACCCAACCCCCGGCAAAAAAGAAGGAGAGCAGGGTGAGTGGGGGTTACATTGTTAAATAGGAGGTCAGAGCAGGACTCGCCAAAAAAGTAGCGTTTAAGCAAAAACTTGAAGAGGACATTAGCTTTGAGGTGGTTGGAGAAAGCAGGCTTTAGGCACAGAGAAGAGTTAGTTTCAATGTCCCGAAGGAGGGGCATGCCCAACGGGAATTTCCAGAGCAGTGTGGGGAGCAGAGTGAGCAAGGCGATGAGATCACAGAGGTGTCGGATCTTGCCAGACCTTCCAGGCCATTCATTGCACAGACTTGGCTTTTTCTCTGAATAGGGAACCACTGGGAGGTTAGAGCAAAGGAGTGACGAGCTCTGACTTAGCTTTCACAGGATCACTCTGGCTGCTGTGTTGATCCTGGACTGTCAGGGTACAAAGGTAGAGGAGACATTGCGGTGATCCCAGGGCCCTGGAGAGAGGAGTGGCAGTGGAACTGATGAGAGGTGCTCAGATGCTGGAGAGAACTAGAGTGACTTGCCCAAGGTCACACAGCTAGTCAGCAGGAGAGCCAGGTAAGAGCCCAATTCTCCCAAATTACAATGTCATGCTTAATCCACTACCCTTCTCTTCAGTCTTTCGGCACCTCGTGGCCATGCTGAGATGCAGGTTTCACATGTGATTTTTGGTTGTCTTGGAGGCATCAATGCATTTGAGTATATGTCTAGGTATCTCATTCCAGCACCATTCTTTTGAAAATGTTTTGGGGCTAGAAGGTAGTATATCAGACATCCACTCTTTGCTACACACACTGATACCTGGATATGATTTCTAGATATTTTTGCAAAAATTCTTGTATACACCCTTTTTCTCTGTCGAAGGCACATCTAGTGATACCAATATGACACTGAAGGCACCCGAGGTGGATTCCTGGCAAGCTTCTACTGTGCATAAGATGAAGATCTGCTCTTGTCTGATGGCTACTCCAGGAAGAAGCAGATGAGCTACGGCTGGAATTATAGCCATGATGCTTTTCTCTAATCTAGAAGGTTCCTGAGGATGTCAGTGACTGATCTGTGGCTTGGCATGTTCACTGAGTCGGTTCTGTCCACATTTCCAGTCTAATGTAGCCAGGAGGGGTTCTCATAGCAGACACTCTGAGGTGTCTCAGCCTTTAGATTGCAGGAGACAGATCTGGACTTAGGCCGCTGGCTTAGGGGATGCCGCCAAGTGACCTAAAGAGTTTCAGAGTCTTAACTAAACCGGAGGGGATAGCTTCAGTCTTGCCACAACTTCCTAAATGGGCCTTCCAGCAGAACCATTAGACTGCAAGTGCCAAACAGACATGTTGTATTCACCGCCTTGTCTCCAGCTCCCCCAGAACCATCCATGGTGCATTAGAAAAAAAGAATATTTGTTGCACATATAGGTAAATTTGGGCCTACTCTTTAGAAATGATTTATTCCTCAGTTTCGGATTCCTCTTTTTTTTCTTTCCTATTTCTTGTCCTTTCTCATTACTTTTTATTTATTTATCAATTTATTTATTTCAGGGTCTTGCTATGTTCCCCAGGCTGGTCTCAAACTCCTGGCCTCAGGCAGTTGCCTCGCTTCAGCCTCCCAAGGTGCTGGGATTACAGGCATGAGCCACTGCACCTAGCCTGCCTTCTTCATTTTCCAAATTTACATTTACATTTGAGAACTCCTCCCTCACCCCACCCCATGTCCGTTTGTCATTTGCTCAGAATCAAACCACAGAGGCCCAGACCGGGCACGGTAGCTCACGCCTGTAATCCCAGCACTTTGGGAGGCCAAGAGGGGTGGACCACCTGAGGTCAGGAATTCAAGACCAGCCTGACCAGCATAGTGAAACCCCATGCCTTCTAAAAATACAAAAATTAGCCAGGCGTCATGGCACATGCCTGTAATCCCAGGTACTGGGGAGGCTGAGGCAGAATTGCTTGAACCCGGGGGGGGCGGATGTTGCAGTGAGCTGAGATCATGCCGCTGCACTCTAGCCTGGGCGACAGAATGAGACCCTGTTTCAATAAATAAATAAATAATGGGCCCATATGAATGCCCGTAAAAGCACTGGCCGTAATCATATCTAATGCCCTAATACCTGGAAGCTTCCAAGTCCCACGACAGCAAAGTCCTGGTGCTTTTGAAAGCAGAAATTGGCTCATGCCTTTAATCCCAGCACTTTGGGAGGCCGAGGTGGGCAGATGATGAGGTCAAGAGATCGAGACCATCCTGGCCAACATGGTGAAACTCCGTCTCTACTAAAAATACAAAAATTAGCTGGGCGTGGTGGTGCACGCCTGTAGTCGCAGCTACTCGGGAGGCTGAGGCAGGAGAATCACTTGAACCTGGGAGGCAGAGGTTGCAGTGAGCTGAGATCACACCACTGCACTCCAGCCTGGGCAACAGAGCGAGACTCCGTCTCAACAACAAAAAAAAAGAAAAGAGAAAAGAAAAGAGAAAGCGGAAACCGAAGCACAGTGATTCTGAGTGCACCCTTTATTCTCATGGCTAGTTCCAGGTAAGTTGGAGATGTACCGTGGCCTACATAACGTGCCTAAGGATACGGACAATTTCTGTCAAAGTGTAACAATGAGAGTTCTATCAGACACTGCAGGCTGATGGCCCATGTCGTTCATTCACCGTGGGTGCTCTAGCCCTAAGTCACTTTGCAGAAGTTTTTTTGTTTTTTCTCAAGCCACATTTCTTTGTCCTCCCACCAGGGAAAACCCCAGCTGACATCTTTTCTTCTGGAGACAGTACAAGATGACGTCTTTGGAGGGCTCTTCAAATAAAGTATGATGCAAATAAAAAGATTTTGCCTTTTGGAAACTTCTTCCGAAACCCCTTATGGTATTTCATCAATCACAAAAATGGGAATTGAGTCACCTGCCCGAGCCCTGTAACCAGGACAGTTGTAGCACACGCTGAACGATGGCCCTGACAGATGTGACTGAGTCTCCCTCGCCTTCTGTTTTGTTTGTGTGTCCAGAACTCCTATTTGTGAGAAAATTGTATTCCCTGCGCTTGAGTCCTGGTCTTCTGAGCTGACATAAGGAACTGTAAGCAGTGGGGGCTGCCATGCAGCAGGGCTCCATCTGCCCCAAGTCTCTGTGACTGCTGCTCGCTGCACAGAGGCCCTGGGTGATCAGAGGCTGCACCGGTGAACCTGTGCAGCCCCGCGCATCCCGACAGGCCACACGTAATTTCTGCCTCTCAGTGAAATCTACCTGCAAGATTTGCTCTTATTTTCTCTGCAGCAAACAACAGGATGAACTTTATTTTCTCATTGAAAACAAGGTGCCGGGAAGTGATTGCGCACCCGTCGGAGATGCACAGAGCCTTGGGCTTCAGACTCTCCCCTGAAGCCCCGAAAAGCCACCCTCATTGACCACATGTACTGAGTGCCCATCCGAGCAGGACTGCAGGAGCGGCTGGACTGTCCATGACCCCTAACAACCCACATGTCCAGAGATGGCGTTTCTGTCTTCTTGGGAGGGAGGCCTGTTGAGCTGCATCTGCACCTCATGATGCCCGGAGTGGCACGTGGAGCTGCACCTGCACACTTGGCTTCTGGTTGCCGGGGTGCCCAGGGAGTTCACCATCGGATAGCAGCCCGCTGCCTGCCTCTCTCTGCCCTCCTGTGGGACACTCCTCGGCTCCCATGACCTCTCGGAGCCCACATTTGCCCTCCTGCTCACCTCACCAGGCCCTGGAAGTTGCAGGCTGCAGGTGGGCAAGGGAGGCTGCCACCACTGCTTGGGATCCGGTCTCCTGGTGGCTGCCTGCAGAGACCGCCCAGATAAGGGGACGAGGAGTTGGTGTCCTGTGAGACAAACTTCAGTCAATGGCAGACAAGAGTCAGTGGATGAAGTCTGCCTTCCTTCGTGGACTGTTTTATGATACTGTTTATAGTTTAGTCAGCCTCTCCGGAGACATCCTGTAAGGCAGAAAAATCACGGTTTTGTGAGGAGCTCAGCAATGCACTTGTGTTTGCTCTCCCTCCTTCCCTCCTTGCTCCTTCCTTCCTTCCCTGCTTCCTCCTTCCCCTTTCTTCCTTTTCTGCTTCCTCTTTTCCCCCTTCCCCCTTTTTTCTTTCCTCTTTTCTCCTTCCTCCTTCCCTCCTTCCTTCACTGATACTTTTTGGGATTACTCTCCCTAGTAAAGCATAAGCACAAATGCCTTGTCCTTGGTTCTGGTTTCCAGAGAACCTGGGCTAAGATAAGTTTATTCCAGAATATCTTGATCTTGAATGTCCTTCTCTGTCTCCTTCCTTCCTTCTTTCCTCCCTCCCTCCCTCCTTATTTCCTCCTCCTTCTTTTTTCTTTTTTCCTTTCCTTTCTTTTCCGTTTTTTTTCTTTTCCTTTCTTTCTCTTTTCTTTTGACGGAGTCTCACTCTGTCGCCCAGGCTGGAGTACATGACACAATCTTGGCTCTCTGCAACCACCACCTCCCATGTTCAAGCGATTCTCCTGCCTCAGCCTCCCGAGTAGGTGGGATTATAGGCACACAGCACCACGCCCAGATAATTTTTGTATTTTTTGAAGAGATGGGGTTTCACCGTGTTGGCCAGGCTGGTCTTGAATTCCTAAACTCAAGTGATTCGCCCGCCAAGGCCTCCCAAAGTGCTGGGATTACAGGCGTGAGCCACCACTCCGGGCCCTGAATTCTTTTTGCAATTTAAAACAGTGTTTGCAAAATTTTTGACCTAGGCCATTCATCTTCTTATTTTTACTATGTTATTTATAGAAGGAATATATATTTATAGTAGAAAATTTGGAAAAGGCAGAAAAATATAAATAAGAAAATGAAAATAATTCACCAGCCATTACTGAATGATGAAGACCTTGAACTTTTTGGAGAATTTTCTTCCAGTTTTTATTCTTTGCATCAAGAGTGTTCATTTTATAAGTAGTTGTCCCCAAAACAGCCAGACCTATTATTATTATTTTTTTTATCCAGCAATTGGATTTTTTTATTTTATTTTATTTTATTTTATTTATTTTATTTTATTTTATTTTTTATTGATCATTCTTGGGTGTTTCTCGCAGAGGGGGATTTGGCAGGGTCATAGGACAATAGTGGAGGGAAGGTCAGCAGATAAACAAGTGAACAAAGGTCTCTGGTTTTCCTAGGCAGAGGACGCTGGGGCCTTCCGCAGTGTTTGTGTCCCTGGGTACTTGAGATTAGGGAGTGGTGATGACTCTTAAGGAGCATGCTGCCTTCAAGCATCTGTTTAACAAAGCACATCTTGCACCACCCTTAATCCATTCAACCCTGAGTGGACACAGCACATGTTTCAGAGAGCACAGGGTTGGGGGTAAGGTCAGAGATCAACAGGATCCCAAGGCAGAAGAATTTTTCTTAGTACAGAACAAAATGAAAAGTCTCCCATGTCTACTTCTATCCACACAGACCCGGCAACCATCCGATTTCTCAATTTTTTCCCCACCCTTCCCGCCTTTCTATTCCACAAAACCGCCATTGTCATCATGGCCCATCCCCAATGAGCCGCTGGGCACACCTCCCAGACGGGGTCGTGGCCGGGCAGAGGGGCTCCTCACTTCCCAGTAGGGGCGGCCGGGCAGAAGCGCCCCTCACCTCCCGGATGGGGCGGCTGGCCGGGCGGGGGCTGACCCCCCACCACCCTCCCGGACGGGGCAGCTGGCCAGGCAGAGCGGCTCCTCACTTCCCAGTAGGGGCGGCCGGGCAGAGGCGCCCCTCACCTCCTGGATAGGGCGGCTGGCCGGGCGGGGGGCTGTCCCCCCCACCTCCCTCCCGGATGGGGCGGCTGGCTGGGCAGAGGGGTCCTCACTTCCCAGTAGGGGCGGCCGGGCAGAGGCGCCCCTCACCTCCCGGACGGGGCGGCCGGCCGGAAGGGGGGCTGACCCCCCCACCTCCCTCCCGGACGGGGCGGCTGGCCGGGCAGAGGGGCTCCTCACTTTCCAATAAGGGCGGCCGGGCAGAGGCGCCCCTCACCTCCCGGACGGGGTGGCTGGCCAGGCGGGGGGCTGATCCCCCCACCTCCCTCCCGGACGGGGCGGCTGGCCGGGTGGGGGGCTGAGCCCCCCGCTCGCTCCGGGACTGGGCGGGTGGGCCGGCGGGGGGGCTGACCCCCCCCCCTCCCCCCGGCCCGGGGCGGCCGGCCGGAAAGGGTGCGACCCCCCCACCCCCCTCCCGGACAGGGCGGCTGGCCGACGCCCCCCCCGCCTCCCTCCCGGACGGGGCGGCTGGCCGGGCAGAGGAGCTCCTCACTTTCCAGTAGGGGCGGCCAGGCAGAGGCGCCCCTCACCTCCCGGACGGGGCGGCTGGCTGGGCGGGGGGCTGACCCCCCCTCCCCCTTCCCGGACAGGGCGGCTGGCCGGGCGGGGGCTGACCCCCCCACCTCCCTCCCGGGCGGGGCGGCTGGCCGGGCAGAGGGGCTCCTCACTTCCCAGTAGGGGCGGCCGGGCAGAGGCGCCCCTCACCTCCCGGACGGGGCGGCTGGCCAGATGGGGGGCTGATCCCCCCACCTCCCTCCCGGACGGGGCGGCTGGCCGGGCGGGGGGCTGACCCCCCACCTCCCTCCCAGACTGGGCGGCTGGCTGGGCGGGGGGCTGACCCCCCCACCTCCCTCCCGGACGGGGCGGCTGGCCGGGCAGAGGGGTCCTCACTTCCCAGTAGGGGCGGCCGGGCAGAGGCGCCCCTCACCTCCCGGACGGGGCGGCTGGCCGGGCGGGGGGCTGACCCCCCCTCCCCCCTCCCGGATGGGGCGGCTGGCCAGGCGGGGGGCTGTCCCCCCCACCTCCCTCCCGGACGGGGCGGCTGGCCGGGCAGAGGGGTCCTCACTTCCCAGTAGGGGCGGCCGGGCAGAGGCGCCCCTCACCTCCCGGAAGGGGCGGCCGGCCGGAAGGAGGGCTGACCCCCCCACCTCCCTCCCGGACGGGGCGGCTGGCCGACCCCCCCCCCGCCTCCCTCCCGGACGGGGCGGCTGGCCGGGCAGAGGGGCTCCTCACTTTCCAGTAGGGGCGGCCGGGCAGAGGCGCCCCTCACCTCCCGGACGGGGCGGCTGGCCAGGCGGGGGGCTGATCCCCCCACCTCCCTCCCGGACGGGGCGGCTGGCCGGGCAGAGGGGTCCTCACTTCCCAGTAGGGGAGGCCGGGCAGAGGCGCCCCTCACCTCCCGGACGGGGCGGCCAGCCGGGCGGGGGGCTGACCCCCCCACCTCCCTCCCGGACGGGGTGGCTGCCGGGCGGAGACGCTCCTCACTTCCCAGACGGGGTGGTTGCCGGACGGAGGGGCTCCTCACTTCTCAGACGGGGCGGTTGCCAGGCAGAGGGTTTCCTCACTTCTCAGACGGAGCGGCCGGGCAGAGACGCTCCTCACCTCCCAGACAGGGTTGCGGCCCAGCAGAGGCGCTCCTCACATCCCAGACAGGGCGGTGGGGCAGAGGTGCTCCCCACATCTCAGACGATGGGCGGCCGGGCAGAGACGCTCCTCACTTCCTAGATGGGATGGCGGCGGGGAAGAGGTGCTCCTCGCTTCCTAGATGGGATGGCGGCCGGGCAGAGACGCTCCTCACTTTCCAGACTGGGCAGCCAGGCAGAGGGGCTCCTCATATCCCAGACGATGGGCGGCCAGGCAGAGACGCTCCTCACTTCCCAGACGGGGTGGCGGCCGGGCAGAGGCTGCAATCTCGGCTCTTTGGGAGGCCAAGGCAGGCGGCTGGGAGGTGTAGGTTGTAGTGAGCTGAGATCACGCCACTGCACTCCAGCCTGGGCACCATTGAGCACTGAGTGAACGAGACTCCATCTGCAATCCCGGCACCTCGGGAGGCCGAGGCTGGCGGATCACTCGCGGTTAGGAGCTGGAGACCAGCCCGGCCAACACAGCGAAACCCCGTCTCCACCAAAAAAAAACGAAAACCAGTCAGGCGTGGCGGCGCGCGCCTGCAATCGCAGGCACTCGGCAGGCTGAGGCAGGAGAATCAGGCAGGGAGGTTGCAGTGAGCCGAGATGGCAGCAGTACCGTCCAGCTTTGGCTCGGCATCAGAGGGAGACCGTGGAGGGAGAGGGAGACCGTGGAGGGAGAGGGAGAGGGAGAGCCAGACCTATTATTTTTAAACTGTCTCTCATGCCTGACACTAGACTCATTTGCAGATTTTTAATTTGTATTTTTTAGAGACAGGATCTCATGCTGTTACCTAGGCTAAAGTGCAATGGTGCAATCATAGCTCACTGCAGCCTCGAACTCCTGCACTCAAGTGATCTTCCTGCCTCAGCCTCCCGAGTAGCTGGGACTACAGGCAAGTGTCAATACACCTGGCTACTTTTCTTAGTTTTTATTCTTGTCTCACTCTGTTGCCCAGGCTGGTCTCAAATTCCTGGGCTCAAGCTATCCTCCCACCTTGGTCTCCCAAAGTGCTTGGATTACAGGCATGAGCCACCATGCCGGATCTTATTTGCAGTTTACATGGTCAACTTAAATTGGAGTAATTCAAACCCGTAGGGTGAGATTCCTAAGTGTATTCTCAGAAATTAATGGACATTGCCAAAGTGGCTAACATGCTTTAAAAATGCCTTAGTCATTGATAGCTTTTCTGCACACACGAAGCACTAATAATACTCTCACAATGACGCTCAGAGAACAATAGGGCGTGGGAGGAGGGCTGGTGATGCCGTTCTATAAATAAGAACTAAAGAACCATCCGGAGGTTCAGTTGAGAGATATTAGGCAGTTAAAGTGATTATTGCTAAAATAAAGAATATTCGTTTTGGTTTATTGGAAGCTATGGTAGCATTTTGGGAGACTGTGATTAGTTATTAATAGCACAGATGGTGATGAGTCAATCTTGGCTTCTCTGCTTGTAAGTTGTTTGACGTTGGGGTATTACTGAAACTTTTTTTTTTTTTTTTTTTTTGAGACAGAGTCCCGTTCTGTTGCTCAGGCTGGAGTGCAGTGGCACAATCTTGGCTCACTGCAATCTCCGCCCACCAGGTTCAAGCGATCCTCCTGCCTCAGCCTCCTGAGTAGCTGGGATGACAGGCATGCACCACCTCGCCCAGCTAATTTTTGTATTTTTAGTAGAGACAGGGTTTTACCATGTTGGCCAGGCTGGTTTCTAACTCCTGACCTCAGGTGATCTGCCCACCTGGGCCTCCCAAAGTGCAGGGATTACAAGCGTGAGCCACCACGCCCAGCCTACTTAAACTTTTTGAGTTCCAGTTTTCTCATCCGAAACATGATAATAGGCAATAATAATAAAAAATAAAAATCTTGCAGAATTGTTCATTTATTTATTCAACAATTATTTGCTTAGTGCTGTCTAACAAACAACGGTTCAGGAGGCTGTAGTGTTTGGGTTATAGTAGTGAATGACACAGACAAGGTCTCAGCTATCTTGGAGCCCACAGCGACAGCTCAGCAAATGACAGCATCATCAGCACTGCCACCTCCACCATTGTCATCGTTGTCATCGGTGAAATTTCCCTTATGTTGCATATTGATTTAAGAACATTGGTTAGCCCAGAGCACTGCATTTTTTAAAAACTAAATTAAACTTTTTATGTTGAGATAATTATAGATTCACATTCATTTGTAAGAAATATTACAAGGAGATCTTTTGTACCTTGCAAAACTAAAGTACAAGATCACAAGAGAATACTGACATTGATACAATCCACCAGTCTTAATCAGATTTCCCCACTTGTGTGTGTGTGTGTGTGTGTGTGTGTATTTAATTCTAGGCAATTTTATCACCTATGTAGGTTGATATATCCACCACCATAGTGAAGATACAGAATAGGCCAGCACGGTGGCTCATACCTATAATCCCAGCACTTTGGGAGACCAAGGTGGGAAGATTGCTTGTGGCCAGAAGTTTTTGAGAGCAGCCTGCAACGTAGTGAGACCTATTTTTTTCTAAGAAAAAAACAGAAAAAGAAGATACAGAAAAGATCCATCTCTATGAGGATTCTATGTGTTGTTAACCATTGCTCCCCACCCCCCCCGCCCGCCCCCGCCACCTCACACAGTTCCTCATCTCTGGCAACAACTAATCTGCTCTCCATTTCTTTCATTTCATCATTTCAAGAATGTTATATAAATAGGATACTACAATATATAACTTTGGGGATCAGCATTTTTCACTCAGCATAATTCCTCAGAGATTAACCCGATCCATTTTTTTTTGTTTTTTTTTTGGAGGTGGGTGGGAAGGAATATCCCTCTGTTGCCCAGGCTGGGGTGCAGTGGTGAGATCTCGGCTCACGAAACTTCTGCCTCTTAGGTTCAAGCGATTCTCCCGCCTCAGCCTCCAGAGTAGCTGGGATTACAGGTGTGCGCCATGCTGCCTGGCTAATTTTTGTAATTTTTTTTTTAGTAGGGTCGGGGTTTTGCCATGTTGGCCAGGCTGGTCTTGAACTCTGGACCTCAAGTGATCTGCCCACCTCAGCCTCCCAAAGTGCTGGGATTACAGGCATGAGCCACCGCGCCTGGCCTAACCTGTTCCTTTTTATTGTTGATTATTATTGCAAGATGGATGGACCACACCGCGCCTGGCCTAACCCGTTCCTTTTTATTGTTGATTACTATTGCATGATGGATGGACCACAACTTACCTATCCACTCACAAATCGAAGGACATGTAGGTTGTTTCTAGTTTTTAAATACTATGAACAGAACTGCAATAAATATTTGTTTACAGGTTTTTGTGAACATAGTTTTCATTTCTCTGAAATAAATTTCTAAGAGTGCAATTACTGGGTCTTATGGTAATAATATGCTTCAGTTTACAATAAACTGCTAAATTGTTTTCCAGAGTGGCTGTACCATTTTACATTTCCACCCATAATACATGAGCGATTCAGTGTCTCTGCATCCTTGCTACCATTTGGCATTGTGACTGTTTTTTATTTTAGCCATTTGGATAGGTGTGTAATGATACCTGTAGCTCACTATGGTTGTAATTTGCATTCCCTTGACAGCTAGTGGTGTTGAACATCTTTTCGTATGCTTATTTGCCATCTGTATATCCTTTTCAGTGAAAACATAGTTGTTCCATTTTCTAACCGGGATTTCGACACTGTTGAATTTTGAGAGTTCTTTATATATTCTAGATACCAGTTCTTTGTCTGACATGTTTTTTGCATATTTTTTTTTCTTCTCAGTCTGTAGCCTGTCTTTTCATCCTCTTTGAGGAGAATAGAGCAAAAGATTTTAATTTTGATGTGGTCCAATTTATCGTTTTTTCCTTTTATGGATTTATTTTTAGGGTTGAGCCTAAGAACTCTTCGACTAGCTCTAGAGCCCAAAGATTTTCTATGTTTTTTTTCTAAAAGTCTCATAGCTTTTAAGTCTGTTATATATTTTATGTGAAATTCCAAAGGAATTTTCAGAAATGCCTTTTACTTTAGTAAAAGTTCATACTGATATTTCCAATTCAGATTTAAGATTACAGAGTTTTTACTTCTAAAAAATTAAATTTATTGGCCAGGCACGGTGGCTCACGCCTATAATCCCAGCACTTTGGGAGGCCAAGGTGGGCACATCACCTGAGGTCAGGAGTTCGAGACCATCCTGACCAACACAGTGAAACCCCGTCTCTACTAAAAATACAAAACTTAGCTGGGCGTCATGTCACGCGCTTGTAATCCCAGCTACTCAGGAGGCTGAGGCAGGAGACTCACTTGAACCCGACAGGCGAGGTTGCAGTGAGCTGAGATTGTGCCACTGCACTCCAGCCTGGGAGACAGAGCTGGACTTCATCTCAAAAAAAAAAAAAATTAAATTGAATAATTAAATTAATCTCTTTTCTTATATCATTGACAATTGTAGTTCCTAATGACAATAACACAATTACTTATTGGCTTTATTCTACAAATACCTAAAATAGTTTTAAAATAAAAATACTATTATTACTAAAATGCAATTAACTGCATTTCAGATTTCTATGGGGCTCTGTGTCCTGAGATTATACATCTCTAAGGATACACAGTAAAATTCTGTTTCACTTGATAATTCCACTTAATTTGTTACTTCACCTTATTAATTCACTTAATGGTTTCACTTAAATAATTCCTTTCTCTGTCTGCTTGTGCCACCAGCTTTATATGTACGGCAGCTATATTTCAGTTTGTTTTCCATTTTTGGTTTTGCTTTGTTTTTAATTGGTGATTTAATTTTATTTTTTTAACCATGTGAACCATGTAATGTTCCTGAAGTTTCTAAATGACACCACTTGGTAAGTTTCACTGAAGCCTTGCTTGCCTCCCAGCTCTCTGTAGTGTTCTAACCTCCACTCCTACAGGGAACCATTTTTATTGGTTTTTGGTTTTTGCGTCCTTTGTTTTTATTTTTGTTTTGCAAATTTAGGAAAATGTCTAATTATATTTATTTCTCTTTTCTTATACAAAAGGTCTCAGTTCTATTACACTACTTTATGATAGCTATGTCATATATCTCTCTCAATATTTTTTTTTACAATGTAGATATAAAATTTTTGATATGTCTTAATATTTAGGAAGGTTTGTATTTTTGTTCTAATTGTTATCTTGGTATTCACATATTTGTATAAGAGCTTTGAGTCCCTTTTTTAATACACTGTCTATTTGCTCCCAACTATGGGTAATAATGAAATTAACTAATACCCACTCTTTCCTCTACTCTTTCTCATCCTGCTTCCAAAATTAAAGTGATAGCCTTTTACTCACAGTTAATATCGGCGAGTTACTTACTGAGCTTATTCTACTTTCCAAGTACTTCGTTCATCCCAAACTCAGTTTTTTATTAGTTCTATTATATCCATATTTTCAGAGTATATAATATTGAAATACCTTCTTCCTTTTTTTTTTTCTTTTTTTTTTTTTTGAGACAGGGTCTTGCTTTGTCACCCAGGCTGGAGTGCAGTGGTGTGATCATGGTTCACTGCAATTTCTGCCTCCTGGGTTCAAGCTACCCTCCTACCTCAGCCTCCCGAGTAAATTGGATTACAGGCATGTGCCACCACACTCGGCTAATTTAAAAGAGAAAATTTTGGTAGAGACAAGATGTCACTATATTGCCCAGGCTGATCTTGAACTCCTGGACTCAAGTAATCCTCCTGCCTTGCCCTCCTAAAGTACCGGGATTACGTGCGTGAGCCACCATGCAGGGCCTACCCTTCTTCCATTTTTATTCTCATTATTTTTTCTTAGTTCTACGGATAAATAAGCTCATCAAAGACTTTGTGCTGAAGCTTCTTATGATTATTTTGAATGGTTGTTTGGAGCTCATTTTCATAGATTTCTTGGAAAGGCATGTGGGAACAATATTATCTGAGGTCTTGCATGTTTCTTTGTTTGTTTATTTATTTATTTTTATTTATTTTTTGGGACAGAGTCTCGCTCTGTCACCCAGGCTGGAGTGCAGTGGCACCATCTCAGCTCACTGCAACCTCTGCCCCCAGAGTTCAACCAATTGTCCTGCCTCAGCCTCCTGAGTAGCTGGGACTACAGGAGTCTGCCACCATCATGCCTGGCTAATTTTTGTATTTTTCTTAGGGACAGGGTTTCACCATGTTGGCCAGGCTGGTCTAGAACTCCTGACCTCAGGTAATCCGCCCGCTTCGGCCTCCCAAAGTTCTGGGATTACAGGCTTGAGCCACCGCGCCCGGCCAGTCTTGCATGTTTATAGCGGTGATCTTTATTGTTGATGAGTTTGACTGGATATAAAATCCTTGGCTCACATTTTCTTTCCTTGAGTATTGTAAATGTGTTGTTCCATTGTCTTCCATTATGAAGTGTTATTAATAAATCGGATACAAATTTTATCTTTTTTCCGTTGTAGTTCTCATTTGGTTTTTGTTTAGATACTCAGATAATTTTTTCTTTCTCTCTAATTCCCGGTAGTTTAACAAGAATATCTCAGTGTGAAATGTATCTCTGAATACATCTCTGAGTGATTTTCCTAGGTACATAGTATATCCTCTTAATTGTAGATTCGAGTATTTTTCTTTTTTTTTTTGAGACAGGATCTCACTCTGTCGCCCAGGCTGAAATGCAATAGTTTGATCTCGGCTCACTGCAGCCTTGATCTCCTGGGCTGAAGCCGTCGTCCCACCTCAGCCTCCTGAGTAGCTGGGACTATGGACATGTGCCACTATGCTTGGCTACCTTTTAATTTTTTTTTTATTTGATAGAGATGGGTTCTCATTATGCTGCCCAGGCTGGTCTAGAACTCCTTGGCCCAAGTGCTCCTCGCCTCAGAATCCCAAAGTGCTGGGGTTACAGGCATGAGCCACCACGCCCAGCTCAAGTATCTTTTTATTTGTCAAAAGATTACTTACACTATTATTTGTTCTGATCTATTTATTTGATTTCCTTTTTAAGAAACTCCTATGTCATATTGTCATAGATTTCCTTTGCCAATCTTCTATATCTATCTTTTAAAAAATATTTTTAAAAATTTTCCGTTTGGACTGGGTGTGGTGGCTCATGCCTGTAATCCCAGCACTTTGGGAGGCCGAGGTGAGAGAATCGCTTGAGCTTAGGAGTTTGAGATCAGTCTGGGCAACATGGTGAGACCCCTCTCTATAAAAAATAAAAAGATTAGCTGGGTGTGGTGGCGAGCACCTGTAGTCCCAGCTACTCAGAAGGCTGAGGCAGGGGGATTGCTTGAGGCGGGGAGATTGAGGCTGCAGTGAGCCATGATAGCGCTACTGCACACCAGCCTGGGCGACAGAGGGAGACCGTGTCTCAGAAACAAGCAAGAAACAACAACCAAAAAATGTCCCGTTTGATTTTTGTTTCCTCCTTTCTAATCTCAATGTCCTTGCTATACTTTCTGTAATGCCTATTGCTCTCATGTAACTTCTAGCTTAGTCTTCATTTATAAAATATTATTTTCTAATTTTTTTCTGAGCTCTTTTGTCACGTTTCTATTGTTCAGCTATCTAATTTTTAATGTATTTATGATATGTTTCTGTAGTTCCTGAAGTTTTTGGAATTACTTTGGGTTCATTTTATATTAGGACACATTTTTCATTTGCTTTGTGGACATATTTTTCTTGCCTTTCCCTTGCATTTTTATCTGTTAGCACAATTAATATTTTTTTTTAGTTTTTCTTTTTCTTTTTTTTTGAGACAGAGTCTTACTCTGTTGCCCGGGCTGGAGTGCAGTGGCGTGATCTTGGCTCACTGCAACCTCTGTCTCCTGGGTTCAAGCGATTCTCCTGCCTCAGCCTCTGTAGTAGCTGGGATTACAGGCGTGCACCACCACGCCTGGCTAATTTTTGTGGTTTTTTTAGTAGAGATGAGATTTTGCCCTTTTGGCCAGGGTGGTCTCAAACTCCTGACTTCAGGTGATCCGCCTACCTCGGCCTCCCAAAGTGCTGGGATTACAGGCTTGAGCCACCACGCCTGGAATAATGTTTATACTTATATGGGACAGTTTTTTTCCTGTAATTTGAGGACAGTATTGTCACACAGAGAGTAGGAGATAGGCCCAGGTAGCTTTCTGGCTTGAAAACTCCCTTCTCTATTGTTATTTCAAAGTTTTCCCAAAAGTGGCCATTCTCTGTCTTCACCTCCACAGCTATGAGATCTTTCTCCTTTGTATTGTCTTTCTTTTTATACCCGGTGCCCTGATCTGATCAATTTAGATTCTACTACCAGAAGCTGCCTTTTTTTTTCAATTTAGGGTAGGTTCTTTTCCTCCTAGCAGAAGGGTTTTGTTGAGTACATCTGAGGTCCTCCAGGACCTAGGTCATCCTAGTGTGTCCGGAATTGGTGGGTTCTTGGTCTCACTGACTTCAAGAATGAAGCCACAGACCCTTGCCGTGAGTGTTACAGTTCTTAAAGATGGTGTGTCCAGAATTTGTTCCTTCTGATGTTCGGACGTGTTCGGAGTTTCTTCCTTCTGGTGGGTTTGTGGTCTCGCTGGCTTCAGGAGTGAAGCCTCAGACCTTCGCAGTGAGTGTCACAGCTCTTAAGGTGGTGCGTCTGGAGTTGTTCATTCCTCCCAGTGGGTCCGTGGTCTCACTGGCTCAGGAGTGAAGCTGCAGACCTTTGCGATGAGTGTTACAGCTCATAAAGGCAATGCGGACCCAAAGAGTGAGCAGCAACAAAATTTACTGCAAAGAGTGAAAGAACAAACCTTCCACAGTGTGGAAAGGGACCCAAGCGGGTTGTCACTGCTGGCTCAGACAGCCTGCTTTTATTCCCTTATCTGACCCCACCCACATCCTGCTGATTGGCCCATTTTACAGAGAGCTGATTGGTCTGTTTTGACAGGGTGCTGATTGGTGTGTTTACAATCCCTGAGCTAGACACAGAGTGCTGATTGGTGTATTTACAATTCTCTAGCTAGACATAAAAGTTCTCCAAGTCCCCACTAGATTAACTAGACACAGAGCACTGATTGGTGCGTTTACAAACCTTGAGCTAGACACAGGGTGCTGATTGGTGTGTTTACAAACCTTGACCTAGACACAGAGTGCTGATTGGTGTATTTACAATCCTTTAGTTAGACATAAAGGTTCTCCAAGTCCCCACTAGATTAGCTAGACAGAGCACTGATCGGTGCATTCACAAACCTTGAGCTAGACACAGGGTGCTGATTGGTGCATTTACGATCCTCCAGCTAGACATAAAAGTACTCCAAGTCCCCACCCACTCAGGAGCCCAGCTGGCTTTGCCTAGGGGATCCCACGCCAGGGCCGCAGGCGGAGCTGCCCGCCAGTCCTGTGCCACATGCCTGCACTCCTCAGCCCTTGGGCGATCGATAGGACCAGGCAGGGGGCCGTGCCCGCTGGGGAGGCTTGAGTTGTGCGGGAACCCACTGCAGGGCGGGAGCGAGCTCGGGCATGGCAGGCTGCAGGTCCCGAGCTCTTCCCCATGCAGAGGCCGCTGAGACCGGGTGAGAATTCAAGCATGGCACGGGCCCGCCGGCAGTGCTGGGGGACCTGGCGCCCCCTCTGCAGCTGCTGGCCCGGGTGCTAAGCCCCTCACTGCCCGGGGCCGGCATCCGGCAGGCCACTCCTAGTGCAGGGCCTGCCGAGCCCACGCCCACCTGGAACTCGCACTGGCCAGCGAGCACCGCGCGCAGCCCCGGTTCCCGCAGGCACCTCTCCCTCCACACCTCCCCGCAAGCAGAGGGAGCTGGCTCCAGCCTCAGCCAGCCCAGAGAGGGGCTCCCACAGTGCAGGGGCGGGCTGAAGAGCTCCTCAAGCTCGGCCAGAGTGGGCGCCGAGGCCGAGGAGGCACCGAGAGGGAGCGAGGGCTGCCAGCACGCTGTCACCTCTCACTAGTTTCCTCTGAGCAGAGCCCGCTCATGTAGCGTGACTTGCTGTTGGCAAGGGCTGTGTTACGAGACTCTCAGGCTGACTAAATTCTCAGCTTACTCTGGCCCAAAAGACGTGATCATGTGCTGCTGGCTTCAGATCTGCAGCCAGTGACATGAGCTGTATTGGGAGTATTTAGACCACAAACCCCAGCCAACGCTACAAGTCAAGGTTGGTTGTGTTGCGTTTGTTTGTCTTGGAGAGCTGATTTCACTGGCCTTTAGCCCCATCAGAATTCCCCTTCCTTTCTTCCCTTAGGTTCTTCACACAGGTGTTAACACTGCAAGGGTTCCAAGCGGGTTTTGTTGATAGTGGTGGTTTGATCCTCCTCGTAGTTATTCTGGAGTTCCTGGGGAAACTTTTGTCATCTAATTTTATTAAAAATACTGTCTGAGAGTTGTTTAAATGTTGTCATCCTATTGCTGTGGGTATCTGGAAAAACTGGTAATGGTCTTACCTGGACTGGAAGCCTGCGGAAATCCTTTGGAATGTAATTGGTAACAGTGCTCATGTCTTTATGATACAGTAATAAGTAACATTGTCATGTTTTTATAGTAGCACTTCACAGTTTACTTAATCCCTTTATGAGACAGAGCAGGCCTAATTTCATTTTGTGGACCAGGAAGCTGAGGTCTATAAGAGTTAAATAATTTGTCCATTTATAGCTAATAAATGGTAGAGCTGGAGTTTAAACTCAAGTTTGTAACTCAAATCTAGCGATGTATATTAAAGTATAAATACATTTGCAAAGAATGCTTAATTTGAGCTAGTGTTTTATCAAAATCTAGGGCAATATTCAGAGTTTTGACCTCTAATGGACTAAATATCCCAATATTTGAATTCCTTAGTCACCCTTGCACTGAAGCATCTTCTCTCTCCAGTCTCTCCCTTTTTGTAAATAGTACCCCACTCTCCTGGGTACTCAAGCTGGAAACCAGGAAGTAGGGCAAAGAGGTGTTCCCTCCACATTGTAATTCAGGAATGCCAGAAAATTGTCTTCTCTTTTCTTCATGCCCCTCATACAAATCCCTGCTGGCTCACTGATGCCTGAAATTCCATCATTTATTGCTTTGGCTCACAGCCAGGAGAAGGGATGCCAGGAAGCCATGCACATGCTTTCCTTCCTAGTGTTGACTGGGTGCCAGGCATCTGTTATTGACTCTCCATCATTCTTCTGCATTACACCTTTTTCTAAGTGAGGGAACCAAAGCTCAAAGAAATTAAGTAATTTTGTTAGGGTCACAAGGCAGGTTGATAGAAGATATAATAACTGAACCCAAGTTGGGTTGGCTCCCAAATCTGTGATTTAGCTTCCATTCTAGGCTAATATTTATGTGGGCCTAGCACTGCAGTAAGTATTTGTCTTACTGCATACTTGTTCTCAGGGCAAATCAGCGTAGCCCCTGATGAAAGTTCCCTACTCATATCAACTTACAGCTCACTGCAGTGCACTCGCAAGGCTTCTGACTGCCTGAGGTCATTCTCTGGCTCCTGCTCTCTCCAGCAACGCTAACATGACAGACTAAAAGTGTTACAGAAACACTGGGGGGCTCAGTCTAGGTCCTGCTGCTCGCCGCACAGAAAGCCTATCACTGAGACAACAGTATTACCAAGGAAGAGGGCTTTAATCGGGTGCTACAGCTGAGGAGGTGGGACCTCAGGCTCAAATCCACCTCCTTGATTGACTAAAACTAGAGGTTTATATAGCAGGGAAGGAATATAACAATGTGTGAGAAAACAGTAACTGGGGAGGGGCAAGGAAGCAATCCCATGAGGAATGAGGGGCCTGGCATCTCGTTGTCTGGATGTGGGTAACTGGTGAGTTTCAATTCTTTGATACTTTTTTTTTTTTGAGAGGTCTGGAGGTCATTTCTGAGGAAGGAACTCGCAGAAGACAAATGTTAAGTTTCAAGCTTTTTAAGACCAGAAGGGTCAATTTCTATGTTTATCTTAAAAACTATCCGTGGGACTATACTGGGTCAGTTTCAAAAGCATGGGAAAATTAACTCTCCCACCCCAACCCCAGCAGCCAAGCAGCCATCAACCAGTGACTGATGGGAATGGGTGTATAAAAGCCGCAGCTCCCTTGCCTGTCGCGAGGGAAAACCCTGCACTGACTCTCGGAATTCTACGCTGGAATTAGGCTCCAGTTGTCCACTTACTGACACTTCTGATAATACCTCCTTTATCAGCTGCCCTTCTTACCCTGTCTCAGTTCCCAGCTTACCAATAGATATTTCCTGGGATCCTTTCCAAAATAATCTAATCTACTTGCACTTGAATCTTGGTGTTGGGGTTCTCAAGGTCTGCTTCTTTGGAACCCAAACTAAGGCAATTGGCATCATCCGAAATACAGATTTTCAGGAGGAGAAGGATTGGTGGACTTTGAGATCATCAGGCCTTGAAGTGAACAGAAGAAGAGCTGGGCCACTCTCATTTGTTCCCACATCATTACTACATCCACGTGTTCCTTAGCCCATCAGTCACAGCCAGGGAGATGGAGTCACACGTTCGTCCGTGAACAGATATTATGCCAGTTCTAGGGAACAGGGATAATGCAATGAACAAAATGGATAAAAAGCTCTGCCCTTATGGAGGTTATAGTCTAATGGCTGCCAAGAGATTCTTCAAAAGAACCAAATGGATCTTCTAGGATGGAATAATACATATCTGAAATAATTTTAAAAATTGTATAGGCTTAACTTCAGGAGAAAGGACATGAATTTGAAGACAGATGAAAAATCATTCAAGCTGAAGCACATTGAGCAAAAATATATATTTTTTAATGAGCAGAGCCTCAATAATTGTGGGACAATATCTAACGTAATTAGAATCTTAGAAGAAGCAGAGAGAGAATGTGGCAGAATATTTATTTGAGGAAAATGATGGCAGAATTTCCAAGATTGAGAAAAAGTAATTCAACTTGTAGACCCACGAAGCTCAGCACCTCCCAAACAGGATAAATTTAAAGAAAATTACCATTAGGCAAATCATCAGCAAACTGCTAACAAACAGAGATAAAGCAGCCAAAGTAAAAAGACACATTACATAGAGGAGAACAAAGATCAGAAACAAGGCAGAAGATAATGGAAAACCATCTTTAAAGTGCTTATAGGGGGAGGAAAAACCTGTCAACCTGAATTTCATAACTAGTAAAAGTGTCCTGAATTGTCCCGAATGAAGCCAAGTGAATTACCTGGATCATCTGATCTGTGGAAGCACTGGTTTGGATAAGTTAGGCTCCAACATGTGTCAGAGGGACAGCAGAGTGTGATCGGGACCCAGCCTGCCTGAGTCCAATTTCTGACTCCATCTCTCACTAGCCGAGTGAACTTGGGCAAGTTCCTCAGTTTCTCTCTGCCTCATCTTTTCATCTCTAACATGAAGATGATAATATCCACCTCACATGGGTATTTTATGGATTAAGTGAATTATTTGATTTCCAACAGTCTGAGGATTTTCTCGGTATCTTTGTTATTGATTTCTAGTTTAATTCCATTATGGTCCAAGAACATAAGAACATATTTTGTATGACTTCTATTCTTTTATCTTCATTTTTTAATTTTTTTTTTTTGAGATGGAGTCTAGCTGTGTCACCCAGGCTGGAGTTCAATGGCGCAATCTCGGCTCACTGCAACCTCCGCCTCCCCGGTTCAAGCGATTCCCCTGCCCCAGGCTCCCGAGTAGCTGGGATTACAGTTGCCTGCCACCATGCTCGGCTGGTTTTTGTATTTTTTAGTAGAGACAGGGTTTCACCATGTTGGTCAGGCTGGTCTCGAACTCCTGACCTCAGGTGATCCGCCCGCCTCGGCCTCCCAAAGTGTTGGGATTACAGGGTCTCACTCTGTCACCCAGGCTGGAATGCAGTGGTGTGATCATAGCTCACTGTAACCTCAAACTCCTGGGCTCAAGCAATCCTCCCACCTCACCCTCCTAAGTAGCTGGGACTACAAGCACACACCACCACTCCCAACTAATTTTTAAAAATTTTATAGAGATGAGGTCTCACTTTGTTGCCCAGGTTGATCTCGAACTCCTGGTCTCAAGTGATCCTCTCACCTTGACCTCCCAAAGCTCTAAGATTACACGTATAAGCCACTGCACCCAGCCACAGATTATTTTATTTTATTTTTTCTTATTTTTCTTCCCTTTGATCTATACAATTAACGCACAAATTCTTTTAAATTGTAAATGTTTGTTTAATGACTCAGGATATAGTCTATCTTGGTAAATATTTCCTATGCAGTTGAAAATAATGTGTATTTTGTTGTTGGGTGGAGTGTTCTATAAATGTCAACTAGATCCAGTTGATTGATAGTATCGTTCAATTCTTCTAAATCCTTGCTGATTTTCTGTCGGCTGGTTGTATTACTAAGAGAGGCATGTTAACATCTCCAACTATAATTGTGGATTTGCTCAAGTTTCCTTTAAGCTGTGTTAGTTTTGCTTTATGTGTTTTGAAGCTCTGTTGTTACATGCATATGCCTTTAACCACACCATTGCATGTGAGCTGTGACCTGAAAGATAAGATGCAATTTTAAAATGCCAAAGCCAGGAATAACATTCCATGAAATAGGCATAACTATTTTAAAGGCACCAGTGAATGAGAGGGCCTGGCATAGTCAGGGAATGAATGACAAGCACCATATGAAGATAGCAGGAGAGAATCACCAATGAGCCATAAAATCCATATATTTTGTTGTGCTAACCTTTGACCTGAATTATCCACAAGGATGCGAAGGGAATTATCTGGATCATTTGCTCTTTGAAAACAACAAATCCAGATGACTTAGGCTGCAAAGTGTGTCACATGGGCAGTGGAGCGTCATCTGCAGTCAGCCTGCCTGAGTCAATTTCTTTTTCCAAAATGCACTAGCTGAGTGGACTTGAGCAAGTTCCTCAACTCCCTTCTGCCTTGGGTTCTCATCTGTCACAACAGAGTTTCAAAAATAGATGAAAATATTCTCATCTGATAATAGTAATATCAGCTCAGAGGGTTATTGTAAGGATTGAGTTGACCCATGAAAAGAGCTTAGAATGGTAACCACTCAACAAACAAAATCTACTTTTTTCAAAAGCAACTATCAGAATTAATTGAATGAACTAGGCAGAATAGCACCTTGCTGTCTTAGTCTCCTAGGGGCTGCCAAACCTAAGTACCACAAACTGGGTGACTTTCAACACATACATTTATTCTCTTACAGTTCTGGCGGCCAGAAGTCTGAAGTCAAGGTGTCCACAGGCTAAGCTCTCTCTGAAGGTTCTTGTGGGCAATCCTTCCTGGACTCTTCCTAGCTTCTGATAGTTGCTGGCCATTCTTGGTGTTCCTTGGCTTTTGGCAGCGTAACTACAATCTCAGCTCTCTTCCCTCTACGTGATGTTTCCAAATTTCCCTCTTCTTATGGGGACATCAGTAGTTAGATGAGGGCCCATCCTAATCCAGTATGGCTTCATCGTAACTGGAATACATCTGCAATGACCCTATTTCCAAATAAGGTCATATCTACAGGCTCCAGGTGGACATGAATTTGGTGGGAGGGGACAGTCTTCAGCCCAGTACACATCTCAATTGCCCACATTCCTTGACGACTTGCTCTAGATAGCCAATTTTCTAGAAGGAACAAATTATTTTTCTTTGACCCTTTGGCCAAAAATATTTCCAAATTTCTTTGCTCACTTTTCAATTTTTTGAAATCAAAGATAACAATTCCAATTGCACTTCCTTTATAGACCTAGGCTGTCAGTCATCTGTCACAGAGGTCTGTGACAAGGTTTTAAGTCCCCATGCTCTCTGGTTCTTGGGTTGGCACACTAGAGTTTGTCTGTTTTCTTTCCATTTATGGCTGTAACTTGTCCTTTCTTGTTGCTGTGGGCATTTGGGTTAGCGTAGAGCTTCTCTCTCATTTCTAAATTTCTGTGAGTTAGGAACCAGAACTCCATGTTTGCTATAGTTGTAGAATTTAGCTTTAGTGTTTTTTTTTTTTTTTTGAGAGGGAGTCTCGCTCTGTCGCCCAGGCTGGAGTGCAGCGGCGCGATCTCGGCTCACTGTAAGCTCCGCCTCCCGGGTTCACGCCATTCTCCTGGCTCAGCCTCCCGAGTAGCTGGGACTACAGGTGCCTGCCACCGCGCCCGGCTAATTTTTTGTATTTTTTAGTAGAGACGGGGTTTCACCGTGTTAGCCAGGATGGTCTCAGTCTCCTGACCTCGTGATCCGCCCGCCTCGGCCTCCCAAAGTGCTGGGATTACAGGTGTGAGCCACTGTGCCAGGCAGCTTTAGTCTTTATAATAGACCACGTGGCTTCTCTTGAATGGAGTAAATTATATTTTATGCAAAGATTGTATGTAGCACACACAGAAATAAACCAGAATCCTAAAGGTTTACCACTTTGGAATTTGCTGAGAAAACCTGAACTCAACGAGACAGTATTATAACTCATTTAGAGAGGGACGTTAACAATTCTGTATTTTGATATTAGTTTCCTATTCCTTGTAATAAAGGATCAGCTGATTGCATTTCAGCGTTGCAGCTTAGGGCACAGCCTCTGTCTCGGTGGTCTGCGTGCTACTGGCTCTTGTTTTCTGCGTCGAATCCTTCCCCTTCCTTTAAGGTTATTCTCACTAATCACAGCTCCATGCACTTGTTCAAAGCACAGTCCTGAAGCACACAAGCTTCGCTAATGAATCTCTTTAGAAGACCTTGCCTCCCTCCCATATACTCTACAAAATGGGGAGTGTCTGCTTTGCAAGTTAACTGGAATGGATGCCCAATGCCGATGCTGCAGCTCTGGCCGTCTGTCTGTCTGTCTGTCTGTCCCTCTCTCTCTAACTCAGGCACCGTTTTTCTAATACCTGTGAATTCTGCCCCATCAGGAGGCCCCTTTTCCACTTACCTGGTTCCCATGTAGGCATTTGCTATAGAGTTGAACTGTAGATGGGTGTAGCGTTACTCTCATGACCTAATCTGATAATGTGCAGAAGAGCCGGTGATAATGGATGCACAGTTCCTATAAGACTGAGCCTTGGATTCCCATGTTCGTTCGCCTCTCGCCCCTTTTTTGTCGGGATTCAATAAATGGGAAGTCGAAAATTCAACACTCAAATAGGAGAGTCAACTATGTAAAGGCAGACTCCTCTAAGCATTAAAATGAAGGCTGAAATACTAACGTCCTTGTGACCTGCAATCATTTCTTCTAAGAGGAGGGTCAGTAGACTGTGTTTGTTGAGCATATTTTTAGAACTTTGCCATTGAATCCAGTCGTGCAGGTCTGGGCCTTGCTCTGTGGAAACGGTAGTCACGGCCAAGCCTGACTTTGCTGCCTTTGCAGCTCCCACCTGAATCCTCCTCCTGTTTGACCACGCCTTTTCTGCCCACCCATACTGGAGCTCACTTCCTCTGGCAGTGTGGATCAGAACGTCCCGCTTCTTTTTTTTTTTTTTTTTTTTTTTTTGAGACGGAGTCTCGCACTGCCGCCCAGGCTGGAGTGCAGTGGCGAGATCTCGGCTCGCTGCAAGCTCTGCCTCCTGGGTTCAGGCCATTCTCCTGCCTCAGCCTCCCGAGTAGCTGGGACTACAGGCGCCCGCCACCACGCCCGGCTACATTTTTTGTATTTTTAGTAGAGATGGGGTTTCACTGTGTTAGCCAGGATGGTCTTGATCTCCTGACCTTGTGATCCGCCCGCCTCGGCCTCCCAAAGCGCTGGGATTACAGGCATGAGCCACCGCGCCCTGCCGGCAGAGCGTCCAGTTTCTAAAGGATCTGCCCTGTCCTGCGTTCTGTTTCCTCAAGGCGGAGCGGGACACCGACTAGCCTGACAGCTTCCTGGGATTTTTTTAAATTTTGTTTTTATTTATTTATTTTGAGACAGAGTCTTGCCCTGTCGTCCAGGCTGGAGTGCAGTGCTGCAATCTCGGCTCACTGCAATCTCCGCCTCTGGGATTCAAGCAATTCTCCTGCCTCAGCCCCCCGCCAAGTAGCTGGGATTGCAGGCGCCTGACACCAGGCCTGGCTGATTTTTGTATTTTTACTAGAGACAGGGTTTCATGATGTTGGCCTGGCTGGTCTCGAACTCCTGACCTCGGGTGATCTGCCCATCTTGGCCTCCCAAAGTGCTGGGATTATAGGCGTGAGCCATTGTGCCCGGCCCTTCCTGGGATTTTCAAGCTGAAAGAGCTCTACAGATAAATGACAGGAGTTAATTTTAGTAAAAAGCGGGAGAAGGGGTCTGTGTGTACACATATGTGTTGGCATTGGTGTGGGAGTATACATGTATATGTGCTTGTGAGCACACATGTACAGTCATGCACCGCATAACCACATTTTGATTAACCACAGACTGCGTATCCAGTAACGGTCCCGTGAGATTATAATGCTGTATGTTTCCTGTACCTTTTCTAGGTTTAGACACACGAATACATACCACTGTGTTACGATCGCCTGTGGTATTCAGTACAGTCACATGCTGTACGGATTTGTAGCCTAGGAGCAATAGGCTCCACCATATCGCCAGGAGTGTAGTGGGCTGTACCAACTAGGGGTATAAGTGCACACTGTGATGTTCATACAACAATGGCATTGCCTAAAGACACATTTCTCAGAACATATCCTGTCATTATGCAGCACATGATGCAGTAATATTGAACACAGGTGCTTTGGGGGAGTCCCCCCAGTCACTCCATATCCAAGATTTACTCTCTCATACAATCTGTCCAGTAAATGATACACAGCTGAAATGATCTTCTCTTTTTGGTTCAGTGAGCGGATCCCAAGTTAGAACATTCTACCAAATAGGAGGGATTAGTGAGCCATTATCTTCCTCAGGAATTTTTGCTATGAGAATTCACTGTTTATTTATGAGGCCACTGGTTTCTTTAAAATGTTGGAATTCGGTATTTTTTAGTTAAAAACAATTTTTTTGAGACAGAGTCTCTCTGTGTCACTTAGTGAAGGGCTGAAGTGAAGTGGTACAATCATACTTTACTGCAGCCTCAACATCCTGGGCTCAAGCGATCCCCTGGCCTCAGCCTCCTGAATAGCTGGGACTACAGGCTCGCACACTACGCTCAGCTAATTTTTGCATTTTTTGTAGAGATGACGTTTCACCGTGTTGCCCAGGCTGGTCTCAAAGTCCTGGGCTCAAGTGATCCACCCACCTTGGCCTCCCAAAGTGCTGGGACTTACAGGCATGAGACACTGCACTGGCCTTAATTAAAATTTTTATTTTGAGATAGTTTAGAATTACATGTACTTGCAAGAAATGCATTTAGTACTTTTAATTCAGGTACTAGTTTCACAGTGCCTTACGAACTGTAGGCATGTTCAGTATACAACGATTGACGGGTAGATTGGTAAAATAACTATAATTTGTGCCTTACAAGTGGGCTTTTGAGGGAAATATGTTCAGGAATTACTGAGATAACTACATAAGGGTTCATTATAATATGTTTGGAAATTACTGAGATATATATATCTTTACATATGGGTCCATGGATAGAAAGTAAATCGGCTGGGAACGGTGGCTCACGCCTGTAATCCCAGCACTTTGGGAGGCTGAGGCGGGTGGATCACGTGAGGTCAGGAGTTGAACACCAGCCTGGCCAACACGGTGAAACCCCGTCTCTATTAAAAGTACAAAAAAAAAAAAAATTAGCCGGGCGTGGTGGCGGGCGCCTGTAATCTCAGATACTCAGGAGGCTGAGGCAGGAGAATTGCTTGAACCCGGGAGGTGGAAGTTGCAGTGAGCCGAGATTGAGCCAGTGCACTCCAGCCTGGGTGACAAGATCAAGACTCCATCTCAAAAAAAAAAAAAAAAAAAAAAAAGTAAATCTGGATCATTCAGTGTCTTTGTGTCTTGTTTTTTGTTTTTTATGCATTTCTCACTTTTAAGTTTTTGGGTTTTTTCATTTTTACCCCATACCATATGCATGTAGTCCCAATATATCTTGTGGTTGTTAATTGGTGAACGTGATGAACTCTTGAAATGCTAGCGTTTTCTTCACTTAATCGGGCAGGACTCTGAGGAGTAAGCTGAGGGTGGAGTCCTGTGGCTGGGGAGAGATGAGCGCGGGACAGCAGCCCCTCTCTGCAGAGCCTCGAGGCTTCTGTGGCCCCGTGGGGTCAGATGCGTGGCATGGCTTGCTGGTCTTGTTCCCATGGCACAGAAGAAACTACACTTCCTTTTGCCCAAACTCAGCCACCATGGAGCCTACTCCTCAGTCTTTCATTTACTTCTAGAATGCTGACAGGTGAGAATGCTACCTCCGGGCTGCCAAGCCACAAAGCGTGACAGCCCGCTCCCTGGGAACCACAAATATTTGGAATCTGAAGTGGATTGGGAACTAAAAATACAACACCTTAAGAAACTACAGTTTGGGGCTGGGCACAGTGTCTTGCGCTTGTAATCCCAGCACTTTGGGAGGCTGAGATGGGCGGATCGCTTGAGGCCAGGAGTTCAAGACCAGCCTGGCGAACATGGTGAAACCCCGTCTCTGTAAAAAAATTGACCAGGCATGGTGGCAGGCGCCTGAAGTTCCAGCTACCCAGGAGGCTGAGGCAGGAGAATCGCTTGAACCCGGGAGGCAAAGACTGCAATGAGCCAAGATTGTGCCACTGCACTCCAGCCTGGACAACAGAGTAAGACCCTGTCTCAAAAAAGCAAGCAAACAAACAAACTGAAGTTTGGGAACAAGTTAGCCAAGCCGGGACTCCCCTGAAATGCATTCGATAAGCATTGCATGAAAGCTGACCTCAGATTGTGCCACTGCACTCCAGCCTGGGTGACAGAGCAAGACTCCGTCTTTGGGGGGGGGGGGGGGAAGAGTTTATAAGACTGATAGTTAGTGGTTTCTTCTTTTTTTTTTCTTTTAGTTTGATAGAAATGCACTCCGCCAGCTGAGCATGTAGTTTGGAGTGAGAGCAGGTTACTTTCTCTGTGGGAGACAGAAATGTTAGAGTGAGGGTCCCGGGGGAGCTGGGGATGCTGGCTATGGCTTTGCGGAAGGCTTAAACGGAAAGCGACATGGAATTTGAAATACATGTTTTACAAGTGGAGGGTGTGGGGCGGTGTCCTGGATTCTGCCGAGCCCGCACCAAGTGTCCTGTCACACAAGGCAGAAGGGGAGGCTGGCCTTGCGCCTCAAATCCCTGCCAGGCAAGGCCTCTCGCCTGCCTCCTTAGGACCAAAGCCACCTAACTTCTGCCCAGGCGAAGGCAGTAAACGTCTCTAACTCTGCGGAAGGCAAAAAGTCAAGTCACACAAAGAAAAAAAAACAAATAAGCAAACAAAAAATAAATCATTTGGGTGAGCTGTTTGCTGAGGTTTTAAAGCTGTCCTCTTGAACCTGAAAGGAACGTCCTGGCGCGGTGACAGCAGTGGCTGGTTGTGCGTGGGCTGCAGTTCCCAAGGCCGTGAGCAGGAGGCGCTATCAGGATCAAAGGCGGGACCGTGGGTCTTCAGGGCCACATCCGTGAGAATCGCTGACGTCCGCAGGGAGGGAGCCTCGGTGGGAAGGCTGGGGACGGGGCGTGGGGAAGGCTGGGGACAGGGCAGGGAAAGAGCAACGGTGGTAGATGCGAAATCAAGCCCGGATGGCGAGGCAGTCCCACCGTGTTACTTACCCTTCCTCCCTAACATTCCATAGAGGAAAAATCTGGCGACAGCTGACATCAAGGGGAGATCTAAAAGAGAAGGGCAGAAGCCACCCCCAAAACCCCAGGGAAGTATGGAAGGCGGACCGCTGTTTCAGGCCGCTTCAGGTCCTGAACTGGGGCGCCCGCCTTTCTCCGCCCTTTCCCTCGGCCTCCCAGCGACTTCTCCACTAACCGCCCCAGTGCTGTTTCCTTGGGGCTTTCCTTGAGCCCCAGGTCTCCAAATCCAGAATGAGAAACTCCGAGAGTGCAAAGGAGAGGGAGGAGATTTGGAAGCAGCTCCCGGGATGTTTGGCTCTGAGTCTGGTGGTAAAGATCAGTCCTTGGCCTTCTTGTAGGCAAAAGGGTTCTGTTCTGTATGCCTATGATTAGGGGTGCCAGGCTTCGCAAATAAAAGTGCAGCGTACGCCGACACATGCTACAACATGGGTGAGCCGTGGAAGCCTGCTGAGTGAAAGAGGCCAGTCACAAAAAAGACCACATACCGCATGAGTCCATGTATGTGAAATGTCCAGACTGGGAAAGTCTATAAAGACAGGAAATAAACTATTGGCCATTCAGGGCTGCAGAATGACGCAGCAGGGATGGGGAGTGACTTGATAACAGCCACAGGGTGTCTTTTTGGGTGATAACAATGTTTTAAAATTAGATATGTGGTAATGGTCGAGTAACTGGGAATATACTAAACCCCAGTGAACTGCACGCTAAACGTGGTGGAATTTTATAATCCATGAGTATCTTAAAGCTGTTTTATAAAACACAGGATACCCAGTTAAATTTGAATTTTATGAATAGATAAATCATGAAAAGAAATTTAGTATAAGTATATCCCAAGCAATATTTGGGACATATTTATATTTAAAATATTTTCATTGTTTATCTGAAATTCAAATTCATTGTTTATCTGAAATTCAAATTTAACTGGATGTCTGGTATTTTGTTTGGCAACTCTATGCTTCTAAATGTCTCAGAAAGCATCAATCTACAGCAAGAGTAAGAAGAAATAGTTCATGTGATGTCATTTAAATAGATTTAAAGAGACTTCTATATACTTTGGGCATCAAAAAAGCTTAATTAACTGAGAGTAAGAACTTCTTGATTTAATGTTAATTTTAAAAATTCTACTTGTAGCCACCAAGGTGGAAAACATAGCTTTTATTATTAAACATTTCCAAAAATCAGGCTGGGCGCAGTGGCTCACACCAGTAATCCCAGCACTTTGGGAGGCTGAGGTGGGTGGATCACCTGAGGTCAGGAGTTCGAAACCAGGCTGGCCAACATGGTGAAACCCCGTTTCTACTAAAAATACAAAAATTAGCTGGGCTTGGTGGTGGGTGCCTGTAATCCCGGCTACTTGGTAGGCTGAGGCAGGAGAATCTCTTGAACCTGGGAGGCAGAGGTTGCAGTGAGCCAAGATTGAGCCATAGCACTCCAGCCTGGGTGACAAGAGCAAAACTCCGTCTTTAAAAAAAAAAAAAAATTTAAAGAAAATCATAGAAAATGCTGAGAGGTGAGAAGGACCGGATACTTTATAAGATCCTCCTAATCTTCACAGCTTATAATCTTGCCATTAAATCAGAAACATTATGGGGGAAGTTCAAGAGTGTGGAACTTTAAAAAATGTTTGGCTTGTTTGAGTACATGAGAAATTAGTATAAATATTTACCATATAGTGATTGTCAAACAATGGGATTTACTTATTGTTACACTTTATGGGAGAAAATGAAAATCTCTTCAAGTAAAGTTTATATACATACAAAATCCTCCCCTGGATGTTTGCTTTGGTTTTAATGGGATGTTTCAGTTTGCAAATACTGGTAAGCAGAGTTGTTTAAAGTTGGAACTTGGATAAAGGTCATTTTAGCAGAGCAGCCACACCTCTGCTCTGATACTGGAAGAACCAGCATAAAATTGCTACAGTGGCATAAGTCAATGCAAGATTATGAAGCAATTAACTAGCAGGTTGTGTCGTAAAACTCTGTTCACACTTTTAGTACAGGGGTAAAAGAGGTCAATATTGTTTTTCTTATTTTATAAATTGAAAAACATAAACCTGCAATACGTTGCTCTGACTTTAATAATTTGACCAGTTGGAATTAGAATGTGTTGGAGTTACATGCTGCAACATTTAACCAAGCCTTAGATTTCTGATTAAATATTTTAAATATATAATAGATACAGAATTAACCTTCACACACTCTGATAGCTCAAATCTCTCACTATGATATTGGTGTGATAATGAATTAAAATAAAAATTATAGGTTAAAATAAATTTAAATTAAATTAAATTGACAAGTTCTATGTAGGTTCAGAGAAAGAGACCAAATCCTTCTCCTTGAGTAATTTCAGTGCTTATATGGAATATAAGGGATGCCAACATTAGGCAACGATTTTCAGGATACTTTCCTCTTTCAACTTACACCTAGAGTTGTAAAAAATCCTTCATGTAGGTGACACATTGAGATTCAGATCCTAAGAGGATATGGCATAATTGTTCTCCTTTTAAAAATTTCATTTTGAGGGCTAACATGCTGTTTTCTCTTATTTTTAGTTGACACATGATCATTGTACATACTCATAGGATATAGAGTGATATTTCATTACATGCATACAATGTATAATGATCATATCGGGCTAGTTTGAATATCCATTGCCTCAAACGATTATCATTTCTCTGTGTTATGAACATTCAAAATCCTCTCTTCTAGCTTTTTGAGAGTATACAATAAATGATAGTTAACCATATTTATCCTACAGTGCTACAAAACACCGGAACTCATTTCTTCTATCTAGCTGTAATTCTGTATCTATTAACCAACTTCTCATCATCCTCGGTTCCTCTTTGCCCTTTCCAGGCTCTAATGCTAAGGGCCAAATCTTCATATAAAAAATAGTTGTGAAGAAAAGAAAGTTGGCCAAACCAGGATCACGGCCGTAATCCCAGCACTTTGGGAGACTGAGGCAGGAGGATCATTTGAGGCCAGGAGTTCGTGACCAGCCTGGGTAACATAGTGAGACCCCCATCTCTACAACAACAACAACAAAAAAAAAAAAAAAAAAGAAAGAAAAAAGAAAAAAAAATAGCCATGTGCCACGCACCTAAAGTCTCAGCTACTTAGAAGGCTGAAGCTAGAGAATCTCTTGAGCCCAGGTGTTGGAAGCTGCAGTGAGCTGTGATTGCACTATTGCACTCAGCCTGGGTGACAGAGTGAGACTCTGTCTCAAAAAAAAAAAAGAAAAAAAAAAAAGAAAGAGTTTGTAATTTTTTAAAGTTAAGAAATAGAATTGAAGAGGCTGAGCAGTATCTGGAAACAAAAATCCACTTAAAAACACTCATGTAGCTAATGCCATTCCCTAGATTCATGAGGGCTTTTTTCTGCTGAAACTCTCGAGGAATGAAGCGTTTCTGGGACATGAGCAGGGAGAATGCATATAACCCTCAGAGCTGAGATCATGCACCTCCGACTCTTCCTCCTTGTCCAGTGTTGACTAACGTGGTCTACTGGATTCTGGTCCAGCCATGTTAATTAAGGTGACAATACAAATGAAGTTCAAACTTCCCTAACACACGAAGCTAAGAAATCACAAAATGGAAAAGTCTGAAAGGTCTCAAAACTGGAGCCAGTCTGTAGAGCTGGGGAAGATGATGTGCTTATTGGACTCAACCCAAGAGACTAGTTCCAAAGGAGGGAGACCTGGAAAGAGAAAGAGGTTACTGTGTTGGCATGGCTAAAGGATTTAATTAGAATCTCTCATTAAAATTAACCACATTTCACAGACTTCAGTCGGCAAGAATATTGGAAAATGATGCACAAGGCTGGGAAAAAAATGATCCGTGGTGCTGGATCCATGATCTACTTGGAATTAGTGTAAAAAGTGAGATGAACTTCACTAGGGCTAAATCTCCTGCTTGTGGGTAAGAAAATAACCAATTTCTTTTCATTCATTCTTAAAGACCAAACATGCTTAAAACAAATATTGCCTTTCCCCCTCTAATGTTCATTCTGTACTGGAAGTATTCTCTTTGCTATTTCTTTAAAGTTTTAGTGTAGCCCCTTGGGTCCAGTTTCAGTCAATCAAATAAGAAAAATATTAGTACCACTCCCAGCCACTTGAGCTAATGCATTGAATCAATAATCTGTTTCAATTTATATTATGTAACATACATTATTATATATTTATATTAAAAAATTTAGTCCAGTCCAACATAGTGTTCCTTCCTTTCTGATCCAACATCCTTATTGGGCTTCCACACATGTCCTTCTGGTTTCTGTTGATATAAATTGGTGTATTATAATCTTACGGCTTATATTTCATACCTGTTGGGGCCTGCTGGGATTTGTGTCTGTTCTAGAATCAATGAGAAACGGGTGGGGGTGGGGCTGACCCTGACCCACTGCTCCTCCTAAGGAGGGTCAGAAGTCCTTTGTAAGGCAACCACTTCAGAAGAGACCATTGCAGGACCTTCAGCCATGAGGACAATAATCTCCTTAACCAGGCTAAAAAGGGCTGCTTCTACCAGCAAAGAAGACTTGGCAGATCTGGGGACTTCAGGCCCCCTGCCACATCGAATATGCCTACATACTCCCTTCCCAATTTTTATGAGTCCCTCTCCTTTCCAATCATTGCCTTAACTTTAGCAAAGGAGATCCTGTAAGGTTAAATTCAATTGAATTGAACTTTGGGTTTGGTTTTCAGAAATCTTGACTCTAGCTACAAGAAAAGATGCTTTTTTTGGCGAGGGGGAGGGCAGTCATAGAAGATTTCTAGTCCTTTAGCCAGACCTTGAGTTGGGAATTTAAAGCCCTAAGCTCATCATTTTCTTTCTCCAAGTGCTGCAGAACACTTCAAAATCAGCAAGCAACCCCATTATGTGTAAAGTGTTCTATGGCAGGAGCTACACATAGTCACCTGAAGCCTTGCTTGCTTTTTTTTTTTTTGAGAGGGAATCTCACTCTGTCACCCAGGCTGGAGTGCAGTGGCGAGATCTTGGCTCACTGCAACCTCCGCCTCCTGGGTTCAAGCTATTCTCCTGCTTCAGCCTCCGGAGTAGCTGGGAGTACAGACACCCACCGTCATGTCCAGCTACTTTTTGTATTTTTGTAGAGATGGGTTTCACCATGTTGGCCAGGCTGGTCTTGAACTCCTGACCTCAGATGATCCGCCCGCCCTGGCCTCCCAAAGTGCTGGGATTCCAGGCGTGAGCCGCTGCGCCAGGCCTGAAGCCTTGCTGTCTATAGGCACTTGATGACAGGTCTCTATAGGTAAATCATTAAAATCACTTTTGCCATCTTGTTTCATACATGACCGTTACCCTCTTTACCGATGGAAACAGAATCACTAACACTTTAAAATTGAATCAGATCAGAGAACCAATTTCAGGTAGCCTAGAACTGGTTCCAAGGACACATCCTCTGAAACGATTTCTGGCACGGGTTTCCATAGAAGGCAGGGTTCAGTCAGAGATGCTGAATCACTGTAAGTGGTACGGAATAATGGATTCATTTTGGGGATTAGACGTTACACAATTGTGGGAGTTGCTGGAGGAGTCAGTGCAAGGCTGTTGCGTCTTCGTCTGGTGATGAAATCCTTGTAGGTTACTAGACCCACTTGGGGAAGAAAAGCCAGGTATGAAATGGCATCAGCAAGGACAGACTGTGACCCACTAGAACACACTGGAACCCACAAGGATAACTGGGACCCACAAGAACAAACTGGAACCTGTGTCTGCCTCACTGGCTCCAACATGGTGACACTGACCAGGAGGAGATGTGGAGCCTCCTTCATCGAGGAGCTGCACACACACCTGGCCTGGGACGCAGAGGAGCTGCAGGGATGTTCTGGTGGGAACTGGAGAAGGAGGAGCCTGGCTGGTGGCCACGGGACAGGATGTGCTTGCACATTAATGACAACGTGTGTGGCTCCCACACTGCCCAGAGCCTGCACTGACCTTCAGAACCTAAAGATATGGCAGAGCCCTTGCTTTTGTCTCCCAAATATTGGGCAAAATTCTCTTGTGGTCTGCCCTAACCCAGCAACATGCAGGGAAGAGAATGCTGGAAATGCAGTCCCAGCTTGGCTAAGTTGACCAAAGCAGCAAACAATCAGTATTTCCTATTGTCATGGGGTTTATATTCTAGTGAGGAAAGGGACTATCAATAAGTGAGTAAATATGTACGTGTGTATGTGTATTTCTTATAAGAACCTTCTGAGATAGGAATGTGTCTTATCCCTATTTGACAGATGAGAAAACTAAGGCCAAAATCGATTAAGTATTTTGCCCTAGGTCCTGTAGCTCATAAGTGTCAGAGCAAAGCTCTGGACAAGGCAGTTTGCAATCAAATTCCAATGTATACTAATTGCTATTCTGTTTTGTTCATTCTGCAGTAGCCTTCCCCAAACACTCAACCCAAATGGGATACTTTCAGGTGATATTGCAGATGTTATTAGTTTATTGCATTCATACTATTTTATCCTTCAATTGTGTTGTACTTATTAATAATGACTTACCTAATTGGATATAAAACTCTTTGATCGACAATATGAACATGTGTGTGTGTGTTCACTTCGGCTGTTAATAGTGTTGCGCACTCAGCCAGCGCCTTGTAAATTCTTGTTGTGTTGACTTAAGGGCTTGAACAATCACACAGCGAGGCATGTGTACCTGTGGCCTAAGCAGCATTAAGTTTGAAAGAAACCTTTTCCTAAGTGCTTTGCCATTCTTTGAAATGTGCTGAAGAAAAGAGAAAGCAGTCACCACTCCCTCCAGGACCTACCTCTGTACTGGCCTCAGATCATCACGTAATTCAGACAAGCTGGGGCACGGGAGCAGTCGGGAGGACAGAGGGGTCCCGCTGAGGCTGGCCCAGTGGCGGTCACGGTCGGGTTTGCCACGAAGGATCCTTCCAAAGGCCTATTAAGTGAATTCCTGTAGCTCATTCAGCCGATGGAAGGTAGAAGGGACTCAGAACTTCAGGCCTAATTCTGCGTTTTTGTATGCCCCAAGAATGAAAGGGCTCTTTGTGAATTTGCATGTAGATTTATTTAACATTCAACCGGCAGAAAACGGAAGGTAGTGCATGACACTGGGGGGAACCAGGCCCCCGCCCACCTCACATCGTCATGGCATTAGCTGTTTACTGGCTCCCGTGGAAACATTGGAAGGGGATTTGTTTTGTGGTTGGGTTTCCTTTTTTTTTTTTTTTTAGCATGATTGCAGTTAGATCTGCAGTATTTCCTCAAATATGTGAGGGGAAGGGAGCGGTGACTTCCTAAAGGAAAGTATTTATATTTTTAGACTGAAATAGGCTGTTACAAAGCTTTTCTCCAAAAACACATTTAAAAAAGGAGTGTTCTAAACAATAGAAAATGTATCTTAACGCATAGTTAAGGTAGTTTATCTTATAAAATATGTTTTAATGCAGTGACAAAGGGCTAAGACACTTTGGTTTGTTTTTATTTATTTATTTTTATTGATACATGGCAATTTTGTCTTATTTTAAAGGAGCACCAAGAAAATGCTTCTGGATGTTGGAATGTCAGCCTCGACTCCGCTTCTTTCTGAACTCGCTTGTTCTGCTTCGGGCTCCCATGTCAGCAGTGTCGTGGAGAGCTCGTCCGTGTGAAGGGACAGCATCCCGGCCAGGCCATGGATGGTGGCCCGGGAGGAGGAAGTGTGAGCGGGTCAAGAGAGAGAGAAGGCATGAGAGAGGCACTCTGCTCGGATGACACAGCCCACACTGTTTTGCCACAGATTTGTGGTGTATCACAGCTCGAGGGAGTCCTGGAGGCCACCCAGGCCAGGGTTTCTCATGTTGTTGACCATGTGCACCAGGAGGTGAGGCCTGGGAATCCACCTACTTAGTGGCTCAGGAGAGCTGGCCCAATAACCAGCTGGTACAGAGGCCTCATTTCATCGAGGAGCAGTCTGGACTGGAGAGGCCACAGGACTCGGAACAGCACCAGATTGAAAGCAGAGCCCATTTGAGACGTGGCTTAAAGAGGGACACCATGCTGTCCAAACGTGGGTGTAGACAGAGCAGACACAGCCTCTTTTATCTGCTTATTGTGGCTCTGGGAAGACAGCTCCCCAACCCCTCCATTCCTCTCTCATTTGTTCATCTTGAAACCCATTAAGAGGGCACAAAACCTTTATGTCACAGTGGGAGATAATATGTGAATGATTCTTAGAAAGGTAAGAGGTATAGGCTGGGCGCGGTGGCTCACGCCTGGAATCCCAGCACTTTAGGAGGCCAAGGTGGGCGGATCATGAGGTCAGGAGATCGAGACCATCCTGGCTAACACGGTGAAACCCCGTCTCTACTACAAATACAAAAAAATTAGCCGGGCATGGTGGCGGGCGCCTGTAGTCCCAGCTACTCGGGAGGCTGAGGCTGGAGAATGGAGTGAACCCGGGAGGCGGAGCTTGCAGTGAGCCGAGATTGCGCCACTGCACTCCAGCCTGGGCAACAGAGCGAAACTCCGTCTCAAAAAAAAAAAAAAAAAAAGAAAGAAAAAAAAGAAAGGTAAGAGGTATAAAATATCCCCCAAGCTAAGGAGGCGCTGTAATAGGCAGCTCTCCACTTTTGAGAAGATTAGCTATTGGAGGAAGAGGTGGCATGAAACGGCACAGGACCCAAAAGGTGCCCTGCATGGAGGGAACATCCCAGATCACAGATCAAAGACTGGATGCAGGGTGGGAATCCTGTTTTCTAATTTTTTATTATAAAAATTTCCAAACACACAAAAATTAAAAGAATGATGTACTGATCACCCAGATATCTACCACTTATATTCAAAAACTTAAAACATTCCCATAGATGTGCATGATCTATCTATAGGTCCATCTGTGTGTGTGTGTGTGTGTGTGTGTGTGTGTGTGTGTGTGTGTGTGTGTGTGTGTCTGGTCGAGGACCAGCATTTCAATAAAGGATAGGGAGTGCTCAACAGGAAACAAGGACAAGACACAGAGGCTGAGGTGGGCAGATCACTTGGGGCCGATAGTTCGAGACCAGGCTGACCAACATGGTGAAACCCCGTCTCTACTAAAATTACAAAAAAATTAGCTGGGCGTGGTAGCGCATGCCTGTAATCCCGGCTACTTGGGAGGCTGAGGCAGGAGGATCGCTTGAACATGGGAGGCGGAGGTTGCAGTGAGTTGAGATCGCGCACTTCACTCTCGCAACAGAGCGAGACTCCATCTCAAAAAAAAGAAAGAAAGAAACTTAGTTACAAAGATTTGAACTTTAACTTGATGTAGTTAAGTTTAAATGTATGTGGAATAAACCGTGGCAGGGTTTGATTTAATTTTAATTGTTTTTTGCTTTTGTCTTATTTAGAGAGGTAAATGAGATGCTTTGGCAACTGTTGAGGAAGAGAGGAAACAGACTTCAATGCAGTTAAGATGGACATAAGCAGGTTGGAAGGCAGCCAGAGGGAATTTTTGCAGAAGGAGTGACCCAGTCTTGGGGACAGAGAATATGGATTTGTTTTCCCCAAAGAATTTATTGAGCTCTGTGTGTAGTGAGCATGGCTGGATGGTGTGAAGAGCAGGTGGAGGAGGATATCAGGGACAAGAGACGAATATGGGTGGCGTGGCCGCAGCACTGCACAGGGCCAGCCAATGAGCTAGGGCTCCATGCATAGCCTGGGCAGGACTCTTCCAGTATCTAAAGGAAGAGGTTTACATTTCCAGAAGTGTTAACCTGTGTCCTCTCAGTGTCTGCCCAGGGTAACCCATCTTGATAAGATATAGTCATTTCTCCTTTTGGCCCAAGGAACAAGTCCAGGCTCATCGGTGTGGCAAAACCTGACCATGTGCATACCATGCACCCGGCAGTCGCACTAGCTGCTCAGAGATGCCTAAATGCACCAGGGCCTTTTTTTAACTTTTATTTTTTTTTTTATTTTTGAGACAGTCGTCTCGCTCTGTCACCCAGGCTGGAGTGTTAACGCGATCTTGGCTCACTGCAACCTTTGCCTCCCGGATTTAAGTCGATTCTCCTGCCTCAGCCTCCCGAGTAGCTGGGATTATAGGCGCACACCACTACACCTGGGTGATTTTTGTATTTTTAGTAGAGACTGGGTTTCACCATGTTGGCCAGGCTGGTCTCGAACTCCTGACCTCAGGTGATCCACCCACCTCGGCCTCCCAAAATGCTGGGACTACAGGCGTGAGCCGCGCCCGGCCTGCACCAGGGCTGTTTATTCCTTGGACACTCTGAAGGTCAGCTCTCTTGACCTCTTCCCAATCATGTCTAGCCTGCAGTGTCTGACTCAGTTTTCAAGAACCATCTCAAATGCAAGTCTTCCTTAACTTCCATTCATAATTAATAATTTCCTTTGGTTTCCAGAGTAGTTGGTCTTCACACTTTTTGGTCAAATAACCTTTAAAATTATTTTGGAAAACTGTTTCACCTCTTGCAGATAATTAAGTTGACACTCCCAATATTCTTAAAGTTTAAGTAGTTGTATAGGATTTGATTTCCAGAGTATTGTAAAAGTATTCCAGATAGTTTACAAATACAGCAATTGTATTTCTCTTTTAAATGTATCACTGGAATAGAAATAGCATTGCAATGTGATGTCTACTTCAGTTATTTTTTAAAAAGTACAAGACCAAGTTTATCCTTAACGGGAGTAGAATGAAGATGAGAGGGAGTGGGGAGAGCATCGTGGTTGGTGGGTTTCAGAAAGAAGAGCCCTGGTCTGCTTCTCTGATCAGGGTTCGGGGCAGCAGCAAGCCCAGACCCAAGTCCATGTATCAGAGGGCAGGGAGGATTTTTGCTCCCAAGGGGATCACCAGATTCCCGAGAAGAAATGGCTGTCAGATGGGTCTTAGTAGCAAAGAGCTTCCTGCACCTCAGCGTGTCATGGAAACAGCAGAATAATTCTTGTGTACCCATGAGGGCCCCAGGAGTCATAGGAGAAGAGCCTCAAAACCTGGAGGAGCCAGTGGATTGAAAGGGACACTGTCTCTGTGATGACCTGTGTAGACCAGAGACCAAGGGCCTGGCAGGGAAACACATGTCTAAGCTGATGTCTGTGTGGACAGGTGACAGTGAGGGCCTGGTGGATTCTCCTTTGCTTCAGGATACCTTGGCATGACCCCTCTACCCCACCGAAAACCTAAGTACAACCCCAGACAAAGGGCAGAATGGCCTAGCGTGGTGGCTCATGCCTGTAATCCCA